>NC_000006.12:30363030-30666060 GCF_000001405.40 Homo sapiens | reverse complement strand
TTGAATAAAATGGCAAGAGTAAAATATAAGCTACGCAGACATCTCCCTAGTGCATCTATATTAACAAAGATGATAATGCTGCCTAAGAGGACTTTCCAGCTGGATTCTGCTGCAGGAAGATACGATGTGGGGTCAGCATGTAGCATCCAAAGAGGCCCAGATTTGAGTATGTCATTGTTTTGGTTGTGCATTGCAGAGGGAAGGTAGAGGGTGCATCCTGAGGTTCTCATGCCTGCCTGTCAGGGGATTTTTCCCTTGTAGGGATTGGTAGAGAAAGGGGTTGCTCCTCCAGCAAGATGAGGATTCGACTGTCCTTTCCCAACTCAGGTCCCTGAGCTGCGGAAGAAATCTCGCCGAGAGTACCTGGCTAAGCGGGAGCGAGAGAAGCTTGAGGACCTGGAGGCGGAGCTGGCTGATGAGGAGTTCCTTTTTGGGGACGTGGAGCTGAGCCGGCACGAGCGGCAGGAGCTCAAATATAAGCGGCGAGTGCGGGATCTCGCCCGGGAGTACCGGGCAGCTGGGGAGCAGGAGAAGCTGGAGGCCACCAATCGCTACCACATGCCCAAGGAAACCCGAGGACAGGTGAGGTGAAGCGGCGTCTGCTTCAGCCTTGGTCCCCAAGACAAGTTGTGGGGAAGGCTTCAGGGGATTGGGCAACACGTGGGTCATCCCCTTTCTTGCCTTGCCGTTCCCAATGGGCAGTGGGCGGGGGTAGTAATGGGAAGAGGGGAGAGGGCAGAGAGGACATCCTGTTTTTGAGTCTTCACATATCCCCTCTCTCTGTAGCCAGCCCGAGCTGTGGATCTAGTGGAGGAGGAATCAGGAGCCCCTGGGGAGGAGCAGCGGCGCTGGGAGGAGGCGCGGCTTGGGGCAGCGTCCCTGAAGTTTGGGGCCCGAGATGCTGCCTCTCAGGAGCCCAAGTATCAACTGGTGCTGGAGGAGGAGGAGACCATTGAGTTTGTCCGGGCCACTCAGCTCCAGGGTGATGAGGTAAGAGGGGAGCTGGGAGACTTTCTGAGGAAGACCCGTAGCGAGCTATTTAGCTCACACCTCCTTCTCTTTCCTTAGGAGCCGTCAGCTCCACCCACTTCAACTCAGGCCCAGCAGAAAGAGTCCATCCAGGCCGTCCGCCGCAGCCTCCCGGTGTTCCCATTTCGAGAGGAGCTCCTGGCTGCTATTGCAAATCACCAAGTCCTCATCATTGAAGGCGAGACAGGCTCAGGGAAGACCACCCAGATCCCGCAGTATCTCTTTGAGGAGGTACAGTCATCTCACCCTTCAGCTTGCCAGGGCACCTGGCATCAATGTCCTCATTCCTGTCAGAGCTCCTTTTACATTATATTTTTAGTAGTCACTTACCTATCTTTTCCACTAAATTGTGAAATTCTTGAGAGTAAAGACCATACCCTTTTCACATTTCTGTTCTCACTTCCTGCATTCATTTCATTTGGAAGGACGGGTAGATGGATAGGTGGAGTGGGGCGTGTATAAATGTGGACCTCCCTATGCTCCAACGTGGCCAAAAAACAAGGAGTTAAAGGACTATTTTCCTGCCTTTTTGTTAGTTTTTTTTTTTTTTTTTTGGAGACGGAGTCTTGCTCTGTCACCCAGGCTGGAGTGCAGTGGTGCGATCTTGGCTTACTGCAACCTCTGACTCCTGGGTTCAAGGAATTCTCCTGCGTCAGCCTTCAGAGTAGCTGGAATTACAGGCATGCGCCACCACACCTGGCTAATTTTTTAGTAGAGATGGGGTTTCACCATGTTGGCCAGGCTGCTCTCGAACTCCTGACCTCAAGTGATCCAGCCACCTCAGCCTCCCAAAGTGCTGGGATTACAGGTGTGAGCCACTGTGCCTAGCCCCTGCCTTATTTTGGAGACAGGCTCTTGCTCTGATGCCCAAGCTGGAGTGATGTGGCACCATCATGACTCACTGCAACCTGGGACTCCTGGGCTCAAGAGATCATCCCACCTCAGCCTCCTGAGTATCTGGGAGGTGCACACCACCATGCCCATATTAAACATTTTTTGTTTTTTTTTGAGGTGGAGTCTTGCTCTGTCACCAGGCTGGAGTGCAGTGGCGCGATCTTGACTCACTGCAACCTCCACCTCCTGGGTTCAAGTGATTCTCCTGCCTCAGCCTCCTAAGTAGCTGGGACTACAGGTGCGTACCACCACACCCAGCTAATTTTTGTATTTTTAGTAGAGATGGGGTTTCACCATGTTGGCCAGGATGGTCTCAATCTCCTGACCTCGTGATCTGCCCACCTCAGCCTCCCAAAGTGCTGGAGTTACAGGTGTTAGCCACTGTGCCTGGCCTGAAATTTTTTTTTTTTTTTTTTTGAGACAGAGTCTTGCTCTGTTGCCCAGGCTGGAGTGCGGTGGCATGATCTTGGCTTACTGCAACCTCTGTCTCCCAGGTTCAAGCGACTCTCCTGCCTCAGCCTCCCAAGTAGCTGGAAATACAGGCATGCACCACCATGCTCGGCTAATTTTTTGTATTTTTAGTAGACGGGGTTTCACCATTTTGGCCAGGCTGGTCTCGAACTCCCAACCTCAGGAGATCCGTCTGCCTCGGCCTCCCAAAGTGCTGGAATTGCAGGTGTGAGCCACTGTGCCTGGTCAAAATTTTGAATTTTTAATTTTTTTGTCACACTATGTTGCCCAGGCTGGTCTCGAACTCCTGAGCTCAAGCCATCCTCCCACCTCAGCCTCCCAAAGTACTAGGATTACAGGCATGAGCCACTGTGCCCAGCCTTCCTGCTTTTTTACCTTAGCTGGCTCTGTCTCAGCTAATCTGTTCTTTTCCAGCTCAAGTCTAGCAGAGTCATGAACTTAATTACCCAGAGCTGGGTGAGGACCCCCTTTGAGGGCCCTAGGTCTGTCATCCTATCTATTTGCCCTTCTTTTCTGGTTTTCAGCATCTGTCTTTTCCTCCTTTTCTCCTGCCTGGTTTTTACAACTTCTTTCTCTGAAATGTACCTGGTCCCAGGGTGCATATTTAGTAAAGGGCAAACTTCTTCTTTTTTCTTTGTCATTCAGGGTTATACAAACAAGGGTATGAAGATTGCCTGCACCCAACCCCGGAGAGTGGCTGCCATGAGTGTGGCCGCCCGAGTGGCCCGGGAGATGGGTGTGAAGCTTGGGAATGAGGTGAGATTTCTAGGGAACCGGGGGGTAGAGTCTGGGGTCTGTGACTCAGTCTACAGTTCCCTCAGGTCCCTACAGCAGAAGTCTTGGTGCTGCCCCACTTCACCTTTCCCCAAGTTCCTTTCAGGGCACACCAGCCCACACTTGGTTGCTAATGGTTCCCTTGACCAGGTTGGCTACAGCATCCGCTTTGAGGACTGCACATCAGAGCGAACTGTCCTCCGCTACATGACAGATGGGATGCTTCTCCGGGAGTTCCTCTCTGAGCCTGACCTGGCGAGTTACAGGTATCTCTAATCTCTGGCCTTTCTCTCCCTTCTTCCCACCCAGCCAATTCAGCCATTGTCTTCTGATTAATCCACCCGTTCTTGAATCTTTGTGGTTCAAATGGTCCTTGAACTGACCTCCAGGTACCACGGAGATGGGGCTGGAGGACAGAAGAGATTGTAGAGAAAGCCTCTTCTTTCCCCATTCATCTCCAGGGTTTAGAAAACAACCAGGATAGCAGAGCATTGCTGCCGAGACTTGAAATACCGTGTGAAGACCATTTGAAAACACTTGGAATGCTCAGCTCAGAGGGAGAAACAGGAAGCATCCTGGTTCCCTCTAAATATGTGAAGGCTGTTACATGGAAAGAAGGATCAGATTGTTTTATGTGACCCTACACGACATAGCTAGGAGCCATGGGGAGGTTACAGGGAGACAGATTCCAACTCAATACCAATGGCTGAGTAACCCTCAGAGTGGTGGAGATTGCAGGGCCTGTCAGAGTGGTTGGACTCTGGGTCTTGGCCCTCCACACAAGTCTTGGGTAGCTTGGTCTGTGAATAATGAGCTCTTAGTGCTGGAAATGGCCAAGCAGGGGTTGGTTGAACATGTGTTGAGGGGGAAAAGGGATTCATGAATGTAATGGGGGTGGGGTCAGGCCAGCTGAACAATATGTGCCTTTTTGACTCTTCAGAGGCTGTGAATTTCTGGTCTTGGAAGATCACAGTGGAGCAATTGGACAGATAGGATTTTATCCTTCATATCCCTTGCAAAAGATCTCTAAGAACCCATGGAGAGCCAGCCAGCGCAAGAGTGTCTGATGCAGATGTTTTTGCCCATCGAGCCAGCCTGCTTTGTGGAATGGCTGGGGACTTCACCATCACAGTTAGGGTTAGGCACAAAGAGTTGAGGTCAGGGAGGTGGGTAGGGGAAGATGGGGATGAGTTCCTGGGACTTGGCTGCCACCCAGAAAAGCCAAAGAACAAAGAGAAAGAAGGTGTCATGCACATAACTGAGTTAGGAGGAAACCAAGGAGCATGCAGAGTCCTGTGAGAGTTGAGGTAGAAAGGCTTAACTTGCTCCTGTCTCCAAAAGAAGAAACAGTCAAGAATGATGCCAGCAGCAGTTGTCCCACAGGACACCAGGAGCTTCTAGGCTATTTGAATCACAGCAGCTCAGGTCTATTACCCCCAGTCAGCCTTGCTGGCCCACCCTTATTGAAAGGGACCCTGCCTTCCACTTTTTTTTTCCTTTAAAACGTATCAGCCGGGAGCGGTGGCTCACGCCTGTAATCCCAGCACTTTGGGAGGCAGAGGCAGGCGGATCACGAGGTAAGGAGATCAAGACCATCCTGGCTAACACGGTGAAACCCCGTCTCTACTAAAAAATATAAAAAATTAGCTGGGCGTGGTGGCGGGCACCTGTAGTCCCAGCTACTCAGGAGGCTGAGGCAGGAGAATGGCGTGAACGCAACCCAGGAGGCGGAGCTTGCGGTGAGCCGAGATCGTGCCACTGTACTCCAGCCTGGGCGACAGAGTGAGACTCTGTTTCAAAACTCCGTCTCTACTAAAAATACAAAAAATTAGCCAGGCACAGTGGCAGGCACCTGTAGTCCCAGCTACTTGGGAGGCTGAGGCAGGAGAATGGTGTGAACCCAGGAGGCGGAGCTTGCAGTGAGCTGAGATCATGCCACTACACTCCAGCCTGCAACAGAGCAAGACTGTCTCAAAAAAAAAATCCTTCCACTTTTTCTTTTTTCTTTTTTTAGATGGAGTCTCGCTCTGTCACCCAGGCTGGAGTGCAGTGGCACGATCTTGGCTCACTGCAACCTCTGCCTCCCAGGTTCAAGCGATTCTCCTGCCTCAGCCTCCCAAGTAGCTGGGACTACAGGCGTCTACCACCACATCTGGCTAATTTTTTTTGTATTTTTAGAAGAGACGGGGTTTCACTGTATTGGCCAGACTGGTCTCGAACTCCTGACCTTGTGATCCACCTGCCTCGGCCTCCCAAGGTGCTGGGATTACAGGCGTGAGCTACCACCATGCCCAGCCTAAAACATATCCTTCAACTTTTTCTAGTAAGAGCAGCTGCTGAGTCTAAGCAGACTCTTGACTGAACTAGAGGGTATGGCTAACTTGTCCTGGCCTCAGTGTGCAGCCTCTACATCTTGTCTCCTATTATCTGCTGAGGCTGGGATAGGTTGCAGATCATGGGGCCCTGGCCTTCTCTGACTTTCTGTTGCTCTACATAAGTGGGATGGCTGACTTCTCCTTAGAGCCCCCTCCGTCAACAGTCATTCTTGAACTCTTTGTGTCCATTACTCCCCTCTCATCCAGTTAACTCTGGTGTCTGATACTGCATTGCCTAGCGCTCTTCCCTCATTGCTCTCCTATTCCCTCCCCAGCGTGGTGATGGTGGATGAGGCACACGAAAGGACCCTACACACAGACATTCTCTTTGGATTGATCAAGGATGTTGCTCGCTTCCGACCTGAGCTCAAGGTCCTGGTGGCTTCAGCCACAATGGACACTGCCCGTTTTTCCACCTTCTTTGATGACGCCCCTGTGTTTCGAATCCCCGGACGCAGGTTTCCTGTGGACATCTTCTACACCAAGGTGCCCCCTCAGGGAGGATGGGCTTAAGTCTGTGGCAGAAAAGCTGAGGCCTTTGGAGAAGGTTATCCTGTGGAGGGAAAGATGGAATGGAAGGTTCAAAGGGGAACTAGGATAAAGTGTATGTTGAATTGGGAGGAGAGGAAAGGTTTGCCTAAGCAGGTGGCCCTCCTGTGACCCCATCTCTTTCTGCTCTCCAGGCTCCAGAGGCTGACTACTTGGAAGCTTGTGTAGTATCTGTGTTGCAGATCCATGTGACCCAGCCCCCTGGGGATATCCTGGTGTTCCTGACAGGACAGGTGCCTGACATGGTGGGGAGAGGGGATGATGTATCCCAGGGGAAGACAGGGCCGGCATGTTGGCCTTCTGTGACTCTGGGACCCCTGCTGCTCTCCCTACCCTCTATCCAGGAGGAGATTGAGGCTGCCTGTGAGATGCTCCAGGATCGCTGCCGCCGCCTGGGCTCCAAAATCCGGGAGCTCCTGGTGCTGCCCATTTATGCCAATCTGCCCTCTGACATGCAGGCCCGTATCTTCCAGCCCACACCACCTGGGGCACGAAAGGTCAGTTGGAGAAACCCACACTCTTCACCCCTATGCTTCCCACAACTAGTAGTGAAAAAGCTGTGTGCCTGCCCCATGCAAGGTGAGTCCTGCGCACTGCTGCACACAGCTGAGGAGCAGCCAGTCCCTTGTTCCTGGGACTGAAGAGAGGAGAAATATGGTGTGAACCAAGAGAGAGCCAAATATGTGATCTGGAAAGTATGCACAGTAGATTCAGTGGAGAAGGGAAGTCCTTGATGTGCTAAGAGGTGGGATTTGATATGGACCTTTAAGAGAAATGTCTGAGGTCAGGTGCGGTGGCTCACGCCTGTAATCCCAGGACTTTCGGAGGCTGAGGTGGGCGGATCACTTGAGGTCAGTAGTTCGAAACCAGGCTGCCTAACGTGGTGAAACCCTGCCTCCACTGAAAATACAAAAATCAGCAGGGCATGGTGGCGTGCGCCTATAATCCCACCTGTTTAGGAGGCTGAGTCATGAGAATCGCTTGAACCCAGGAGGAGGAGGTTGCAGTGAGCTGAGATTGTGCCACTGCACTCCAGCCTGGGTGACAATGCGAGACTCCATCTCAAAAAAGAAAAATGGCTGAGAAGTCATCAGAGGAAGGCCCAAGGTATGTTTGAGGTCAGAGTGTGAGCTAGTAGGCTTAGTGGGAGGTTCATGTGGTGAAGGAGTAGGAGACAAGGCTAAAAACAATTTGGGGCTAAGATTAGGGAGGGCCTTTGATGACAGGAAAGTTTGGACTTTATTTATTTTTCTTTTTTGAGACAGAGTCTCGCTCTGTTGCCCAGGCTGGAGTGCAGTGGCAAGATCTCGGCTCACTGCAGCCTCCACCTCCCAGGCTCAAGTGATTCTTGTGCCTCAGCTTCCCAAGTAGCTGGGATTACAGGTGTGTACCACCACCCCAAGCTAATTTTTTTTTTTTTTTTTTTGAGATGGAGTCTCACTCTGTCGCCCAGGCTGGAGTGCAGTGGCACCAACTCTGCTCACTGCAACCTCTGCCTCACAGGTTCAAGCGATTCTCCTGTCTCAGCCCCCCAGTAGCTGGGATTACAGGTGCCCTCCACCACGCCTGGCCAATTTTTTGTATTTTTAGTAGAGATGAGGTTTCGCTATTTTGGCCAGGTTGGTCTCAAACTCCTGACCTCAGGTGATCTGCCCACCTTGGCCTCCCAAAGTGCTGGGATTATAGGCGTGAGCCACCATGCCTGGCCAACACCCAGCTAATTTTTAGTAGAGATGGGGTTTCGCCATGTTGGCCAGGCTGGTCTTGAACTCCTGGACTCAAGTGATCCGCCTGCCTTGGCCTCTCAAAGTGCTGGGTTACAGGCATGAGCCACTGTGCTTGGCGAAGTTTGGACTTTAGACAGCTGAGTAGCAGTCAAAGGATTTTGAGCAGAGATATAACTTTCATTCAACAAATATTTAATGAGTTCCTTCTGTGTGTCAGGTACACAGGGGTTGATGATACAGTGATGAACAAAACAAAGTCCTTAGCCTAACAAACTTGCACTTGTGGTCTATCGGGGAAGCAGTGGATGCATAAATACATATTGTCAATTTGTGGCCAGTGCTATGAAGAGATACAAGGCAGCATAGTAGGATGGAACTTGACTCTGTGGGGTGGGAGTGAGGACTGGCATGAAGGTATTTTCCTTGGGGTGTAGGGAGGGCCTCTTCAGTAAGGGGAAAGTGGAATAGAGACCCAAACCAGGTGAGGGAGGGAGCCAGGCTGATATCTGGGAGAAGAGTATGCCAGACAGAGGGAATAGCTGATGCAAATGATCCAGTGAGGAGTGCACTTACTTGGGCAGAGCAAAGCAGTGTGTGGGAGGAGTGAGGGAGGTGGTGGAGTGCTAGCAGATGAGGTCAGAAAGGCAGCTGGGGTAGGTGATCCAGGCTTTTAAGGGGCTTGGATTGAATTCTAGAGTAGGATAGGAAGCCACTGAAGGATGGGGAGTGATGTGACAGGTTTGTATTTTAAAAGGACCATCCTGGATGCCATGTGACAGAGGCTAGGAGCAGAAGCAGGGATACACGTTAGGAGGCTCTTACAGGAAGTGTTGTGTGAAGACGAAAGCGGTGATGGGGAGGATCGGGCAGGAACTTGAACACCCCCATTTCCCATCTCTGAAAAAAAAAAAAAACCCTAAATCCTCTTCTCCATTTCCTTTCCTCCTATGGCCCTGCTGACTCCCAGCCCCCACTTCCCTGTCCCCTGTCTTCTGGCCTTGTCCCCTGCTCCTGACCTTGGATACTACTAATTCCCTCAGCTCCTGCCCCTTACTGCAACTGCTTCACTACTCCTAACTTTCCAAGATTACTTTTTCTGGGTAACTAGGTAGGTGGGGTCACTGGGTGACCCCATATCCTATCACTCAGGTGGTTGTGGCAACGAACATTGCTGAGACATCACTCACCATTGAGGGCATCATTTATGTGCTGGATCCAGGGTTCTGTAAGCAGAAGAGCTACAACCCCCGCACAGGCATGGAATCGCTCACTGTCACACCCTGCAGCAAGGTCAGCCTGGGGATGCATGGGAGTGGGGGAGGTGGAGTTGGCCCACAGAGAAGGTCCAACTCAGAAGCAGGGTGGGGGCTTCCTAGGGAACCGGGATGAGCAGTTTGCATCCTTCCAGATTTCTTGCATAAATACTGCCTTTTTCTTTTCCCTGACCAAATTGTCAGCCAGCCTGTTCCCCTTTCTTTCCAGGCCTCAGCCAATCAGCGAGCTGGCAGGGCAGGTCGGGTGGCTGCAGGGAAGTGCTTCCGCCTGTATACCGCCTGGGCCTATCAGCACGAGCTTGAGGAAACCACAGTGCCTGAGATCCAGAGGACCAGCTTGGGCAATGTCGTGTTGCTGCTCAAGAGCTTAGGTGATTGGGCTACCTGAGAGAGGAGGGAGGGGCTGGAGTCACTGTCCTTTGAAGGGACTCTGTTCCATCCATCACACCTCTTTCTAGGGATCCATGACCTAATGCACTTTGATTTCCTGGACCCTCCACCATATGAGACACTGCTGCTGGCTTTGGAGCAGCTGTATGCTCTGGGAGCCCTCAACCACCTTGGGGAGCTCACCACGGTGAGTCGGGGGACAGCATGGGTGGAGGCAGGATGATAGGGGTCAGGATGGCTCCAGGGACCCCTGTAGTAGTAGCGGGAAACCTGAGGGAGGACTGGGCTCAACTCTCTCTCTCTTCTCCTTAGTCTGGTCGAAAGATGGCAGAGCTGCCGGTGGACCCCATGCTGTCCAAAATGATCTTAGCCTCTGAGAAGTAAGCCCTCGCCTCCACCTGGGCCCCCAGCACACAAACAGGCCAGGCCTCCTCTGTCTCCAGGGTCCCCTTTGTCTGTCTTTTTCTGTTCATCATACTATCCCTTAACACATAATAAAGTATTAGATAACTCTGATTGCCCCCTTTTGAGGCCCACAAGGGTAAGACACTTGATCCTATCCTTGATTCCACTGCGCCCGGCCCCTTGAGGAACTTACTTGTTCCTAAGGTTTCCAACTAGAACATTTAGATGTAGCTGTGGAGGGATGACCTTTAAATGCCATTCCTCTGCTGTCAGAGATCTTTTCCAAATGCACATAGTGAATGCACACTTTCTGCAGAAGCCTCAGAATTCCCCGGTGTTTCCTGCTCCTGCCTCCATGGATGTCCCTCCTTTGTGACTGTGTTTCATCTATGGCCCCTACTTCCTTGACCCCCAAGCTGCTGCCAGAATCTATCTGCTGGCTGCTTTGTAGCCATTATGCCAACCAGCCTTCCCCACATGAGGAAACATCCATCACACAGTGATCACTCCCCACTCCACCATATCTGTTCCTATGTGTCTTGCTTTGAACTCATGCTTTCCCCTTCCTGTCCCAGGTACAGCTGTTCAGAGGAGATCCTGACAGTGGCTGCCATGCTCTCTGTCAACAACTCCATCTTCTACCGACCAAAGGACAAGGTCGTCCATGCTGACAATGCCCGTGTCAACTTCTTTCTCCCTGGCGGTGACCACCTGGTTCTGCTAAATGTTTACACACAGGTCACTGGGCTTGGGTGAGTGGGAATGAGAGACACTGGGGGACTTTAGTCCTGCTGTATACTTAATTATCTCTCCTTTCTTTTTAACTGTCTTCCCAGTGGGCTGAGAGTGGTTACTCTTCCCAGTGGTGCTATGAGAACTTTGTACAGTTCAGATCGATGCGCCGAGCCCGGGATGTGCGGGAACAGCTGGAAGGGCTCTTGGAACGTGTGGAAGTTGGTCTCAGTTCCTGCCAGGGGGACTATATCCGTGTACGCAAGGTCAGCATTTCTTCAGCCTCCTGCTTTCCACCCCCAGTACCTTCCCAGGAGCAAGCTTCTCTGGGGGCATGCAGCATTTCCTCCAGCGTGAGAGCATGCCCTCTTCCCCTTGTGTATGACGTGTCCTCCCAGGGCCCTTTCTTCCCCAGACCACTGAAGGTTCATTCCTGGGAAGTTCTTCATGCATTCCTTACCTCTCTAGTTTTCCTGAAGCCTGAACTAAAAAGGTAGTGCATTCTTAGGGTCCCCAGATGTCTGCCTTTTCCATTGATTTTCTTTCCTGCCCGCTCCTTAGGCCATCACTGCTGGTTACTTTTACCACACGGCACGGTTGACTCGGAGTGGCTACCGCACAGTGAAACAGCAGCAGACAGTCTTCATTCATCCCAACTCCTCCCTCTTTGAGCAACAGCCACGCTGGCTGCTCTACCACGAACTTGTCTTGACCACCAAAGAGTTCATGAGACAGGTGAGGAGAACATCCTGTGCCCACGCAGGTGGAGACTATGTAGAGAGATGGTGTCCTGGCAAGCTAAGAACCCAGGTTCAAGTTGCTGGGACTGGTACAGAAAGAGGAAGGTAGGGTAAAATAGAAAGACATCCTTTGTTTTTTTTTGTTTTTTTTGAGACGGAGTCTCACTCTGTTGTCCAGGCTGGAGTGCAGTGGCGCAATCTAGCCTCACTGCAACCTCTGCCTCTGGGGTTCAAGAGATTCTCATGCCTCAGCCTCCCAAGTAGCTGAGATTACAGGCGCAAGCCTCCAGGCCTGGCTAATTTTTGTTATTTTTAGTAGAGATGAGGTTTCACCATGTTGGCCAGGCTGGTCTCAAATGCCTGCCTCGGCCTCCCAAAGTGCAGGGATTACAGGTGTGAGCCACCATGCCCAGCCCAAAGACATCCTTTCTAACAGGTGTGTCAGCATCTTCCAAGATCTGAGAACTAGACACTTATTCAATAAATATTTGAATGGCTACTGTATAGGTGCTGGGGCTATAATGAACAAAGCAGTCTCTGGTCTCACAGAGTATAGTCTTTATGTTCTAGGCTTTTCTTTTTTTTGAGAGTTCCGTGCTGTTGTAGCCCAGGCTGGAGTGCAGTGGCACCATCTCAGCTCATGCAACCTCCGCCTTCGGTTTCAAGTGATTCCCCTGCCTCAGCCTCCAGTGTAGCTGGGATTACAGGTGCCCACCACCACGCCCAGCTAATTTTATATTTTTAGTAGAGACTGGGTTTCACCATGTTGGCCAGGCTGATCTCGAACTCCTGACCTCATGATCCGCCTGCCACGGCCTCCCAAAGTGTTGGGATTACAGGTGTGAGCCACTGTGCCTGGCATGTTGTTCTAGACTTTTCTTGGGAATAGCTTATTTGGTATCTTGAATAACATACAGAGGTGTATCTGCCCTTTGGGTATATAATAATAGAGCCAGGCACCTTTACACCTAGCCCTGCAGTCAAAGAGGAAAGATAACTTTTGACCATACACATAAGGATCTAGGTTGGGGCTGGGCATAGTGGCTCATTTTTGTAAACCATCCCAGCACTTTGGGAGGCCAAGATCAGCCCAGGCAACATAGTGAGACCCCAACTATACAAAAAATTAATGGTGCACTGTGATGTGTGCCTGTAGTCTCAGCTACTTGGGAGGCTGAGGCAGTAGGACTGCTTTGAGCCATGATACGCCACTGCAGTCCAGCCTGGGCAATAGAGCAAGACTCTGTTTCAATTTAAGAAAAAAAAATAACAACAACAAAAGATCTATGTTGGAAAGAAGGGAACTCCATTGATCTTTTCTCTCTCCTAGGTACTGGAGATTGAGAGCAGTTGGCTTCTGGAGGTGGCTCCCCATTATTATAAGGCCAAGGAGCTAGAAGATCCCCATGCTAAGAAAATGCCCAAAAAAATAGGCAAAACACGAGAAGAGCTAGGGTAAGAGAAGGACGTAAACAGAACCTGACACCAGCTCCTTTTCCTTCTATACATTATTTAATACCTATTAAATAAAATTATTTTTGGAATAAAGCTTGTGGGAACATTTGGGATCTAGAGAAAGTGATATGTGAAATTCTATCTCATATAGTCAGTTAAACTTTATTATTTACAAGTTAAATTACACAGCAGCTTTACACAGCATGAGATGGAAAGGAAGGAAGGAGAGAAACGAGGAGAGGAAGCTGGCTCCTGAGATTCTTGGCTGCCTCCACCTCCTTCTCTTGGGCGTAGCAGTCTTCAGTGCTGCCTCCACTCCAAGGTCAAGGATCAGGGCTTGGAACACAGGTTTAAGTCAGGTTCTGGCTCTGACAGCCCCAGGGCCACCAGGGCTCCCACTAGCAGCTTCTTCACAGGCGTTGGAGGTGAGTGTGAAGGCATCAGCTGCAGGGAGAAAGGTTAATGCCAGTTGGGGGAGGCACACAAATGTTCTACCCTTTACCCCACCCAGCCCTACCTAGGACTCACTTTATCTAGACGATGGCGACAAATGAGGCCACTGGAATTCAGGTAGAAAGTGGAGTAGGCATCATAGGTCCTGGGGAATAGAGGGAGGCTTACTGAGGGAGAAGGTGACTGGTCCCAAAGCTGAATTCAAGCATTTGTTTAAACGAGTAGTCCCTAAATTCTGCTACATATTAGATCACCTGGGCAACTTACAAACATCTCAGTGCTTAGGTTGTGCCCTGTCTCAATTAAATCAGAGTGTTTGGCGTCAATATTTTTTAACGATCCTTGGGCATTTCTACTGTGCAGCAGTTTGGGAACTGCTGGTTTAAAAACTTATATCCAATGTTTGTGGCTGAGTCTAACAATTTATTGGGATTCTACTCCCAGGCGGAAATTTACCAGGTTGTAAGGCTCAACATATGAGACAGGACTTTTCATTTGTTCAGTACTTTTGTGTGTGTGTGTGTGTGTGTGTGTGTGTGTGTGTGTGTGTGTGACAGGGTTTCACTCTGTCACCCAGGCTGGAGTCCAGTAATGTGATCACGGCTCACTGCAACCTCAACCTCCCAGGTTGAAGTGATTCTCTCATCTCAGCCTCCCAAGTAGCTGGAACTACAGGTGTGTACCACCACACTGGGCTAATTTTTGTATTTTTTTGGGTTTTACCATGTTGGCCAGGCAGGTCTCCAACTCCTTACCTCAAGTGATCCGCCCACCTCGGCCTCCCAAAGTGCTGGCATTACAGGCATGAGCCACCACACCCAGTCTGTTCAGTAAGTATTTGAGTACCTACCATGTGCTAGGCACTGTATAGGAAGAAACTGAAGCTCAGAGGTTTTTCTAATATACCCAGTCTCTATTTTTTTTTTAACATTAACATAAACTAAACAGGATCCCTGTCCTTAAACAGTCAAGTGAGGATAGGTCAAGGGTTGTCTGGGAGACTAGATCATCTGTAATCTCAGCACTTTGGGAAGCTAAGGCAGGTGGATCACCTAAGGTGAGGAGTTCGAGACCAGCCTGGCCAACATGGTGAAACCCTCTGTCTACTAAAAATACAAAAATTAGCCGGGTGTGATGGTGTGCCTGTAATTCCAGCTACCCAGGAGGCTGAGGCTGGAGAATTGCTGGAAGCCGGGAGGCAGAGGCTGCAGTGAGCTGAGATCACGCCACTGCACTCCATCCTGGGTGACAGAGTGAGACTCCGTCTCAAAAAAAAAAAAAAAAGGAACTGATTATAGTTTGGGTCCTTTCTCATTTCTCTCTTACCGGTAATGCTCGTCTTTGTCACGCTTGTAGAACCGCAAAAAGAGCAAGTGGACGGGCAGCCCCACAAGCCGCCACCGGGCTTGCAGGGTCCAGTTCTCAGGGTGGCGGGTCAGCTGTAAAACCTCCAAACGAAGGTGTGCAAAATAATTCCAGGCCAGGAAACGGCAGAGGGTCAGTGAAAGAATGTACCATGTCCGGCCCCTGTGAAGAAGGGATGGGAAAGAAATCTCATGATGGCAGAATTAGAAAACCAAACTGGCTTCTAAGGAATGGGGAACAGCTGTGAGAAGCAGTCTAGGAACTTCTCTGGGAAGTGAAAAGGGTCATGTATATACCTTTGGGTGCTTTTCCTCCCCAGTGCCCTACCTGTGCCCCAATTCTCACTTGGTACGTATGTTGAGGATCTCATTGATGAATTCCACATCCAAGGAATACAGACTGTAGTCGTGGGACTGAAGGAAGAGCTTGGGAAGCTAGGTGGAAGAAGATGGCATCAACCCAGTGGGAAAGAAAAGATAATCCTATTTTTCAGTTTTCTAATTTTTTTTTTTTTTTGAGACGGAGTCTAGCTCTGTCGCCCAGGCTGGAGTACAGAGGTACAATCTCAGCTCACTGCAACCTCCGCCTCCTAGGTTCAAGCGATTCTCCTGCCTCAGCCTCCCGAGTAGCTGGGATTACAGGCTTGAGATGGAGTCTAGCTCTGTCGCCCAGGCTGGAGTGCAGAGGTACAATCTCGGCTCACTGCAACCTCCGCCTCCCAGGTTCAAGCGATTCTCCTGCCTCAGCCTCCCGAGTAGCTGGGATTACAGGCACCCACCACCATGCCCAGCTAATTTTTGTATTTTTAGTAGAGACGGGGTTTCACTGTGTTGGCCAGGCTGGTCTTGAACTCCTGACCTTGTGATCCGCCTGCCTCGGCCTCCCAAAGTGCTAGGATTATAAGCGTGAGCCATGTGCCAGGCCCAGTTTTCTATTTTTAAGGCCTCCTTACTCCCATCTTGGAGTGAAAGATCTCATCCCATGATTAACCTCCCTTAACCCAAAATGAGGAACATCATTTTCTTTCTTTTTTTTTTTTTTGAGACGGAGTCTCGCTCTGTTGCCTAGGCTGGAGTACAATGGAGATATCTCCTTTCACTGCGCCTCCTGGGTTCAAGCGATTCTCCTGCCTCAGCCTCCTGAGTAGCTGGGATTATAGGCGTCTGCCACCATGCCTGGCTGATTTTTGTGTTTTTAGTAGAGATGGGGTTTCACCATGTTGGCCAGGCTGGTCTTGAACTCCTGACCTCAGGTGATCCACCTGCCTAAGCCTCCCAAAGTGCTGGGATTACAGCACTTTGAGCCACCGTGCCTGGCTGGAACATCATTTTCTCAGGAAAATGTTTATAATATATTTCTATGCCTGCCTCATGGTTCCAAAAAAGAATCCAGTTGACTATCCCTGTACGTCCAAGGATTACCCACATCCTTCCCACTGTAGACGAAGGCCACTTTTGCACTGACTTACCTCTTGTCTCAGTCTCTCATACATGACAGACAGATGTTCCTCCATACTAGGATCTCCTGACGGGGTGGCAGGGGAAGGGTGGGCAGTTCCAGGGACTTGGAAAGGTATCCAAGCCCCAGGATAGGGGCAGGGAGGTCCCTCAAAAAGGCTTCTAAGCCCATCCAGGCAGCCGCTATGCAACTCAGGTCCTGGTCCCTCCTCCCCCTTTCCTGGAGGGAGAACCACCCATGCTGAGCTGAGGGCCTGGATCTGAGGGAGAGGTAGTGGGGGAACCTGGGGAAGACGCTGGGTGGGAAGGCGTGGGGGCAGGGGAGACCAGAATAGAGGAGAAGATGGGGAAGTGGTTGTCGTGGAGTGGGGCCAAAGGGGTGGGAATGGTAGAGTCCCTGGATAAAGCTGGTCCTAAGGAGAAAGAACAGAAGGGAGAAAGATAAGAATCCACTTGTCTAACACCCCTTGATCCCCTGGATGCTCAACAGGCTTCCAATACCTATTCCTCCTGACAGAATGGATGGAATTACTATAGGAAAAAAGGGATGGATTCATCTCCATCTCTACTGAAAACAGGAGGAAACCATTTTATTTTATTATTTATTTTGAGATGGAGTCTCGCTCTGTTGCCAGGCTGGAGTGCAGTAGCACGATCTCAGCTCACTGCAACCTCCGCCTCCCGGGTTCAAGTGATTTTCCTGCCTCAGCCTCCTGAGTAGCTGGGACTACAGGCGCGCGCCACCATGCCCAGCTAGTTTTTGTATTTTTAGTAGAGACAGGATTTCACCATGTTAGCCAGGATGGTTTTCATCTCTTGACCTCGTGATCCACCCGCCTCTGCCTCCTAAAGTGCTGGGATTACAGGCGTGGGCCACCGCGCCCAGCCGAGCAAACTGTTTTATGTGACATAAATACCGGCACCTCCCAAAACCTAGCAGACATTTTACTTTTTTTTCTTTTTTTGAGACGAAGTCTCACCGTCGCCCAGGCTGGAGTGCATTGGCGCGAACTCGGGTCACTGCAACCGCCGCCTCCTGGGTTCAAGCCATTCTCCTGCCTCAGCCTCCCGAGTAGCTGGGATTACAGGCACCCTTCACCACGCCCGGCTAATTTTTGTATTTTTAGTTACAGATGGGGTTTCACCATGTTGGCCAGGCTGTTCTCGAACTCCTGACCTCAGGTAATCCGCCCACCTCGGCCTCCCAAAGTGCTGGGATTACAGGCGTGAGCCACCGTGCCCGGCCCAGTGTTGGAATCTTAAAGAAATGTGGCCGGGCGCGGTGGCTCACGCCTGTAATCCCAGCACTTTGGGAAGCCGAGGCGGGCGGATCACGAGGTCTAGGAGTTCGAGACCAGCCTGGCCAATATGGTGACACCCCATCTCTACTAAAGATACAAAACAATTAGCCGGGTGTGGTGGCGGGAGCCTGTAGTCCCAGCTACTCGGGAGGCTGAGGAAGGAGAATTGCTTGAACCCAGGAGACGGAGATTGCAGTGAGCCGAGATGGTGCCAATGCACTTCAGCCTGGGTGACGGAGCAAGACTCCATTTCAAAAAAAAAAAAAAAAAGATTCCAACACTGGGGGCAGTTTCACCTCTCTTATCGCAAGAATCATGTAATACATACTTGATGAGTTAACGAATAACAGGTTTTATTGTACTGTGGATTAAATGCTGTGGCCTGTACATCTCCATGATTAAGTGTGCGAGGCAAATGTACAGAGAAAAAAGAATATCCAGCTGAAGCTAGGAATCTGAATTCTATCATGTAACTTTAGGCATTCTCATTCCCTATGCCTCCGCTTCCTACAAATGTCCTATAAATGAGAACAATAAAGCCTCACTGGGTTATGAGGCCTATATGAAATAATGAATGTAAACAAAACGTAGCGACCTAGAAAGCAGTACATAAATGGAAGCTATTATCATTTCGGGCCCCTCTAATGACAGACACAACCTCAGGAGACAGTTAAAGGCTGGCCTTCACTCTCCTGGGTTTACCGACGTTGAAACTGCAAGGGGAGGTCACCCAAAGTTAGGCCTCACCCGAGTCCCTCCGCTCCCAAGGAACCCCCCAGGGGATCGTCTCACTGCAGGGAAGGCGGGCGGACCGCTCGGGTACCTCGGTCCCCGATGGTGTCCTAGAGGCGCCGTCTCTGCTGGGGGCGTGGCCATCTTGCCAGCCCGGGCGCAGGGGCCCGAACCGGGTGCACACTGGCCGGCCTTCCTGCCAGGACCGCTCTCCGAGTGCAAGACGGGCGGGCTGCTGAGGGCGCCCCGCGGGTCTGGTCTGGGCCGGGGAACTCCGGGACGGCGCCGCAGCAGGGCTACGAATCTCTCGGCCCCTGCCCTTCAAATCACCTCTAGGCACAGGTAACCGCGGAGAGTCGGGCGCAACGCAGACGCGCCCCGCTGCCTGGCCTTGACCCCGCCTGACCGCCCTCAAACCTGGGAGGACCGACGTCCTTGCGCGACAGGCCCGGCAGCGCCTCCCTCCCGCTCCCGCGACCCCTAGCCTGTCCACGCGCTGCAGGGCACAGGTGGGAAGGGGCGGCGGGTGTCTCTGCGCCTGCGCGGAACCCAGCGCGCGCTCCGCCCCACGCACCGGCTTTGAGGAGGGTCTCTCCCCGCCCCCTCTCCTCCCTCCCTCTTCTCCTCCGCTCACCTGGGGTCGAGCCTGGTAGGCGCGCAGGCAAGGGCCGAGACGCCGGGCCGCACCCCGGCTGGGCTGGTACATGATCTTCCGGGAGTGGAGAAGGAGCCTCCTGAGTCCGACCTCCGGCCTCCTCACAGGGGTGAGCGCGCCCCAGAGCCGGCTTCGTGAAGGGGAAAGGAGGCCGGGGCGGGGGGGTAGGGGGGGAAGGGGCTGAGGGAGGGAAACGGAGATGTCCCGCGCTTGCGCACTGCAGGCTCGAGGGAAGCGGCTGAAGCGCTCTGTCGGCTGTAAGCGCGCCTGCGCCCGCGGGCTCGGAGACTGCCTGAGTGCGCTTGCGCAAGTTACAGCCTCCCCCGCCCCCCCAAGCGCTGTATTCACAGCTGAGGCCTTTGAGCAAAAAGCTGAGCAAAAACAGGGCTGAAGGCTGAATGGGTGCAACGACAGTGAGGGGTGAGGCGGCTGAAATAATGAGTCAAATTTTTCAACAGCTCTTGTGATAAAAATAAATACTTTTATTGGTCTGGTTAAAAGATACAAATGACTTGAATCTGATAAGCCTGCTGAATGAATGAATGAATGAATGTATCCATCTATTATGAGGGTTGGGCTTTGGCTCTTTCCTGTAGTGAGGGAGAAATAATACTTTGAAGATGTTTGACGGGGCTGCGGTCACCAAGGCCTGGTGCTGCGACGTTCCTGCAGGTTTCGAATGAACCTGGCGTTGAGTATGTCCCCACCCACTGTCCAGGACTGGGCTGGCGGGGCCGGGGCCTGTGGAGGAGCTGTGTGCATGGGCTTCTCCCCAGACCCATCCTGTGACAAGGCCTGCTCCTCACTGGCAGACCTGGTAGGTGGGGAGATGGAGAGTGGGTTATAGGAATACTAAAGAGGAAATTAAGATTACAGACTCTTCAAGGTCTCGGGCCAGGTTTTAATGTAGGACACATGATGGGTATGAAGCTGGAACCATTAGTGCTATGTCCAAATTTAAAACCTCTCAGAGAATCCGTATTCCAAAGGGAAGTACCAGAGTTGAACCTGTGGGGGAAAGGGGCTTGCAGGATGTAAGGTAGAAGGAATTGTGGGAGGAGCTGGTGTCCAGTTCATACAATAAGATTTAAGAGTAGGAAGTGACTGAGAATGATGTTAGGAAGGGAGTCAGATGGTGGTGGGAGGCTGTTAGGGGAGGGGTTTAGACCTCACCTATTCTTTGTTTCCTGTTCTCCCTGCTTGGAGTCTTGGTTGCCTGTGGAAATATCAGGCATGTGAATGGGAAGGCAGGAGTAGACAGTGAATGTGGCCTACTTGATTTGAGGGTAGGGAGGAGTGAATACTTACCTGTATTGGGGGATGAGGAATTCACCCCCCCATGGCGGCTGTAGCAGCAGCTTTGGGCTACCAGACCTGGGGGAGTCCCCCTGTAGAAGAAATGGGAGATGATGGGGAGGAGGCTACTGGATGAAAGATGGGTGGGTATGGAGGAATCAGAGGAGAGGAGTAAAAGGAATAGCACAGGAACAAAGAGAAGGGGGTAATTATCATTCCTAACAGGTTTTAATCAAAGCTGTGCCCCAGAAAAGGGCGGGGGAAGTTCATTTTATACCCAAGATTTTCTGGAGTGCTTCTGATTTATTGCTCTATTCTTTCTAGTTGAGGTAATGTGTTAAATCTATGGCTAGGTGTGATCCAAATCATGTCAGAAGAACAGACTCACATGTGGTCAAAAATGTGTTGGATCGGGTACTCTGGTGTTTGGTTTGGAAAACAGGGTTACCTTAACTATAAGATTCCTTAGACCAGGCTGGGCGCGGTGGCTCAGGCTTGTAATCCCAGCACTTTGGGAGGCCAAGACGGGCAGATCACGTGATCAGGAGATCGAGACCAACCTGGCCAACATGGTGAAACCCTGTCTCTACTAAAAATACACAAACTAGCTGGGCACGGTGGTGCACTTCTGTAATCCCAGCTACTTGGGAGGCTAAGGCAGGAGAATCGCTTGAACCCAGGAGGCGGAGGTTGCAGTGAGCTGAGATTGTGCCACTGCACTCCAGCCTGGCGACAGAGCAAGACTCCATCTCAAAAAAAAAAAAAAAGATTCCTTAGACCAGAGGGAAATAGGAAGTGACAAGGCTGAATTTTGAATTTAGGAGGAAAAGGAAGGGGGCCTCTGTAAATAGGGTGACAGACTGTGTTGCACTCTCAATGGAGGTAAGGGTTTGTCTTGAGAGAGATCCAGCGGTTTAGTGGAGCAGACGTCAGGTAATCAGAGTGGGAAGACGAATACAGGAGGCAGGAGGTAATTAGTGGATCCAGAGATGTTGGTAAGCTTTGACATCTTGGCAAAGGCACGCCCAGAGTAAAGGGTAGAAGTCACTGGGGAGAGCTGGAGGTTCCTGGAGGGAATGAGGGAGTAGATACGGAAGCCCACACACAGGGATCCAGCACCTACATGAAAGGAGACACAGAATCTGCAGGAGGACTAACAGTGAAGATGGGGATAGGCAGACACCAGACTCAGGAGCTCTGAGGCTCCTGGGTAAAAGATGTGCAGATCTCAGAAGTGAGAAATGAGAGGGACAGAGGTCCTGAGATCCCAGGAAAATAAGGGATGACGCACAAATGAGGCTGACAACTTTTTTTTTTGTGATTCTTTTTTTCATTGAAAATGTCAATTTAGAAAACACAAAAGATTTCACACTTTATTCAGACAACACTGAGAGAAGAAAAGGGAAGAGTGAGTAGGGGAGATGGGGAGATCCGGCTCCCAAGGATTTCAGGAAACACAGTGGGGCACCTGATCTAGCACACATTCAGAGGGTAGGGAGGGGAAGGGATCTAGCTATACTCTGGGCATGGAGCAGGGAAGGTCGTCCTTGCTATGGAGGAAAGGAGAGAGGAAGGACAGAGGAAGAGTGGTCCCCCATCTCATCTCGACAATCTCACAAGACAGGAGTATATCGGGACCTAGCTACCAGGGAGGGATGGATGCAAGAAGGGATTCCAGGATCTAACAGATCCTTGACACTCTGGATCTACTCTCAAGAAACAACCTCCCTCAGAGAATCTGGATCTGGGGGAAATGGTGGTGTCAGCCAATCTCCTTTAGAGACCCCAAAGCAACACCAGTTTGGGGTTCCCTGACACCTACACAAAATGTGGAAATGAAGAGTTTGGCAATGGTGAGTAGATCCCTTTGGGAAGCTGGTAAGTCCCTGTTCTACCTAACTAGACTGCTCTGAAGCAGAGCTTGCTCACTAGCGGCCATTCGCAGGCTCAAAGGGCAAGTGTGGCAGGCAGCACAAAGCAGTATTAGAGCCACCAGTAGACACTAGAGGGAATATGGGGTTTATCCCATAGATAAAATTCCTTAAAAAGTTTCCCTGGCACAGGATGCCCTTAGACCTTCCATGGTGGTCTAAAGTTTGACAGCAAGCAAGAGTGTGCTTCTCTAGATAAATGTATGAGCCATCTAACCAAGAAGTCTGGCAACAGATCAGACTTCCTGTTGGGAAAGTATTCAGAGCCCAAGTTAGGAGAGAAGGGGTGCTTTTGTGTTAAGAAAAGCTACAAAGTGTTAGGCAGTTTGAGACCCTGACATCCCTGCTGTCTAAGAAAGTAGAAGAGGGAATCCTATGGGCTCTGTCAGGTTCCACTGGGTCCTACAGGATGCAATGGAAGAGTGGGTCTGAGGTTCTCAGGGAGGGGTTCCCTGCCCACCCCAGGTCTCCCAGGGCAGGGAGAGGGTAGCTGTTAGTATCGACTCTCCTCAGAGCGGGGAAGGGAGCTGTGGAAGGATGTTATGGATGGGAGGAAGGGAGATGGGAAATGGCGGGGGGCGGGGGAGAGAAAAACAGAGAAGTCAGAGGTGAAGAGAAAGGGAGAGAAATAAAGGAAATGCCCACTCCCTGCCTGCTGCGATGGACTCTTGGCACACAAGCCAGTGGCTTCCCACTCTCTGTCAGACACTGCCCCTTCCCCAGCAAGTATTAAGCGAAGATTTTCCCAATCTTAGAAGGCTCTGTTCCCCCAACTCGATGGATCTCGGTGTTCTTCCTACCATTCCACATAACTCTCACATTAAAGCCAGGGTCCCTAGGCTCCATATAAGGTCCTATTCTGCTCCTTCACTGCATTTTTTTCCCAGATCACTTGCACAAATATTTTTCTTGAAAGGTTTCAGGACCCCCCCCAAGCCACCCATCTTATTGATCCATCTCTCTGATGGATTCAAATTGCCCTTTGCCATTTCTAACATCCTCTTTTATAGCTGTGAGGCTCCTTAGCCCTTCAACTCCTATTACCTGGTGCGACGACGTTGAGCTGGGCTGCCCCCAGGGTCAGCAGCCAACAGAAGGCGGGCGGTAGGGTGTGGGGGGCAGAGGCGCAAGGAACGCAGCAGCTCCTGCTCTGGCACAAAGGGGCGGAGGGGACCTCGTTCTGGTGAGTTTCCCAGGCTGCTGGAGCGGGGGGGTGGGTGGGCTGGAGGTGTGGCGCGGCGAGGGGCCCTGTTTAGGGGCCAAGGAGGCTCCACAGCTACCTTCAGAACTGGGGACAGGGAGAATGAAGAGCAAGACAGAAAAAGAAGAAAAAAGGAAGAGAGTCATGACAGCAAAGGTTTTGGTAGAAAAAAAGAGAAATCTGAGTCTTTCTTTTTTTTTTTTTTCTTTTTTGAGACGGAGTCTCACTCTGTCACCCAAGCTGGAGTGCAGTGGCACGATCTTGGCTCACTGCAACTTCCGCCTCCTGGGTTCAAGCCATTCTCCTGCCTCAGCCTCCCAAGTAGCTGGGATTACAGGCACGTGCCACCGTGCCCAGCTAATTTTTGTATTTTTAGTAGAGACGGGGTTTCACCATGTTGGCCAGGCTGGTCTTGAACCCCTGGACTCAGGCGATCTGCCTGCCTTAGCCTCTCAAAGTGCTGGGATTACAGGCATGAGCCACCATGCCCAGCCCAAGAAATCTGAGTCTTTAGAGAGAACGAATCCTTTCCCTGGGTCCCCTGAGCATTCTCTTCCCTTGTGTTAAGGTACCCCAGGCCCAGACACCCGACCCTTGCCCCTCTTACATTCTCGGTCACTAGAGGAGTATGGCTTGATGTCTCCCTCTGCTCTCTTGGGTGGCAGCTTCCTTGCTGGAGCTGGCAGTGGAGGGGACATAGGCAGGGTAAGCGTTAGGAGACATACTTTGCACCCCTCCTCCCAGCCACTATACCCCAACCCCAAACCTCTGCTCCCTGACACCACAGTTCCTCCTGAGAACTTGCAGGAGCAGCACCATGGCAATGCCAGCACACCAAAAGGGAATTTGAGGGGAATGTGGAACACTGTTGAGGAAAGCCAGAAGGAGTAGGCCAAACACAGAGCTAGGGAGAAAGATCGAAGGGGAGACTCTGGGGGCCTGGGAGATGCAGGAGAAGGGCAGCCAAGGGAAGTGAGCTCTTACTGTCAGTGGGTGCTGTCATGGCCCCCTGGTATTCTGGGGCAGTGGAATGGTCCCAGCCGGGCCAACGAGGACCCTGGGTTCCTCTGGATGAGATGGACAAAGCCCTTGGTTAATCAGGAATTGCTCTGGAGAGGTCAGGGGAGGTTTGGAAGGAGGGCACAATCTCTCCTTCCTATACGAAAATGGGAAGAGACTGAAGTTTTATTAGGTTAAAAAAAAAAAAGAAAATAAATATGGGCATCTGAAAGGGAGCTATCAGAGTAAGCAGGAGGCTGATGTAATGTCCAAAGTTCAGCCTCCCCCTCCTCACTTCTCTACTTGCTCCCGGCTTTCCCTCTCAAGAGATTCTCCATCATGTATGTGTGGCAAATGAAAGACTTCTCAGCAAATTCACTTAAGCTTTATCCACAGCACCCTCCCCTGCAGGCCTGAGACCTCACCATCCTTGTTGGCCCTCAGTCCCTCTCACAGCCTGTGGTTCTGAACAAGCTAAATGGGAGAAGCCTTGGAAACCAAAGCGAGTTGAGGTGCCTCTCAGTGCCTGACACTGTGATGCTCATAGCTGGTTACAGACTGCTGTTTGGATGGTGGTTACATCCTTTCCTGGCCACAGAGCCAGCTCAGGAAGGGGGCTCTTCTGTGCAAGCAAGCACTGTACAGCTGTCAGAAGTTGGTAAGGTGGAGGTGGTGAGGAAGAGGAAGGAGTGGGGCTCAGACTGTCAGTAAGTGTGTTTGTGTGTGTGTGTGTGTGTGTATGTGTGTATATGGGATGGGGAATCTGGACAGCATTTTAGTGCCTCTGAGGTTTGGTTTCTCCATATCAATTTCATTATCTGGTTGGAAATGTTATAAACTCTGAGTGTTATCTTCTAAAAGTAACATTTAAATTTTGGGCCATTTGTGTCACTATTCTGTGACTGCAAATGGAAGGGCTGTTTGCACCAGCCTGTCCCTCACTGGCTAACAGAAGCCTGGGGTTTACAAAGGAGCCTGACTCTGGCCTATGTTGACGGACCTGAACTGGCAAGAGGGTCCATTGATATCAGCTGTCAAACAGGCTCCCAATGAGCTTGCTTAGTTAAAAGTCTTGCCAAATATAAAATGCACTGAGCTCCCATGAGGGCAAAGGCAAACAGTCATGACTGCTGGAGACTTGGGTTGCTTTAGAATTTTCCAAAATTGCCCACAGATGGCACTGTACCCCGTGGCATCTAGAGTAAGTAGCCATCACTGCACTACAGTTCCACCCCTTCAATACAGGCTTTACCAGCGGGCGTGGGATCGACTGCAGCAGCACGAGAGTGTCGAGTTGCCCTCAGAGAGGGAGCAGGGGGCCCTGTGAGGAAGGAAGCGGCGGGGCCCCTCAGTGAGGGGTCGGCAGGACCAAGAGTCCAGCTCTTTCCTTTCCCTCACCCCGACTACGTGACCAACAAAATGCAAAAACTTACGATGTTGATGGGCAAAGAAGCCTTCAAAGATCACAAAGTTGTTCACCTGGAAGATGAAACAAACAAAATACAATCATGCATCACTTAACGATGGGGATACATTCTGAGAAATACGTCATTGGGTGATTTCATTGTGTGAACATCACAGAGTGTACTTACACAAACCTAGACACTATAGCCTACAACACACCCAGACTATATCATACAGCCTATTGCTCCTAGGCTACAAACCTGTACAGCATGTTACTGTACTGAATGCTGTAGGCAATTTTTTTTTTTTTTTGAGAGGCAGAGTCTCGCTCTGTTGCCTAGGCTGGAGTGCAGTGGTGCCATCACAGCTCACTGCAGCATCAACCTGGGCTTAAATGATCCTCCCACCTCAGCCTCCCAAGTAGCTAGGACCACAGGTGCATGCCACCACATCTGGCTACTAATTTTTTTTTAACTTTTTGTAGAGATGGGGGTCTCACTATGATGCCCAGGCCAGTCTCAAACTCCAGGGCTCATGTGATCCTTCTGCCTCAGCCTCCAAAAGTCCTGGGATTATAGACGTGAGCCACCATGCTCAGCCAGCTGTAGGCAATTCTAACATAATGGTTCAGCTGATGTATCTAAACATACCTCAACACAGAAAAGGTACAGTAAAGGTCAGGTGCGGTGGCTCACGCCTGTAATCCCAGCACTTTGGGAGGCCGAGGCGGGCGGATCATGAGGTCAGGAGATCGAGACCATCCTGGCTAACATGGTGAAACCCCATCTCTACTAAAAATACAAAAAAATTAGCCGGATGTGGTGGCGGGCGCCTGTAGTCCCAGCTACTCGGGAGGCTGAGGCAGCAGAATGGCGTGAACCCGGGAGGCAGAGCTTGCAGTGAGCTGAGATCGTGCCACTGCACTCCAGCCTGGGCGATGGAGCAAGACTCCGTCTCAAAAAAAAAAAAAAAGAAAGAAAGTGAAAAGACAATCTACAGAATGGGAGAAAATGTTTGCAAGTCATACATCTGATAAGTGCGTTCTATCTAGAATATATGAAAAACTCTCAGAACAAAAAAGAACACAATTTAAGAACAGACAAAGGACTTGTATAAACTTTTCTCTAAAGAAGATACACAAATGGCCAATAAGCACATAAAAAGGTGCTAAAGTCCAGGTTCAGTGGCTCACACCTGTAATCCCAGCACTTTGGGAGGCTGTGGCAGGCATCACTTGAGGTCAGGAGTTCAAGACCGGTCTGGCCAAGATGGTGAAACCCTGTGTCTATTATAAATACAAAAAATTAGCCAGGCATGGCAGTGTGCACCTGTAATCCTAGCTACTTGGGAGGCTGAGGCAGGAGAGTCGCTTGAACCCAGGAGGCGGAGGTTGCAGTGAGCTGAGATCGTGCCACTGCACTCCAGCCTGGGCAAGAGAATGAGACTCCGTCTCAAAGGATAAATAAATAAATAAAAAATTCAGCAGGGTTCCAAGGGGTGGGGAAAGTCAGGGGAAGACATGCTGGAGGCCAGGATGCTACTTTGATAACTAGTAACTATTAATTTTAGAGTTACTTCATTATATTTTCACATTTAATTTGGCCTTCACAATCCTGGAAGTCACTATTTGAAAGAAGGTTGGGGGAAATACAGCCTTGGAGACATGGCTTCGCTTGGCCAATGCCAAGTAGCTACAAGTGGCAGGGCTGGGCCTCAACTTTCAGACTTCTGATTCCAGCTGCAGTGTTTTAGCCAGGAAAATAGTGTAGCCATTAAGAGTTTACTCAAGAGGAGAGCTTGCAGTGAGCCGAGATGGCAACACTGCACTCCAGCCTGGGCGACAGAGAGAGACTCCGTCTCAAAAAAAAAAAAAAAACTCGGGGGCCAGGCGTGGTGGATCACGCCTGTAATCCCAACAATTTGGGAGGCCAAGGCGGGTGGATCACTTGAGGTCAGGAGTTCGAGACCCTGTCTCTACTAAAAATACAAAAATTAGCTGGGTGTGGTGACGTGCGCCTGTAATCCTAGCTACTCAGGAGGCTGAGGCAGGAGAATCCATTGACCCCAGGAGGGAGAGGCTGTAGTGAGCTGAGATTGCACCACTGTACTTCAGCCTGGGTGACAGAGTGAGACTCCATCTCAAAAAAAAAAGTTTAATGGGGGCTGGGCATGGTGGCTCATGTGGATAGCTTGAGCCCAGGAGTTCAAGACCAGCCTGGGCAATATAGCAAGACCTCATCTCTACAAAAATATTTTTAAAAATTAGCCAGGCGTGGGCCGGGCCCAGTGGCTCAAGCCTGTAATCCCAGCACTTTGGGAGGCCGAGGCGGGCCGATCACGAGGTCAGGAGATCGAGACCACCCTGGCTAACACGGTGAAACCCCGTCTCTACTAAAAATACAAAAAATCAGCCAGCCATAGTGGTGGGCGCCTGTAGTCCCAACTACTTGGGAGGTTGAGGTGGGAAGATCTTTTTTGAGATGGAGTCTCGCTCTGTTGCCAGGCTGGACTTCAGTGGCAAGATCTCAGCTCACTGCAACCTCCACCTCCTGAGTTCAAGCGATTCTCCTGCCTCAGCCTCCGGAGCAGCTGGGACTACAGGCATGCGCCACCATGCCCAGCTAATTTTTGTATTTTCAGTAGAGACAGGGTTTCACCATGTTGGCCAGGATGGTCTTGATCTCTTGACCTCGTGATCCGCCCGCCTTGGCCTTCCAAAGTGCTGGGGTTACAGGCGCGAGCCAATGCGTCCGGCCTTTTTTTTTTTTTAACATGGAATCTCACTCTGTTGCCCATGCTGGAGTGCAATGGTGTCATCTCGGCTCCCTGCAACTTCCACCTCCCAGGTTCAAGCTCTTCTCCTGTCTCAGCCTCCTGAGTAGCTGGGATTACAGGCACATGCCACCACGCCCGGCTTATTTTTGTATTTTTAATAGAGATGGGGTTTCGCCATGTTGGCCAGGCTGGTAGGGAAGATCTCTTGAGCCTAGGAGGTAGAGACTGCAGTGAGCCGTGATCGTGCCACTGCACTCCAGCCTAGGCAACAGAGCAAGACCTTGCCTCAAAAAGAAAAAAAAAAAAAAAGTTCACTGGGTGCAAATGGCTATGGGTTCAAATGTGGACTCTACTATTTACTGGCTGTGTGAATTTGGTTAAGTCATTAATTTGTATAAACCCAAAATAGGTTTAATAATAGTACCTACCTCAAAAAGATGTGCAAGAATCCACTGAGATGATGCATATAGATACCACATAGAGCCCATGAAATGTGAATTATTATTTACACTCTATACTGCTCTGGCCTTACATGTTAACTGGGTAATGTGTTTCATATCGAATACTGTGCTCCAGGACCGGGTATGGTGGCTCACGGCTGTAATCGTAGCACTTTGGGAGACCGAGGTGGGCGGATCACTTGAGGTCAGAAGTTCGAGACGTCTGGCCAACATGGTGAAACCTCATCAACACAAAAATTAGCCAGGTGTGGTGGTGGGCGCCTCTAATCCCAGCTACTCAGGAGGCTGAGGCAAGAGAATTGCTTGGACTCAGGAGGCAGAGGTTCCAGTGAGCTGAGATTGTGCCACTGCACTCCAGCCTGGGCGACAGACTGAGACTCCATCTCAAAATACAAACAAACAAACAAAAAAAAACTGTGCTCCTTCCACTGCTCTCTGTTGCCTCTTAATGGAAAAATATACTGTAGGAAGACCCTGCCTATCCCTTGCCTTGACCTTGTTGTAATGTCTACCAGCCCATCCTCATCACCCCCACCCCCCAACAAGCACATGCCCAGCACTCCAACCACACCACACTGCTTGTAGTGTCCTGAAAGGTGGTTTATTTTTATTTATTTATTTATTTTTTTTGAGACAGTGTCTTGCTCTGTCGCCCAGGCTGGAGTGCAGTGGCATGATCTGGGCTCACTGCAAGCTCCGCCTCCTGGGTTCACGCCATTCTCCTGCCTCAGCCTCCTGATTAGCTGGGACTACAGGCGCCTGCCACCACGCCCAGCTAATTTTTTTTGTATTTTTAGTAGAGACGGGGTTTTACCGTGTTAGCCAGGATGGTCTCGATCTCCTGACCTTGTGATCCGCCTACCTTGGCCTCCCAAAGTGCTGGGATTACAGGTGTGAGCCACCACGCCTGGCCTGAAAGGTGGTTTAATACCTTTCTGCCTTTGCTCATGCCTGTTCCTCTACATGAAATGCACTTTAGCCTTTTGTCCACCTGACAAACACTTGCCTTTCAAGATTAGACATGTCATCTTTCTTTACCCAACCCCCAGCCCAAGATAGCACTCAAATCCATGTCCTTATGCCTCCTCTGTAATCACATCTATCAAATCATGTTACAATGGATTAACTGTCCATGTTCCTATCCAAGGCTAACTTGTCAACCAAATCTCAACGCCCCCGCCGCCCATTCAATGACATCACTTCAACAGTTCTCCCCACTTTCTCTGACATAATAATATTTTCTCTCTACTGAATCATTCTAATGCTATTTGTTCTCCCATCTGCAAAAGATCAACTCTTTTGATCCACTTCACTCTCCAGCTCTTGCTCTATTTCTATTCCCATTAAAGCAGGATTTAAAAGAGTAGCTTATTCTTGCTGTGTTCCTAGCTTCTCAGTCTACAAGACCCACTGCATCCAGGCTTCCAAACACCGCTGCACCAAAACTGCTCATTAAGATCACCAATGGCCTAACGCAGATAAATCCAATGGTAACTTCTCAGACCTCTTTGCTCCTTGATCAGCAGCATTTGACCAAGTAAACCATTCCTTCCTCCTGGAAACACTTTCTTCAGTGGCCTTTGAGGTCACCTTACTTTTCAGTTTTCTTTTCTTTTTTTTTTTTTTTGAGATGGAGTTTCGCTTTGTTGCCCAGGCTGGAGTGCAATGGCATGATCTCGGCTTACTGCAACCTCCACCTCCCAGATTCAAGTGATTGTCCTGCCTCAGCCTCCCAAGTAGCTGGGATTACAGGCATGAGCCACCTCGCCTGGCTAATTTTGTATTTTTTGTAGAGATGGGGTTTCACCATGTTGGTCTTGAACTCCTGACCTCAGGTGATCCACCCGACTCGGCCTCCCAAAGTGCTGGGATTACAGGTGTGAGCCACCACACCCGGCCTCAGTTTTCATCTACTTCACTAGTCACTCTGTGGTTGCATTTGCTGGTCTTCTTCTCTTCCTTAACTTCTTTTTGTTGCTGTTAGAACAACTCAGCAAAATAAAATTTGGGTTTATTGTTGCACAATATTGTTTCACACATACATCAAATAGGCCTAAATAAATAAGCAGCCATTTCATAGACAAAAAAGGCAAATAAATGAAACATTTTATCTTTGGCCTTTTTAACCATCTCACACAAACCAACTACTTATGGTACAACTAACTACATACACTAAAGAAGCTACTGGAATGCTCAGAACGAGACTTTTTGTTGTTGTTGTTGTTTTTGAGATGTAGTCTCGCTCTGTTGCCCAGGCTGGAGTGCAGTGGCACAATCTTGGCTCACTGCAAGCTCTGCCTCCCGGGTTCACGCCATTCTCCTGCCTCAGCCTCCCAAGTAGCTGGGACTACAGGCTCCCGCCACCACGCCTGGCTAATTTTTTGTATTTTTAGTAGACAGGGGGTTTCACCATGTTAGCCAGGATGGTCTCGATCTTCTGACCTCGTGATCCACCCACCTCGGCCTCCCAAAGTGCTGGGATTACAGGCGCGAGCCACCGCGCCCAGGCTTTTTTTTTTTTTTTAAACAAGGTTTTTTTTTTTTTTTTTTTTCCTCCTTTGAGATTATAATGAATATGGTCACACCACAAGTAAAGTCAGAAGTAAGACAGAGAACCCTCCAAAGGCTGGCTTGGTCATCTGAGATCATTAAAAATGACTGAACCTGGCTGGGCGCCGGTGGCTCACGCCTGTAATTCGAGCACTTTGGGAGGCCGAGGTAGGTGGATCACAAGGTCAGGAGATAGAAACCATCCTGGCCAACCTGGTGAAAGCCTGTCTCTGCTAAAAATACAAAAATTAGCTGGGTGTGGTGGCGGGCGCCTGTAATCCCAGCTACTCAGGAGGCTGAGGCAGGAGAATCACTTGAACCCAGGAGGTGGAGCTTGCGGTGAGCCAAGATCGCACCACTGCACTTGAGCCTGGCGACAGAGCTAGACTCCGTCTCAAAGAAAAAAAAAATGACCCTAACAATATGTACAAAAATATAAAATGTAAATAAAAAATACAAACAAACTTCCTTTTTAAAGTACTTTTAAAAGAGCAAGACCTTGGAAGTTTTGGTTCTTTTTTCCTCCTCTGTTGCAAATTCTCTGGTTTGGGTTGGGTGGTGGTGAGTGCCTGTCATCTGCAGTGGCACTGTCTGTGGAGGGCAAGCAGGCCTCTCGAGGGCAACCATGTTTAGATTCTGAGATGGGAAGTGGAGGGTGAATAGGTCACGGTGGCCTTAATTTAAAGTTTAACTTTTCTTTTTTTGCTGTCTAATCATCCTCACTGGCCTTCTGCTGCTTGGTATCAACATCGTCATCTTCATCATCATCAGCTGCCCATTTGTCCATACCGCCTCAGCTGCTTCGTTTTCATCTCCGTTCTTTTCTTCACCATCACCTTCCTCTTCCTTCTCCTCTTTCTCCCCACCCTGTTCCTCTTCTTCATCTACCTCGTTGTCAGCCTCCTGCTCCCCATTTTCCTCATTAGCGTTCCCGTTAGCATGGGCGTCTCTTCCACTTTCTGCCTCCTCCACAACTTCTCCTTGAAGTCCTTGGTGGTGATCACGGAGCTTGTGTCCACAACTGCCTCTGACATGGTGGGGCACAGCGGTGATCCGATGCAAGGGATTAAGAAGAAAGTGAGAGTTTGGGGACTATGTCGATTAAGCTGCCAGACTCTGAGGCAGCAGAGGAAGTGCATGGCGGAGGTGGCTGTGGTGAGCAGGACACCGAACCAGGAACAATGCAAAGATGGCTTTTCAGAGCAGCCAGTTGGGGGTCCTCACTTCTTAAAGAGGGCCCAAAGGGGCAGCTTCTCTATCTATAATCTTTCTATGGTGATCGCATCCTGTCTGTTGGCTTTAGATACCAGATGTATGCTGAAAACTCTCCTCCCCAAACCTCCTCCCTGATCTCCAGGGAAGTATCCAACTGTCTACTCAAACCTGGACATATCACAGACATCTCCAATTAACATATTAAAAATGTACTCCTAGTATTTCCCCCAAAGCTGGTCTACCTACCATCTCAGTTAAAGCAACTTCATTCTTCCAGCTGCTCAGGCTTTGGCATTGTCCTAAAGTCCTCTTTCTCCACATACAATCTGTCAGGAAATCTTACTTGCTTTACCTTCAAAATATTTAAAATTTGACCACTCTTTACCATCACTACTGCTACCACCTTGGTCTGAGCCACCACCATTTTTCGCCAGGATTGTTGCTGCCTAATTAGTCTACTTGCTTCTACTCTGGCTCCCTTATTGCCGTTTCCATTTTTTTTTTTTTTTTGATATGGGGTCTTACTCTGTCACCAGGCTAGAGTGCAGTGCAGTGGCACAATCTCAGCTCACTGCAACCTCTACCTCCCTGATTCAAGCAATTCCCCTGCCTCAGTCTCCCGAGTAGCTGGGATTACAGGCGAGCACCACCACACCTGGCTAATTTTTTTTTCTATTTTTAGTAGAGATGGGGTTTCACCATGTTAGCCAGACTGGTCTTGAAGTCCTCAGGCAATCCACCTGCCTCGGCCTCCCAAAGTGCTAGGATTACAGGTGTGAGCCACTGTGCCCGGCTATTGCCTGTTCTTAACAGCCAAAGTGATCTTGTTAAAAAGGAAAAAATCAAGATCACAGCCAAAATGATCTTTTTCTTTTTTCTTTGATGGAGTCTCGTTCTGTTATCCAGGCTGGAGTGCAGTAGTGCGATCTCAGCTCACTGCAACCTCTGCCTCCCAGGTTCAAGCGATTCTTCTATCTCAGCCTCCCAAGTAGCTGGGGCTACAGGTGCCCGCCACCACACCCGGCTAATTTTTGTATTTTTAGTAGAGATGGGGTTTCACCATATGGCCAGGCTGGTCTCGAACTCCTGACCTTGTGATCCACCTGCCTGGGCCTCCCAAAATGCTGGGATTACAGGAATGAGATACCACACCTGGCGCTATTTTTTTTTTTTTTTTTTTTTAAGAAGGAGTCTTGCTCTGTCGCCCAGGCAGGAGTGCAGTGGTACAATTTCAGCGGCTCACTGCAACCTCCGCCTCCCGGTTCTAGTGATTCTCCTGCCTCAGACTCCCAAACAGCTGGGATTACAGGCACCTGCCATCACACCCAGCTAATTTTGGTATTTTCAGTAGAGACCTCAGGTGATCCACCTACCTCGGCCTCCCAAAGTGCTGGGATTACAGGTGTGAGTCGCCACCCCTGGCCTGATCTTATTTTTTACTTAAAATAAAAGCCAGTCTTTGCAGTAGCCTATAAGGCCCCTCCTCCGCATTACCTCTCTGGTCTCATCTCCTACCATACTCCTCCGCTGACTCATGCTGCTCTGGACACAGCCAATTTGCTCTTTCAGGCACACTCCCACCTCACGGCCATACACTGGTGGTACCTTCTGTCTGGGATGCTCTCTCTCCAGATATTTCTTGGCTCTTACTCTTTTTTTTTGTTTGTTTGTTTTGAGACAGTCTCACGTTGTTACCCAGGCTGCAGTGCAGTGGTACCATCTCGGCTCACTGCAGCTTCGACCTCCTGGGCTTAAGCAATCCTCCTGCCTCAGACCCCCAAGTAGCTGGGACCACAGGTGCGTGCCACTACACCTGGCTAATTTTTGTGTTTTTTGTAGAGATGGGGTTTCACCATGTTGCCTAGGCTAGTCTCGAACTCCTGGGCTCAAGTGATCCACCCACCTCGGCCTCCCTAAGTACTAGGATTGCAGATGTAAGTCACCACGCCCAGCCTTGGTTTTTATTCTTTTTTTTTGAGATGGAGTCTCGCTCTGTCACCCAGGCTGGAGTGCAGTGGCGCGATCTCGGCTCACTGCAAGCTCTGCCTCCCAGGTTCACGCCATTCTCCTGCCTCAGCCTCCCGAGTAGCTGGGACTACAGGCACCCAGCTAATTTTTTTGTATTTTTTTTAGTGGAGACAGGGTTTCACCATGTTAGCCAGGATGGTCTAGATCTCCTGACCTCGTGATCCGCGCGCCTCGGCCTCCCAAAGTGCTGGGATTACAGGCATGAGCCACCGTGCCCGGCCAGTTTTTACTCTTACTTCCTTTCAGTTATTGCTCAAATGACACTTTCTCAGTGATGATCCCCTTTCAACCTGCAATCCCACATACTCCCATCCCCACCTTACTTGAGTACTCCCAAACCCTTACTTGCTCTCATTTTTCCAGAGCACTTATTAACCATATTGTTTATTATGTTTGTTTGTCTCTCCAGCTAGAATATAAGCTCCACCACTAAGACAGGGACTTTTGTCTGTTCCCTTCTTTTTCTGTTTTTTTTTTTTGTTCCGAGACAAGAGTCTCGCTTCGTCCCCCAGGGTGGAGTGCTGTAGCAGGACCTCGGCTCACTGTAACCTCTGCCTCCGGGGTTCAAGCAATTCTCCTGCCTCAGCCTCCCGAGTAGCTGGGATTACAGGCGCACGCCATCATGCCCAGTTAATTTTTATATTTTTAGTAGAGACAGGGTTTCACTATGTTCCACATGCTGATCTCGAACTCCTGATATCAGGTGATCCTCCTGCCTTGGCCTCCCAAAGTGTGGGGATTACAGGCATGAGCCACCATGCCTGGCCCTTTTTCTTTTTCTTTTTTGAGATGGAGTCCTCACTCTGTCGCTCAGGCTGGAGTGCAGTGGTGCAATCTTGGTTCACTGCAACCTCTGCCTCCCGGGTTCAAGTGATTCTCCTGCCTCAGCCTCCTGGGTAGCTGGGATTACAGGTACCCACCATCATGCCCCGCTAATTTTTGTATTTTTAATAGAGACGGGGTTTTACCATGTTGACCAGGCTGGTCTCAAACTCCTGACCTCAAGTGATTCGCCCACGTCAGCCTCCCAAAGTGCTGGGATTACGGGCATGGGCCACCGCACCGCACCTGGCCTTTTTTTCTGTTTTTGTTTTCATTTTTGGAGACAGGGTCTCTCTCTGTTGCCCAGGCTATAATGCAGTGGCGCGATCTTGGCTCACTGCAACCTCTGCCTCCCAGGCTCAAGCGATTCTCCCATTTCAGCCTCCCAAGTAGCTGGGACTACAGGCTCGTGCCACCACGCCTGGCTAATTTTTTTTTGTATTTTTTGTAGAGACAGAGTTTCGCTATGTTGCCCAGGCTGTTGTCTGTTTCATTGAGTAAACCATTCCTAGTGCCCAGAACACTGCCAGGCACTCAATGTTTATTGGATGAATGGGTAGCATTAGTAACATTTTGCTGCACTTAGTTATAAACAAGACTTCCTTCCCTATATTAGGCCAAAGCTCCATGAGGACAGGGAATGCATATTATTCTGGACCCTTAATAAATACTGACTGACCAGATGAGTAATGAACTATGTGAAAACAAGGAGGTGAAAATGAGCTGGCTATGTTTGGGTTGAAAATTAGTCATAAGGGGTCGGGCACGGTGGCTCACGCCTGTAATCCCAGCACTTTGGGAGGCCGAGGCGGGCAGATCACAAGGTCAGGAGATCTAGACCATCCTGGCTAACACGGTGAAACCCCATCTCTACTAAAAATACAAAAAATTAGCTGGGTATGGTGGTGGGCACCTGTAGTCCCAGCTACTCGGGAGGCTGAGGCAGGAGAATGCCGTGAACCTGGGAGGCGGAGCTTGCAGTGAGCTGAGATCGTGCCACTGCACTCCAGCCTGGGTGACAGAGCGACTCTGTCTCAAAAAAAAATTAGGCATAAGGGTTGTGTGCGGTGGCTCACACCTGTAATCCCAGCACTTTTGGGAGGCTGAGGTGGGCACATCACTTGAGGCCATGAGTTCAGGACCAGTCTGTCCAACATGGTGAAACTCCATCTCTACTAAAAATACAAAAATTAGCTGGGCATGATGGTGCATGCCTGTAATCCCTACTACTCAGGAGGCTGAGGCACAAGAATCACTTGAACCCCGGAGGCAGAGGTTGCAGTGAGCTGTGATCGTGCCACTGCAATCCAGCCTGGACGATGGAGCAAGGCTACATCTCACAAAAAAAAAAAAAAAGAAAAATTAGGTGTAGGAAACAACTTGTGGTAAAGAATCAAAATAAGTCTGGGTACAGTGGCTCACGCCTATAATCCCAGCACTTTGGGAGGCTGAGGCAGGTGGATCTCTTGAGCCAGGAGTTCAAGACCACCCAGTGCAACATAGTGAGACCTCATCTCTACAAAAAATAAAAAATTAGCCAGGCATGGTGGTGCATGCCTGTAGTCTCAGCTACTCAGGAGGCTAAGGGAGGAGTATCGCTTGAGCCCAGAAGGTTGGGCTGCAGTGAGCCAAGATCCTGCCATAGCACTCCAGCTTGGGCAACAGCAGGAGACTCTGCTTTGAAAAAAAAAAAAAAAAAGTCAGATGCGGTGGCTCACACCTGTAATCCCAGCATTTTGGGAGGCCAAGGCGGGCAGATCACAAGGTCAGGAGTTTGAGACCAGCCTGGCCAGTATGGTGTAACTCCGTCTCCACTAAAGATATAAAAATTAGCTGGGTGTGGTGGTGGGTGCCTGTAGTCCCAGCTACTCAGGAGGCTGAAGCAGGAGAATCGCTTGAAACCAGGAAGTGGAGGTTGCAGTGAGCTGAGATTGCGCCACTGTACTCCAGCCTGGGCAGCATGGCGAGACTCCATCTCAAAAAAAAAAATCAAAATAGATGAGAAAGAAGTCACTACAGGATGAGAGATGGTACCACAAGAGAAAGAAAGAGCCTGGTTGTAGAAAATGAAACCTATGTGATAGGAAATAAGTCACTACTTCTTTGCCATAAATAACAAATAAATTCAATGGGAATGCTCAGTGGGGATCTATTCTCTGAAACCTCTAACCTGTGGGACTGTGGTCTCCAGATTGTAGTGCTTATTCAGGAATTTCAGCAGCTTCTGTGAGGGTCGGTCAATTGCCAGTTGGTGCGGTTCCACTCGCTCCTTCTGCAGGGAAAAGGAGACTCAGGGTAGGAGGAAGTATGGGGAAAGCATGCCAACAGGAAGCCAGAAGCCTGGGAAGGGAATAGAATGACATGGGAACATGGGGGGTGGGAGGCAGGGCTTCTGGAAGGGCTCAGGGCAAAGGAGCCCCTAGTTTGGATGAACCAGTGAAGAGGTCAGTGATACCTGCAACATATACTGGAAGAGTTCTCGCCCATGGCCATGGCGTTGCACAGACTCATGGATGTAAAAGTCCAGGATGCAAAGTGGTTCTACCTCATTATGAGCCTCACGATCATCCTAAGAGAGAAACAATAAAAATGTTTTAGGAACCCCGGCATCTCTGCTGCCCCCTAACCTCCAGCACTTTTGTTCTCAGAAACCAAGGTATACGAACTCCTAGCATCCAATAACACTCACCAGTACAAAGAGCTTCTTGTATCCAACTTTGATGAAACCAATAATGGCTCCTTTTCCAGCCCTGTAGGACGGGGAAAATAATGAACAGGCTAGTGGTATCTATCTGCAAGAGATAGTCAAAGATGGGGGAAGGGCTGAGGAAGGAAGGAATTAAGTATGGGATGGAAGAGCATGTGGCACTCACGGTCGGGCTGAACTGTCTTTGAGAATATAAACAACATGGCGGTTACTCTGCATCCTTGATGCACTAGTGATAGGAGCGGAAAGATTCTGGGCCTGCAGGGAAGATTAAGTCAGACTTTCTGCAAGTCTCTCCGAAGGACCCAGGCCTCCCTTATATACCATCCCCACAGAGGTCCTCCCTTTACTCCATCTAAAAACTCTCCAGTACCTTGGCAGAAGCCTTGCCCAGTTCATCTATAATGGTCATAATTTGCTGCTGTAGATCAACACTAGAGAAAGAGAAGAAATAAAGAGTCAGATACTCACTAAATTAGCGGGTCCTAGGCAGTCAGTCCTGGGAACCTGGGCCACAACTCCAACCCAGGTTTAACACTGAAGGCTCCCTGCCTTTGCCTGGGAGTCTTCCAATCTGATTTCCCACCCCACCCTTCTGAAACCCAAACTTCTGTCACACCTTTCAAGGTGGCACACTCCCTCCTCCCTTAAGGTTATTGTGAGGAAGCAGAAAGGCCAGGTCAACCACATCCTTTGATTGGGACATTTTGGGCCCGGGGTGAAAGGTCACAGATCCAAGCGCTGATCAATCCCACTAGGCCCAGGGTCAGAGGTCACCAAAAAGGCAGGCCTGGACATCAAAAGGGGCGATCACTAGTCAGTGAGAAGGGGGCGTGGTGCCTGGACCAGGTTTGGAGAGGAACCGGGAGAAAAGGGCCAGAGGGTGGGTTTGAGCTGTCACCGGGCCGGCGTTGTGGTTCCGGGTCGGCGGGCTGGGGGCCTCAGGTGCTGGTCCAGCACCGTGATCCGCTCCGGGAACAGCGCGTCCACATCGAACGGGAACTCCATGGCCCATTGTGCGCGGTCGGACCCGCCCCACACGACGTCACTTCCGCCCCTCCTCTCGCCGCACCGCCTCTCGGAGTCTTTATTTCCAGGAGCCCCGCCTGTAGACCTTGCCCCCTAGCGTCCTGGCAACTGACAGGGCCCCCGTTTTTCTTGCCAAACCAGCTGTGCCCCTAGCAGTGCCACTCCTTTCCATCCCTGCATCCCACGGCAGTGAGTGCCATGGCAACGTAGTCTTCCTTGGCCCAGTGTCTCACTGTCCAACCTTTTATCCCCTCAGTGAACAGTGGGCCATGCTGTGGAGTGGGGGCCCACAAGGCATCTTGACAGAGTGGCACAGCTGCCCATCCCCGGCTTCTAGTCCCAGGCGTCACAGGCAAGGCTGGCTTAAGCCTGACCACTTATCTCCCCACAGCATCACCCAATTGCTTATATGAAAAGACCATCACTCAGCCCACCCCCCGCTAATGGCATTCATCGGAAACAGCCCAAAGCAAACCAGAGACAGTAGAGCTTTATTGTGTAAAAGCTGAGTTGGTAGAAGTATGAAACGGCAACAATGTTTAGCCCAGCCCATCTATTTACAATATATAGGGGTTGGGGTTTCCCATACACATCTGTACCACCCGCCCTCAGCCTCAAGATTTATCCCTATCAGCAACATTCATTTCCTGGATTTGTCACTGGCCACAAAAGACACAACTCTTCAGGGTGATATCCCATCACATAAACCTACATACACATTATCTCCTAGTCCCTCTAGCTCTCTTCCCAGTCTTTTTTTTTTTTTTTGAGACAGGGTCTAGCTGTCACCCAGGCTGGAGTGCAGGGGTGTGACTGCAACTCACTGCAACCTCCGCCTCCTGGGATCAAGTGATCCTACCTTAGCCTCCCCAATAGTTGAGACTACAGGTGTGCACCACCACACCCAGCTAATTTTTGTATTTTTTGGTAAAGACGAGGTTTCACCATGGTGCCCAGGCTGGTCTCAAACTCCTGGGATCAAGTGATCAGCCCACCTTGGCTTCCCAAAGTGCTGGGATTACAGGAGTGAGCCACCACGCCTGGCCTCTCTTCCCAGTCTACAGCTCCTACAGAGCACTCTGAGGGCCTGTCTGCCCAGTGGAGGAGGCTTCCGCTGGTGTTCTAGGGGGCATCTTGGGCATTGACTCAGGTGGGGGGCCACTCTCTTCTTGGAGATGACCCTGGTAAAGCCGGCGAAGGCGAGACAGTTCTCTCTCCGGTGGCTGTTTCCAGTTGTACCATGGGTACCAGGGGTCACCTGAGACCAGGGTGGGGGCTGGCGGAGTAGCACTCACAGCCCCATGAGAGGTACTGAAGTCAAGGTCCCGTGGTTCAACCTGGGGGATGTGGTAAATGAGGAGACCTAAGGGATTAAAAAAGAAAAGAAATTTAAGAGGCAATGAGGAGGGTGGTTTAGATGAAGTAAGAAAAAGGATTATAAAGGGAAGGACCAGTCAGAGCCACCAGGTACATTTATGCATGTTGTATACTGCAAACAGGTGACCGGCCCAGAGGGCAAGTGTGGGCTGACATACTGCTGGGGCTCTTGCTTACAAAGCTGTGCAGTGCTGAACAAGGACTATGAAGCTGCATCTGCCCTAGCAGAGGGGTATACTTTTTACTAACTTATGCAGCAGTGCCATGTAGTCCAGGGCCAGACATTTATATAAAGAACTTCCTAAGGCATTGAGACCAGCAGTTGTAAAATAGGAGGGAAAAGGATGGAAAGACAAAGAACAAGGAGACAGGACAATGATAAAGTAAGACACTCAGGAGAAAGGACAGGGGACAATGTAACGTCAGGAAGAACATGCTGGGTGCTACCATCTTGAACAGGTGTGAGCATTTATATCCATTTTCTAGCCCTAAGTCATCTTCCTTATACCTAAACAAAACTGCTGTGTGCCCCGTCTCATGCTCACCATGATCCCTGGCTTTCTGGATGGCCTGGGTCAACCGCTTGTGCTGCTTCACACAGACTCCTGTGGGGAGAAAAATATCTTGTTCTTTAAGGCACAGTAAATAATAGAACACAACTGCTTCCATATGGTGACAGAGGGGTAGATTGGGAAGGATTGGCTTTACCTAATGACCCCTTTCCCCTGACCCCTCCATGGACCTCAGTTTCCCCATCTGCCCAAAGGAAAGAATCTCCCCCATCTTTTGGAGAGCTGGGATAAAGATTTAGGAGGGTCTAGCCACTATAGAGAAGCCATTTAATGGTAAAACCTCCAAGACAGGGAGAACACAATTTAATGGGCAAGTGTGGTTAATTAGAGGGTTGAGTTGAACAATCCACAAAGATTCAATAAAGGGAAAAGAGATTTCAGAGTTGGGGAAGGCAATCTGAGAGAGTAACAATAATAGTCCCTTCAGCCTTTACAGCTTGACTATAAGAAACTCTTGACAAACTGAACACTGATTGTACTGCCACCCCCAACAATGGTGAATTCAGATTATTCTCTGCAAGGCCAGGCACGGTGGCTCATGCCTATAATCCCAGCATTTTGGGAGGCTTAGGTGGGAGGATCACTTGAGGTCAGGAGTTCAAGACCAGACTGGCCAAAATGGTGAAACCCTGTCTCTACTAAAAATACAAAAAAAATTAGCCAGGCACAGTGGCACGTGCCTGTAATCCCAGCTACTTGGGAGGCTGAGGCAGGAGAACTGCTTGAACCCAGGAGGTGGAGACGGCAGTGAGCCAAGATCATGCCACTGCACTCCAGCCTTGGGTGACAGAGTAAATGAGATTTCATCCCCCCACCCACACCCCCCCAAAAAAAACAAAAACAAAGATTAGTCTCTGCCGGGCACGGTGGCTCATGCCTGTCATCCCAGCACTTTGGAAGGCCAAGGCAGCTGGATCACCTGAGATCCGGAGTTCGAGACCAGCCTGACCAACATGGAGAAACCCCATCTCTATTTGCCGGACATGGTGGCATGTGCCTGCAATCCCAGCTACTCAGGGGGCTGAGGCAGGAGAATCACTTGAACTTGGGAGGCAGAGGTTGTGGTGAGGCAAGATTGCACCATTGCACTCCAGCCTGGGCAACAAGAGTGAAACTTCGTCTCAAAAAAAAAAAACAACAAAAAATTATTCTCTGCAAATTTGTCTTGCTTCAGAGCAGGGGTTAGCAAAATTTTTCTGTCTAGAGTCATATAGTAAATATTTTAAACTCTGCAGGTCCTGTGGTCTCTGTCTCAGCTACTCAACTCTGCCATTGTAGCATGGAAGCAATTGCAGAAAATATGAAAACAAATGGACGTGACAGTGGGCCAGATTTGCCCTGTGACTGTAGTTAGGGAATAAATATAATTCTGAATTGTTAAATTTACGATTCCAAGTTTGGAAAATCTAATCCAATTGACAATGATATAAAATAACTTATGTGACAATTTGTGAGAAGTCTTTTGTAAAAGTTAAAAGACCCTATAGAAAGGAATTAATCACTGTTTATCAATTAAAAACTACATTTAGATAGTTTGCTTACAGAAGTACTTGTTTTTTTCTTTTTCCTTTTTTTTTTTTGAGATGGAGCTTCACTTGATGCCCAGGCTGGAGTGCAATGGCGCAATGTTGGCTCACCACAACCTGTGCCTCCTGGGTTCAAGCGACTCTCCTGCCTCCGCCTCCTGAGTAGCTGGGATTACAGGCATGCATCACCACAGGGTTTCTCCATGTTGGTCAGGCTGGTCTCGAACTCCCAACCTCAGGTGATCCAGCCGCCTCGGCCTCCCAAAGTGCTGGGATTACAGGCATGAGCCACCACGCCTGGCTGTATTTGTTGTTTTCTTTTGTCCACATTTAATTACTTTAGCCCCCAGCAAGCCAAGATTTCCAAAAGGTTCAGCCAGACCTTTTAGGCTATAAGCAGGAGCCACTGAACAAATACCTATTGGCCAACTACATAAACAAGGCATGCCACAAGGAAAAGCTCTCTGGTGGTGCAGGGATGATGGGCTAACCTGTGTATGGAGCATAGAAGATGATACCCGTGTGGGCGCAGACAAATTGCTCCAAGAGCTTCACGTTCTGTGGGGGAAAGTGGTAGAGAAACGTGAGGAAAAGAGGCAGGGAGAGCAGCAGGATCTTTGGACATCGAAAGTACACAATCCCTACACACCCACATGGACCACCTTCACCCCTCTACAGCTCTCCAGATGCCATCCTCCTTCATGTCCCAGTTTGGCTTCATCAATTCACTGAATCCATCCTTGCACATCCCATATTCTGTCACTGTGCTCCCATAGAAATCTCTTATGCAGAGGTTAAGTTCTTTTTTTTTTTTTTTTTTTTTTTTTTGAGACAGAGTCTCCCTGTGTTGCCCAGGCTGGAGTGCAGTGGCGCGATCTCAGCTCACCACAACCTCCGCCTCCCAGGTTCAAGCAATTCTCTGCCTTAGCCTCCCGAGTAGCTGGGGTTACAGGCGCCTGCCACCACACCTGGCTAATTATTTTGTATCTTTAGTAGAGATGCGGTTTCACCATCTTGGCCAAGCTGGCCTTGAACTCCTGACCTAGTGATACACCCACCTTGGCCTCAGAAAGTGCTGGGATTACAGGCATGAGCCACCGCGCCTGGGCTGCAGAGGTTAAGTTCTAACGTCAGCCTTTAGGTGAAAAACTGGGGCTGGTCATTGGAAATCCCAGAAATCACCCAAAAAATGATATTGTAATGTGTATGTATAAACAACTAATGTATTTAATAGTATGCTGAATATAATTTATATACTAAGAATAATTTTACAATTTACATAGAACTCTCTCTCAGCAAATTAACTAGGAAATGAGACTCTTGAAAAAAAAGCAGGTACATTGTAGAGTAGAATGCAAGCAGAATCACCCATGCTACTAAATTTGTAACATTTCTCTCTCTCAGTTATGTAATTAATTATAATCTCTGTTTTGTTTTGTTTTTGAGACGGAGTCTCGCTCTGCTGCTCAGGCTGGAGTGCAGTGGTGCAATCTTGGTTCACTGTAACCTCCATCTCCCAGGTTCCAGTGATTCTCCTGCCTCAGCCTCCTGAGAAGCTGGGACTACAGGCGCCCGCCATCACACCCAGCTAATTTTTTTTGTATTTTTAGTAGAGACGGCGTTTCACCTTGTTGGCCAGGCTGGTCTCAAACTCCTGACCTCAAGTGATCCACTCACCTTGGCCTCCCAAAGTGCTGGGATTACAAGCATGAGCCACCGCACCTGGCCATAATCTCTTTTTATAACCAATTATATGCAATTGAAACTGGGAAATTATCTATGGGACTCCTAAATAACCTGTGTTAGAAGGGTTCTTATTGCAGTCAAATACCCCCATTTTCTGACTGTTATCCAAATGCTCTACTACTTCCCTGATGATCAGCCATATAGCTTCTGCTCTAATACTTTTGCTGCAAGCTCAGAAGAACACTTTCCCATTATCTGTTTTATTGATATAATGTTTTCAAATTCTTTTTGTTTTGTTTTTCTTTGAGGAGTTTCACTCTTTCGCCCAGGCTGGAGTGCAGTGGTGCAATCTCAGCTCACTGCAACCTCCGCCTCCCGGGTTCAAGCAATTCTCCTGCCTCAGCCTCCCAAGTAGCTGGGATTATAGGCGCCTGCCACCATGCCTGGCTAATTTTTGTATTTTTAGTAGAGACAGGGTTTCACCACGTTGGCCAGGCTGGTCTCAAACTCCTGACCTCAGGTGAAGCACCTGCCTGGGCCTCCCAAAGTGCTAGCATTACAGGCATGGGCCGCCGCACCCAGCCAATATGTTTTCAAATTCTTTAAGGAGCAAATCCTGTCCTTCTCACATATTGAAGGCTTTTTGAAAAATAATGGACTCTATCTTGCTTCATATACCTGCCCTCCAGCCCCAGGTGCCAGCATGGCACTGAACATTGACAAGGAAATAAAGAAAACCTCAGGAAGAAAGTGGGCCAATATATTTGGTAATAACTGTAATGAATACAAACGAATCTTTGGATATTGGCTCTCCCACTAGAAATAGCCATTTCGCTGGCTGGGTGTGGTGGCTCACACCTGTAATCCCAGCATTTTGGGAGGCCGAGGCGGGTGGGTCACAAGGTCAGGAGTTTGAGACCAGCCTGGCCAATATGGTGAAACTCTGTCTCTACTAAAAATACAAAAAATAGCTGGGCTTGGTGGCACAAGCCTGTAGTTACAGCTACTTGGGAGGCTGAGGCGGGAGAATCGCTTGAACCCAGAAGGCGGAGGTTGCAGTGAGCTGAGATCACGCCACTGCACTCCAGCCTTGGCAACAGAGTAAGACTCCGTCTCAAAAAAAAAAAACAGCCATTTCTCTTACCTGCCAATTTAGACTGTAAATTTCATAGGCATAGGATAAAACTTTCAGTACAATCCATAGTAGAAGGTAAAAGGCTGGAGGGATGTTTTTATAATGCCAGAAACAGTTACTATAAAACGGACTGTAGGGCCTCCTGGATATACGAAGTGTGGGGCACCTACAGTAATCTCTTTGGCACTGCAAAGGGGCTCCTAATCTTTATTTTTCTTTTTAATTTTTTTTATTTTATTTTATTTTTTTTTTGAGACGGAGTCTCACTCTGTCGCCCAGGCTAGAGTGCGGTGATGCGATCTCAGCTCACCGCAAGCTCTGCCTCCCGGGTTCACGCCATTCTCCTGCCTCAGCCTCCTGAGTAGCTGGGACTACAGGCGCCCGCCACCACAACCGGCTAATTTTTTGTATTTTTAGTAGAGACGGGGTTTCACCGTGTTAGCCAGGATGGTCTTGATCTCCTGACCTCATGATCCACCTGCCTTGGCCTCCCAAAGTGCTGGGATTACAGGCGTGAGCCACCGCGCCCAGCCCCTAATCTTTATTTTTCTTACCCTAAAAAGAAAAGACTCTCCTTACCCTAAAGTCAACATGCAACTTGTGATCTCGACAGATGGGGCAGGGATTCCCAACAACTTTATTCCGACGCTGTAGAGAGAAAAAAAACAGCAGTTAAGGATGTTCAAACACGTCAGAAAAAGTGCTGCTGTTACTGTTACTTGTGGCCTCCCCGCACTCCACATCCCACTCTCAGAAACTCACAATACATGTCTTCCGAGTCCGCTGTGGGGGTACACCACCCTTGTGGTTGCGGCGGTAGTCAGCCCAGACGGGGCGAGAACCATATCGCTCCTGGTATTCTGAAATGAAAGATCATACAAGTTATTCCTGGGTGGGAGTGTAGTGGGTGGCTCTGTCCACTTATCTCAAATCCTATCTGACCCTCCCTTTCCCCCTTTAGAGGTACCTTCTGATTCCAGATATTTCCAGGGCTCATCCTTATAAGGAGAAATGGGAACTGAGGACAAAGAATCTTCCTCAGAGGGAGCTTTGGTGCAAAGAGTCTGGAGGGGAACCTACAAAGGAGAAGAAAAAAATAAAAGAATGAGTTTAAGGAAAGGACTAAATTGTTTTGCTTATCACACTTTGGAAAGGAGGAATGCACACATACTGCATTAATGGAATATAACAGGAATGCATATGTAAGTTAAGTATTTTTGTTGGGTTTAAATTGACATAAATCAACAACCACTCTCCTTTTCTACAATTGGATCCTGAAAGAAAAGCTAAGTTAGGGGATATATGCCTAAAAAACAATCTTATTTCAGAAGACAAATAAAAAGTCTAGTACAAGGCCGGGCGCAGTGGCTCACGTCTGTAATCCCAGCACTTTGGGAGGCCCAGGCAGGCGGATCATGAGGTCAAGACATCGAGACCATCCTGGCCAACATGGTGAAACCTTATCTCTACTAAAAATACAAAAATTAGTTCGGCGTGGTGGCATGCGCCTGTAGTCCCAGCTACTCGGGAGGCTGAGGCAAGAGAATCACTTGAACCCGGGAGGCGGAGGTTGCAGTGAGCCAAGATTGCGCCACTACACTCCAACCTGGCAACAGAGTGAGATTTCGTGTAAAGAAAAAAGAAAAAAAAATCTAGTACATAAAAGGTATTCTTGCTTTTTGGAAATAAATTGACTCTGGTGGAAGAATAAAGTAAGAGGAAGGATATCTAGGTTCTTGGAACTAAGATGTGTGGTGGGGAGGGGATGCAGAAGACAGGTGAGTCTCCAAATCAATCCAATGAAGTCACTGAGTTGCCCATTTTCATAAAAGCTGAAGGTCAACATTCTACAGGGCAGAACAAACTTGAGTCCTAACGCTAGTTTTAAAGCTACCAAGGCTGTTATTATTTCTGTGTTGACCTCTGTCACCACTCTTCAGTCCCACTTTAGGGAGTGGCAGCTGGGCAAGCCTTCCTATCTCACCGTGCCCCACCAAGAACCTCCAGAGAGGTGAGTACACAAGACTGGAGGGAAACCTCAATTCAAAGGACGGAGTTAAGCTCTCATAACTCCGATAAGAAACTGATTTAATAAAGAGAGCTGAGAAACTGTCCTCAGGTCGTAAGAATATATCCTGACCTTATTGAGAAATAGCAAGGTTGGTAGAAATTGGGATCCCTAATTTCCCCAAGGACATTCCAGAGCAACACAGATTTAGTCACCACTTGCATAGTTAACAGCTGGTTGTGGCGCTCGCTTGGGGAGTACATATGTTATGCTAAAATTGCAACGATACAGAGATTAGCATGGCCCCTTAATTAGTTAAATAATTTTTAAAAAGCTGGTTATGCATGACTGAGGGTGGACAGGGGTCAATTCCATCACTTAAGTTATTTTACTGAAATGGCATTTTGGAAAAAGGATGATACCTAACCCTGGCGTTTAGTCCTCGGCTCGGGATTAGAAAATGCGCGGGGTGTGGGGGGGGGGTTGCAGGAAGTACTGCCTAGACAGCTAAGACACACGTGGGAAGGTCTCCACTCGTGGATTCCTGACAGTGGAGCGACAACCTCGAGAAGGTATAACCAACTTGAGGTTGTGCAAAATGTCTTTCGAAGAGTTACCTGAACTCTGTGAGAACCTCGGAAGAGAGATAGCATAGGAAGCCGCCTCAGCACGGTGTTTAATACAGACGCCGCCATCTTGACGTACGCCCAGGACAGGAATTGACGGAAAGGCAACTGCGCATGCTTCAGGAAACTGAGTAGGGCAGGGCCAAGGACAAGCCCGCAGTGCGGAAGGCGGCCCCACGTTTGCGTCAGGACGGAAGCGTGAAAGGGAAGGCATGGGGGAGAAGCTAATTTCAACTGCGTCACAATCGAATTAGACCCCAAAATTGCGGTTTTTTTTGGCCAGTCACTACGACTCTTAGATCGCATTGTTAAAGTTTGCCTTTTAAGCAATTTTGAAGGCGATTTTTAGCGGTATCCTCTCAGTGCGCATGCGCTCTTAGGTTTCTACCAATCCTGGGTGAGAAATGTTCTCCAGGGCGGAAGTGGCGGAAGCAGAGGAAAGGGAGGTGCTAGGCTCCTGGTCACGCGCACGCGACAGGGAGGCAGGAAGGAGGCGGAAGAGAGTGCCAGGGAAAGGGGCGGAGCAAAGGTGAAGTGAGAGTAGCCAATCAGTTGGCGAGTTGTCATTTGGGTTGACCAATGAGTTCACGCCTCGCGTATAATGTCTCGCGACAAGGGCGTTTCACTAGCACGTTTGGGCGCGTTGGGCGGCGTCCGGGTATAAAAGACTCCACCCGAGCGGGCGGCCGCCATTCTGGGGTTCGTTTAGAGGTAAGTTTGCCTACTTTGTCGTCTAGTGGGTAAAATTTTGCGGAGAGCGTTGGATCTGGGAAGCGGGATAGGGATGGATGGGTTCATTTGAGAGCCACGGCTTAAAGCGGTTGCGATCAGGATGGGACACAGGTTTGTTTGGGGACAACAAAGATGGCATTTGTGAGTGTTTTGAAGCAACCCGTACTGATTACATCTTTCTCCCTTGTGTTCCTTTTATCCCAGGTTTGAATTTTCTCGGAGAAAGACAGGCCGGCCACGAGGAAAACAGAAACAAGCCGCAGCAACATCTAAGCCCTTGAAAGGATCCTGAGAGAGGGGGGAAAGGGAAAACAGCAGCCACCAGCCCAACCACTTGTGTCTTCTGCCCCTTCCCACCTATCTTGCCCACCCCACCAGCCCACGCTGCTTGGGACTTGAAATCTGTGGCCGAAGGACCGTCACTACATAACTTCAAAAATAATCAACCACCCTCCCTTCCCAAACCACCCAAATTCACTCATCCAGCGTTTACTTTTTTGAATCCACTCAGAACTTTTTTCTGCGACCCCCCTCCCTAAATGGAGTTGGGTGGGGGGGAAATGAATACTGAGTTGGCCTTTATTTTTTAAAAGACTTTTTGATCCAATGAGGCCCCCTAAATAATTGAGTTTTGGGTCCTGGTTGGTTGTTTTATTTTTTTTCCTCCAAAATTTTACCCCCTCCCCCCTGAGCCCGAGGTGCTGACGTCGCAAAAAAATTGGATAGTAAGTGTCGAATTTTCAAAAACCAGCCTTGCAACAAGAAATCAACGTTTCCCGTTGTGAAACCAAAAATAATGAGAGGAAGAAATGAGACCATAGAACAAATAGAGAACTGGAGAAGGACCAATCTGGTCACTTAATCTCCATTAAAAAGGGCCTGTGGGTCTAAACAGTCTTGTTCTCTCTCCCCTACCACCTATCTCTTCCCTGCCTTGCTGCAGGCAAAGAGAGGGTGGAGGGAGGGCCAGCAAGTGAGGATTTTGATGGTTAACCCTTGGTAATCCAGCCAATTTCCAGACTGCCAAAGCCATATGTGTTTATATAAGGAGGAATGGTTACCTTCCTCTGGTTAGCAGCAGTCTTCAAAAGGGTTAATGAGCTCACATACAAGAGATGGTGGATCTTGTGGCCCAGAAGTACCACTTCTTTGTGTGTGAGACAAGCAGGGTGCCTTTCAATTTGCCAGATTAATAAGCAATCTGTACATAAAGATTGCAGGGTAAGGAGATGGGCAGAGAGAAGTAATAGCTCGCTATAACTTTTTAAATGACTGTTAAATCCTCTCAATTTTAATGTAATTTGCTTGGGGTATATTTGTGTGGTTAAAATAGGTGGCAATCTAGGAATAAAGATTGCAAGACACTTAGGACAAAATATAATCTTAGTGCCAGTACATACAAGATAATAGTTGGGGAGGTAAAGAATGTCTTATAATTGTTGCAGATTGCATAGGTATTTAAAAGCAAAAGAGTGATTAACATTTTAACTTGATATTTTTTGGTGGGGGAGGTACAGTTAAATAGAGGGTGGAAAGGTTGGGAAATGTGGAATTTAGGAGTATAATTTTAAAAGCCATTTAGTGCAATTGAATGCTAGCTTTCTAAAAGATTTGTGTCGTTAAAAGGAATTTTTTTCTTCCCTGCTTCAATATGGCGACTTTCCTTGTCCTTTTGTCTTCCAAGCGGCGTTGCAGGTTGTGTCTTGACCCATTTTTTTTCCTGTCCTCCCACCTCAACCCTATTTGTTGAGAGGGGTCCAAGTCCTTCCTCCCCCTTTCCCTCTATAGGGAGGATGGGGGTGGTCGATGGTAGCCGGTTGAACCTCCGTTGCAAATTCAGTTCTTCCCTGCAGAAAATTGTTCTTTTTAATATTTTAATTGCTTTAATTTTCACTACGCTCTTACTGATCAAAATAGGTCAAAGATTATTCACGATGGGGAACTGGTTTTTGATTTTTTTTTTTTTTTTTTTTACTAAAAAGGTGTTTTATAATGTAACTGAAGCTACCGGCAGAGCCGGGTGGCTTTTTAGTTTAAGTCCTCTTTCTCCATTACAAAATGGCGTCCCTCCGTCTTTGTTGTTTTTCTCCCCCTTTTGCCATCCTGAGCTTAGGGCCGCCCTAGAAACTTGGTCAAGTGGGAGGAGCAGCCTTGAAAGGTGATGTAATCAGCTTTCTTCCTCCTCTCTCCACCCTCTTGAAGCTCCACCCCTGAGCAGATGCTTTTGCACTGCCTGTGCTCGTTGCTGCTAGGGAGAAGACATTTTCCTTATTTTCATTATATAAAATATCTTAAAGGGATAGGAGCTTATAGGAATTAAGTATCAAGGCTGTCCATCTCTGTGTAGTTCTAGTTTTTATAGAACCAGTTTTTATTTTCACTTTCCTTCACTCATCACAACTGCTTGTAATTTTTCCCCACTTCAGCTGCCAGGGGTGAAAAAACAGGCAAACCTAAGACTGGGAAGCTTTGAGGATGTGTGTGAGCGTGTGTGTATGTATATATGTGTGTAGAGGGAGATGGGAAAGACACAAGGGCTTGCAAGAGTAACTTGGAGATAAACGGGCCTAATGACACTGAAGTGTGCCATTTCTGCTTAGGAACCAGTGGGCCTCCTGCATTTGGTCGCTTTGTGTAATGAGAATCGGGGGAAGGTGGGTACTTTTAGGACTTTCTTCTAAATCGCCCTCATTCCCACCTCTCAGTTTGGGGATAAACTGTATTCAGTGCTGTATCACGTTCTGCACTTGATTAGTTCCTGTACATTGGTACTAGGATAAGAAGTGAATCTTTAGGAAAGGAGGCGGCAGTTGTAAACTCAAGGCAGGGGGAATCAAGCTACGGTTTCTGGTAAGCAAAACCTTTCTGGTATTACATTTCACAACTTTCATTTTTTTTTTTTCCCCAAAGAGCCACCTTTTTTGAATTTCTTTTTCCTTCCCTTCTAAAAGAAATTCCTAAAAGCATTAATGAAAAAATGATGTCCTCTTCATTTTTCAACTCATGCAGTGCTGTGGCATTTGGTGCATGTTCAGAAGCCATGCCCTATCTGAGGGTGGTATTGGGTGTCTGGTTCCTTTCTTCCCCCAAATTTTTCAAAGTCAAATCTTTATCAGACTCTCCATATAATTTTAATTTTTAAAAGTCCTGCACTGAAGCGTGGAGGTTCTAGGCAGAATTGGAAAGTATAACTGCCCTCTGGTGACCTGGGTGAGACTTAGGGCTAACTTCCTACTGGGTACAGATTCTCAAATTATTACTTAAGCTTCTGGATTGGATGGGAGGGACTCTTCACATGTCTGTTGACTACAAGCTTTTTTTGTTTTGTTTTGTTTTTTTCTTTTAAGCAGTTTGCCATGTGCCTCTGCAGCATATCTTCCTTGGGAGCTGAACATTCTACCCACTGGGGTTCCTGATCTCTAGTGAGCCAGGGGATTAATAAAGAAGATCTTCCTTAACATGGGAGATGGGAAGCCAGGTCTACTAGGGGAACCACATCCATTCAGAAAATCTTGGAAAACCTGATCCTTGTAGTTTGTGGCCAGAGTTCTAGTCTGGGGTCTTTTTCTATGAGTCAGGGTGGTATATCATTTTGCATCTTTATTGGAAGGCAGATAAGCTTTTGAGGAGCTCATGTATCAGGTTTGCAAAATGACTGAGGGGTAGGGGCTTACTACTTGGAAGAAAGCTATGACCTTGTGATGAATCACCTGAGAGACATAATTCAGTCCACTATTGTGTCAAACTAGGAAGTGCCTAAAACACTGAAGAAAGGAAGGGGAACATAAGGGGTTAGGTACAAATCATTTTCATTTCCAGAAGTGCCTCTAAATTAAGGTAAATTTGGGACTTTTTTCTCCTTTTGTTAGAAGACAGTTATTTTTTAAAGAGCTCTGACTTGCACAGAATTTTTATCCTGAACCAATTCAGTCCTGTTTCATTGGTGATGGGTGTGGAATAACTTTAGCTATGCTGGATATTTTTTCACCCTATTTAATTGAATAACCCTCAAGTAAAATTCATTTTGAAGGCAGGAGTTGGTGTCACAGACGTTTATCTCTGGTAAAAATGGTAGAAAATTCCCCAATGCCTTGTGCCAGTAGAGTATGGCTCTGCCTGAAACATTCTCCATAAGGAACGCATAGCTTAGGATGAGGTGGAGGTAGGCCAGGGGGTTGCTACCTCACTCCCCACCTTCTGTATGTTCTGCAGTCAAGAAAATAGCAGCTCATTAAAAGAAGACATAATCATGCCGTGGATTACTTGTGGTTCCAGAAAGCTTTCTTAAGCTTTCATTCTAGACTCCAGATCTTGAGTAGGTAATGTTACAACACTTAGTCACGGCCCCTGCCTGCCTTCATCAACTCAGTTTGCCTTCTCTGCTGTAGCCCTGTGCCCGAAATGTTGGACTTTACATTCCTTTCCACTTGAGCGCCTTGGAAATTGTTTGGTTTTTTTCCAAAATATACTGACTTCAAAGCAAGGAAACTAGGTTATAAGACACTTGGGGTCCTTAATTTTAAATAAGAACTAATCTTCCTGAAGGAAGGCCATCATGAGAAAACCCACTTACATTTTATCAAGATTGGTGCTCATGAGACAAAATTTCACTTATATTTCCAAAATATAAGTAGTGGAAAATGAATATTTAACGCTAATTTTGCTTTGTCTCTTAGCTTCCCTTTGACTATTAATGTCTTTTATTCTTGTTTATACATGTGGGAATAAAAAAGTCCCTGGATCCCATTTCCAGCAGAGGGCACTGGACAGAATTTAGCTTTGTACTCATTGGTCCATTTTTCTAAGACTGGCTCTTCTTTCTTGTCTCCCATCCTCTTAAGGAACACTTGAGCTCAGATGACAGTTTATTTAGTGTCTGAAGGAAATAGGGGTAGTAGGTCTATTTATTGGCTTAGCTTGTAGTTGGATATGCAAAAAGGAATTCTCCAGGGTTATATATATTCAACTCTGGGTTTGAATCAGTCAAGGGTAACTGGTTTGAAATGATGTTTAATTCAAGGCCTTTTGTCAAATTGCATATATTTTGCTTTAGGAATCTAATGGTAGGTATGTGTGTATATATAGAGAGAGGGAGTTTTAAAAATTTCTTAGTCTCTTGATTGCTTATGATATGTTGTTATTGGAACCCATACATTGCTTTTCCAGTCTCCAACAGATGTGATATCTGTTTTATGTGTCCCTTTATCGTATCTCTTTATAGTTTCTATAGATCACTTTATAGTATCTCACTACATGGGAAGAATACCTTTATTTCTGTGTCTGTCTCTGTGTGTGTAGGAATCACCACACTTGAGTGGATTTGGCCCACGGACATCTAATCTTTTCCAGTATTCTCCTTGAATGTTTTTTCTCTGACCTCAGGTTCCACTTGTATTTGTGGAGGTTCCAGGGCAGCAGCGACTTCTCAACATTTCTTGCCTCATCTCTCCCTCTGTTCAGCCCACAGGTTATGATCTCCAGAGCCAAGATTATACTCCTACCCTTCCTGGCTGCCTCCTCCCTGCTTCTGCTGCTGCTCGCCTAGGTTGTTAGGACCTACACATTTGGAAACTTACTGACGTTTTTGTTGGGAGGACAAAAAGGCTGAGATTGTTATGCTATGTTTTTTCTTTTGTTTGAGAACAAGTAGAACTAATTTGCATTGTCTTACAAGAAACCTGTGTTTTTTCCGGCACAAAACTACTCATCTTTGTAAAATACTGATTTTTCTACCCTTCTGCTGGGATTGTGTCTGTTACTTCTGTGCTAGATGTAGGATGAGGAAGGTTTTGTTCTTGCCTCTTCCTTGCTACTCAGTGTGGGCCTTATTGCCCAAAGGCAGATATTGCTGAAGTGGCTTTCTTTTTTGGTGGTTTTTTGTTTGTTTGTTTTTGAGGCAGCGTCTTACTCTGTCTCTCAGGCTGGAGTGCAGTGGCACAATCACAGCTCATTGTAGCCTCAGTATCCCTGGGCTCAAGCAGTCCTCCCGTTTTCCCACGTCAGCCTCCCGGGTAGCTGGGACTACAGGTGCACACCATCACACTCGACTTATGTTTTGTAGAGATGAGGTTTCGCCATGTTGCCAAGGCTGGTTTCAAACTCCTGCGCTCAAGGAATCTGCCCACCTTGGCCTCCCAAAGTGCTGGGATTACAGGCATGAGCCACTGCACCCAGCCTCTTTTTTGGGTCTTAGAAGCAAGTATTTAGAGGCAGTGTAGATAAAAATCCCAATCAGAACCATATTGATCCTAAATTACCTTTCTGGAACTTCAGTTCTGGCTTGTCCCTTCCATAAAAGGAGCTTAGCTTTTAACTAATTCCCTTCCCAACCTGGTCTAAAACAGCTGCTTAAAAGGGAATTTTTCTAGCATTTGGCTTTATCTGTTCCCTTTTTAGGTTCCATGGTTTTCAGTTTTAGGCTTTCCTAGGGGATCTTGTACAGCGTGATTTTTGAGGAGAGGACCAGATTCGCATCTTTGCTTTTGAAAGCACAAACCACTAGCTTCCTTTTAACTTAGAGACAGTAAAAACTTGTGTAGTGTTTGGCTAATGAGTGACAGTCTATTCAAGGTCTAGGAGGACCTGCTTGATTTCCATGCATCCATTTGTCTCAATCTCTGGCACCTACTCCCAGATCTCCTTAGGGAGGGATTCTGTTTTCAAGTTTTGTTTTGTTCTCCATCATCTACCACTTCAGCTGATACATATCTTGCCATGTGTAGTGATTATGACTCTTAATGGGCTAAGATAAAAAGGACTCAAGTCTTATAAGACATTTAGCTCAAACACCCAAGATTGGCCCAATTTCTATCAAGCTATAGGCTGTTTTTCAAGCCAAATTTATCAGCAACTAGGGAAGACAGGACTTAACGATAGGTGTAAATGCCCTGGAGAGTTGAACATCTTGTTATGGGAACTGATCTTAGCTTTAATACGATCTAGTGAAGTTCAGCCATCCTAGGAAGGATGCTGCTGGGAGGGAGGGACAGGTGTGCTGCCCTACTCCTCCAATCGAATTGCTTTCCTGTTCAGTCACATATGCTCCCCATGCTTAACTTGCCAGGGCTATTTTCTCAGTAGTGGCAAGTGGTCTGTGTCGATTTTTCATATCTAAAAAATAGCATAGTTGAATAATTAGTCATTATACTTTGTCAAATATAGAGATGTGGTTTATTAGAGGGCCTACTCGGGTAGTCCTTGCCACCCATTTATTCTGTGGGTTTGTTTGTTTTGTCCTCTTACCATAGAAACCACCATCATGGGTTCGGGTCCCATAGACCCCAAAGAACTTCTCAAGGGCCTGGACAGCTTCCTTAACCGAGATGGGGAAGTCAAAAGTGTGGATGGGATTTCCAAGATCTTCAGGTGAGTCTTTACCCCTTTTTGTATTCACTGTGAGTAGAGAATATTGTGTGTTAAAACATGGCTGCAGTTGAGGCACACTGGAATGATCCTGGAAAGGAAAGGGAAAGATAGTCAGTGCAATAGGATTAAAATGTAACAATTTTAGGATAAGGGATAGGAAAAGATGATCACTTGTTTCTGACCATAATGGAAACTGGAGATTTGGACGTCCACGGTCCCAAGGGAGTCATGCTTTGGAATGAGAGCAGGGTAGCCTGGTAACAGAATTCTAGATTGTTTTGGTTCGTGTTCCACCTACCCATAATGTTATTTTCCTTCAGGGATTCTCAGGTTTTTCAGGGGAGAGTAAATAACTAAGCCAGTCTTGAACAGACTATTAGGGACAGTTGTTGAGGGATAGCCTTATCACCTGGAGGCAGAATGGAATTCATCCTGTGTGTTACGGAGGCAGCGATGCTCTCCTCCCCAGGTCAGAGACTGCGGTGTCTCTGTTCTCCCATAAGTTTCCATGTCACACTGGATCCATCCCATCTTCCTAGAGGTATATGTGACTCCCCTTCTCTGGAGCAAAGTCCCAAGTCATTAGGAATCTCTAGGCAGTTCACAGAGAGGCGCTTTTGCTAAGAGAAGAGATACTGGCTGCTTCATTTCTAACCCTAACTCATCTTCTGCAGTTTGATGAAGGAAGCACGAAAGATGGTGAGTCGATGCACTTACTTGAACATTCTCCTGCAGACCCGTTCACCAGAAATATTGGTCAAGTAAGTGGGGATCTGGATGGTTGGAATGGGAAGGTGTAGCGAAAAGATGGGGCGGTGAGGCATGGGGTTCCTCGGTCATTGATGGGAGACTGGGATTGTAGGATGTGGTACTGTCAAAACCTAGAAAGGGCATTACTGATAGACTCTCCTGCCTGCCTGCAGATTTATTGACGTTGGCGGCTACAAACTTCTTAACAATTGGCTGACGTATTCAAAGACAACCAACAACATTCCCCTCCTCCAGCAAATTCTACTGACCCTGCAGCATCTACCGCTCACTGTAGACCATCTCAAGCAGGTACCTTTAGTCTTTAAACCCTGATTCTTCCTTTTTTGGTTTAGTCTAATGGATGAAAAACTCAAACTGACTGATGTGGCTGTAATCTTGGGCCTGTGAGGTAGAACAGCAGAAAAAAAATAGGAATTTAGAAGAAGAAGACTTGGTTTGAATTTATCTCCTTTAATAGGTGTGTGGCGGCTGGGCACGGTGGCTCACGCCTGTGATCCCAGCACTTTGAGAGGCTGAGGCGGGCGGATCATGAGGTCAGGAGACTGAGACCATCCTGGCTGACGTGGTGAAACCCCGTCTCCACTAAAAATACAAAAAATTAGCCAGGCATGGTGGCATGCGCCTGTAGTCCCAGCTAATCAGGAGGCTGAGGCTGGAGAATCGCTTGAACCCAGGAGGTGGAGGTTATTGTGAGCCGAGATCGCACCACTGCACTCCAGCCTGGGCGACAGAGTGAGACTTCGTCTCAAAAAAAAAAAAAAAAAAGGAATGTGTCAGCCAGGTGTGGTGGCTCACACCTGTAATCCCAACACTTTGGGATGCTGAGGTGGGTGGATTGCTTGAGCCCAGTAGTTCAAGACCAGCGTGGGCAAAAATGATAAAACTCTGTCTCTACAAAAAATACAAAAAATTTACCCAGATGTGGTGGTGCATGCCTGTAGTCTCAGTTATTTAGGAGGCTCAGGTGGGAGAATCATTTGAGCCTGGGAGGTCGAGGCTGCAGTGAGCCAAGACTGCGCCACTGCACTCTAGCCTGGGCAACAGAGTGAGACTCCGTCTCAAAAAATAAAAAAAAAAAAAAAAGCAGGGAGGACTGTAACTTTTGTCGTTTTTAGCTCTAAGTGGAATTATTTGCCTCCTGGCATTTACCTTTCTGCTGCTCCCATCTCTCATAGAACAACACAGCTAAACTGGTGAAGCAGCTGAGCAAGTCAAGTGAGGATGAAGGTAGGGTGCCACTTCTGCTCTCTCATGGGCTTTTCTCTATTACTTCCACTTAATTACCTTAATATCTTTTCCCATCCTTGGATTGTCCCTTCACTTTTCTCTTTCTACCTCACCTTGCTTTTTTTCCTTCTTTTAAAGAGAAAGTTCCTCTAACCTGTACCCTCTTTCCTGTTCTCAATTCCAAAGTTGTTCATTTCTCTGTTGCTGAATATAAGGTGCCATACTTTAACTGGAAGCTGATTCCTAAAATTGCTTGTTATAAAACACATACACTTAAAATTTGCTGTGGGAAATAGTATCATCCTAGCGTGTCTCATCTGTGAAACTCCTATTACTAAATGATAAATTATGAAATGAGTTTATAAGTGGAAATGTTGGCCAGAAGAGAGGTGCCATAGATCAGAGATGTTATTTGCCAAGTACAAAAGGAAAGAGTTACAAAGTATTTTTTCATATATTTAGAAACAAATTTTATTCTTGTTTTCACATCTATAAAGGAAAATAAAAAGTCTTCAGATTGTTGTAACAATTAGGTGTGTTATACATAAAGCAACTAACGTAGCTTTTTAAAAAAATGTCAGTTTTTGAGGAACTGGTGGATTTTGGTTACATGTATAAGTTCTTTAATGGTGATTTCTGAGATTTTGGTACACTCATCACCCAAGCAGTGTACACTGCACCCAACGTGTAGTCTTTTACTAATGTAGATTTTAACCACATATTCTGAAATATTAGGTCTTTTTACTCCAGAGTGGTGTGATGACATCAGAGTTGAAAGTTATCCAAGTAGAACACAACTCTAATTCATTGTTCCATTTTTTAAGGGTTTGGTTTTTAAGCATATCTCATGTTCTTCTTAAAACTTTGGGTTACTTTCTCCGTTACATAAATTTTCACAATATTTTCTCAAACCTCCCATTTTCTGTTCCTGGAAGAATGTTACTTTACATTATTTAGGCATTTCCCCTTTCTGTCACCTGCAGAGCTCCGGAAATTGGCCTCAGTCCTTGTCAGCGACTGGATGGCTGTCATCCGCTCTCAGAGCAGTACCCAGCCTGCTGGTAAGCTCCTTAGTCCTTTATCCTTTGTATTTATTTCTTTCCTATTGGGATGTGGCCTTTAGGTGCTCCCAGTCTGCTTCACCTCTGACAGTGTTCATCTAAATAAAATCCTTTTCTGCTTTGTTTTTTCACAACAGAGAAAGATAAGAAGAAACGTAAAGATGAAGGAAAAAGTCGAACTACCCTTCCTGAGCGACCTTTGACAGAGGTGAAGGCTGAGACCCGGGCTGAGGAGGCCCCAGAGAAGAAGAGGGAGAAGCCCAAGTCTCTTCGCACCACAGCACCCAGTCATGCCAAGTTCCGTTCCACTGGTAAGACTGGCGGCTGGCCTCTGGAGGGTTCATGGGCATGTGCACACCCAGAGCCTTATGGGGGAATCATTTGATGTGTGGTATGTTAATCGTAAGGAAGAGGGAAGACTAGCAGAGGAAGCTTTGGTTACAAGGCTAGAAGAACATTTGCGGGTGAGAACGGGAGGAAAATTCGGGGGTCTGGGGTTTGAGTTCAGCTGCCCACACCGTGCTTCTTTCCCCAGGACTAGAGCTGGAGACACCATCCTTGGTGCCTGTGAAGAAGAATGCCAGCACAGTGGTGGTTTCTGACAAGTACAACCTTAAACCCATCCCCCTCAAACGTCAGAGGTATGGACCATATTCTCAGGCTCTGAATGGGGTGGATCTGTGGACACAAGGGAGCAGGAGGGGGTGAGTCGGAGATGTTGATGACAGTTCCTCTTCTGACAGCAACGTAGCTGCTCCAGGAGATGCCACTCCCCCTGCAGAGAAGAAATACAAGCCACTCAACACAACACCTAATGCCACCAAAGAGATCAAAGTGAAGATCATCCCGCCACAGCGTGAGTCTAAAGTGGGGAAGATGTACTTTGAATTAGGAGCAAACTTTTTTTTTTTTTTTTTTGGAGACAGAGTCTCACTCTGTCACCCAGGCTGGAGTGCAGTGGCACGGTCTTGGCTCACTGCAAGCTCCGCCTCCCGGGTTCACGCCATTCTCCTGCCTCAGCCTCCCGAGTAGCTGGGACTACTGGTGCCCGCCACCACGCCCGGCTAATTTTTTGTATTTTTAGTAGAGATGGGGTTTCACCATGTTAGCCAGGATGGTCTTGATTTCCTGACCTCGTGATCCACCCACCTCAGCTTCCCAAAGTGCTGGGATTACAGGCATGAGCCACCGCACCTGGCCAGGAGCAAACTCTTATGGGAATGAATGTCCCTGGGAACGAGAAGTTTTTTCCCTTCTCTTTTATTATTTCCCTCCATTTTCCTTTGATTTCTTGGTATCCCTTACTTTTTGTACCTCTGGAACTCCCGTTTCAGGGGTCACTTAGGAGTAATTTTAGAGATAAGATAGGGACGTGTGCCATTCTGTGACTGGTCAGGGGCACCTGGTAAGGTGATCTGTCATGTTCACAAGGGCTCACTTCGTCAGCTACCTGAGCTATAATTCACATCCAAAGCTATGGCTTGCCTGCCATGAGAAACCTAGAATAACAACAAGAATATCCTGTGTGAATCCTCCTGCATGTGCTTCCTGGTCCTCTTGAGCTTATCGTGTCCTAAGTTGAGGCAGGGTCTTCACTGGCTCATTTTATGCCTGGACTGTGTTTGCAGGTGTAGGATTATGAAGGAGGTCTGATGATGCCATTTGGTGCTCTTTCTTTTTGTAGCTATGGAGGGCCTGGGCTTTCTGGATGCTCTTAATTCAGCCCCTGTTCCAGGCATCAAAATTAAGAAGAAAAAAAAAGTACTGTCACCTACGGCTGCCAAGGTATGGGCTCCCAGAAGTAGGTTTCAGTGACAGAGTATAAAAGGTAAAGTAGAAGAAAGGGCACAGCAGCTAGGAGTTGTCGGGGAGGACAACAAGAGGCGTTTTGCCTTGGATATAGACTGGTGCAGGTGAGACATTGTGGAGACAGAGTCTTCCTTTATATAGGAACTGTTGGGGGACTGTGCCTGGGACCCTGGACTAATTGCCTTGCCCTTGGCTTTCCAGTCAGTTCATTAACTTCCTTTTCTTTCACAATAGCCAAGCCCCTTTGAAGGGAAAACGAGCACAGAACCAAGCACAGCCAAACCTTCTTCCCCAGAACCAGCACCACCTTCTGAGGCAATGGACGCAGACCGTCCAGGCACCCCGGTTCCCCCTGTTGAAGTCCCGGAGCTCATGGATACAGGTAATCTAGAAACTGGTTCAGTTTGGGGGGTTTTCTGAAAGGAGGGATCTGGGTCTGAAACCTCTTCTGCTTCCAGCCTCTTTGGAGCCAGGAGCTCTGGATGCCAAGCCAGTGGAGAGTCCTGGAGATCCTAACCAACTGACCCGGAAAGGCAGGAAGAGGAAAAGTGTGACATGGCCTGAGGAAGGCAAACTGAGAGAATATTTCTATTTTGAATTGGATGAAACTGAACGAGGTAAGAGGTCATTTCCTACGTAATAGGTGTGTTTAAGGGATTTTGAAAGGACTTGGTTGTGCTTACTTTCCCTCTTGCTTTTCTTCCCCTGCCGACAGTAAATGTGAATAAGATCAAGGACTTTGGTGAGGCGGCTAAGCGAGAGATACTGTCAGACCGACATGCATTTGAGACAGCGCGGCGTCTGAGCCATGATAACATGGAGGAGAAGGTGCCCTGGGTGTGCCCCCGGCCCCTGGTTCTGCCCTCACCTCTTGTCACCCCTGGAAGCAATAGTCAGGAGCGATATATCCAGGCTGAGCGGGAGAAGGGAATCCTTCAGGAGCTCTTCCTGAACAAGGAGAGGTGAGCAGAGTGGGGTTCGTGCCCTGGGATGTTGAGTGCTTGGACACTCCTGAGGGAACATGAGCTGGGGTAATTACGGGGTGGAGGTTAGAAATTACTTTCAGGGTCTGAATTAATAACTTGACTATCATTCTTTTTTCTCTCACCTGTGTTGTTCCTGATAGTCCTCATGAGCCTGATCCTGAGCCCTACGAGCCCATACCCCCTAAACTCATCCCCCTAGATGAGGTAAGTCAATGTTCTGTGATGATGGAAGTTGTGATGGTCATTGAATTCGGTGCATCTTTCATATGAGAATGTCTCTGTTCTGTCAATCCTGATTTTTTTTGTTCTTCTTTCAGGAGTGTTCCATGGATGAGACTCCGTATGTTGAGACTCTGGAACCTGGGGGGTCAGGTGGCTCACCTGATGGGGCAGGAGGCTCCAAGTTGCCTCCAGTTCTGGCCAATCTTATGGGAAGCATGGGTGCTGGAAAGGGCCCCCAAGGCCCTGGAGGAGGAGGCATTAATGTCCAAGAGATCCTCACCTCCATCATGGTACGCACCCTCCTTCCCCTTTTCCACCTTCTGTGGAGCCTCCTTAAGCTCGCTCTCCTCACTGTCTCCCATTCGCCTTACCCCAGTTCTCCACATCTACCCACTTACCCCTAATCTTTGGCGCTATCTTTCGCCATGGTTGTTACCCTTTCTGTCTGTTGACTTTGCCTTCTTACATCCTCACAGGGTAGCCCAAACAGTCATCCTTCAGAGGAACTACTGAAACAACCAGACTATTCGGACAAGATCAAGCAGATGCTGGGTAATCTTCAGGGCCAGCCCCAGGGGACTGGGGGAGGAAGCCTGCAGTGGAGTTGGGGGAAGCAGGGTTTCAAAGATGCAGAAGAATACAGGGCTGTGGCCACTAGGCAAGAAATGGGAGGGGAAGACTGGACAGAGAGAGCATTGCTCTGCCAGGTTGGTTTGAGAGGGTCAGTTGGTTGCACCTAAATGGGAGATCATGCTAGTCTTCTAGAGTGCTCATGCTGTGTTACTCTTGTTTTCATTAACAGTGCCACATGGACTCCTAGGCCCTGGCCCAATAGCCAATGGTTTCCCACCAGGGGGTCCTGGGGGCCCCAAGGGCATGCAGCACTTTCCCCCTGGACCTGGGGGACCTATGCCAGGTAGGTGGTGAGTAAAAGGTTGGAATGGGCTTATCTGCTTAATTTCAGTCTGATAATAGTATAGGATTGACTGGAAGGTGGGAGGTGGTGGTTTAGGTTGGGAGATGGCAGTTCCTGGTAGCTGATACTGTCTCTCTTTTTTGTCCCCTTACAGGTCCCCATGGAGGCCCTGGTGGGCCAGTGGGTCCACGTCTTCTGGGTCCTCCACCCCCTCCCCGGGGAGGTGATCCCTTCTGGGATGGCCCGGGCGACCCTATGCGGGGTGGCCCAATGCGGGGGGGTCCAGGACCAGGTCCTGGACCATACCATAGAGGCCGAGGTGGCCGAGGAGGAAACGAACCTCCTCCTCCTCCTCCTCCATTCCGAGGCGCCAGAGGAGGTCGCTCTGGAGGAGGACCCCCAAATGGACGAGGGGGCCCTGGTGGGGGCATGGTTGGAGGTGGTGGGCATCGTCCTCACGAAGGCCCTGGTGGGGGCATGGGCAACAGCAGTGGACATCGTCCCCACGAAGGCCCTGGCGGTGGCATGGGAAGTGGGCATCGCCCCCATGAAGGCCCTGGTGGTAGCATGGGTGGGGGTGGAGGACATCGTCCCCACGAAGGCCCTGGCGGTGGCATCAGTGGTGGCAGTGGCCATCGTCCCCATGAAGGCCCTGGCGGAGGAATGGGTGCCGGTGGTGGACATCGCCCCCACGAAGGCCCTGGCGGAAGCATGGGTGGAAGTGGTGGACATCGTCCCCATGAAGGCCCTGGACACGGGGGGCCCCATGGCCACCGGCCTCATGATGTCCCTGGTCACCGAGGCCATGACCATCGAGGGCCGCCACCTCATGAGCACCGTGGCCATGATGGTCCTGGCCACGGGGGAGGGGGCCACCGAGGGCACGATGGAGGCCACAGCCATGGAGGAGGTGAGGATGCTCCCTGTCCCCCATATGCCTTTTGGTTGTCCCATACAAGCTTTTGGGGAGTGGGTGAGAGTCACTACTGTTGGTAGCTAGGCAGAACGTGAGGTACCCGTCTCTTTGATGTCCTAGTATGCATAGCAGTTCCTACTCTATGCCCTTCCCCCAAATCCCCAAGATTGTCTCTGAAAGACAGTTCTCAGGATGTCATGGACAAGGGGTGGTGAGGGTGGCATTGCCCTCAGCTATTTCCTGTCTAACTGTTTTGCCATCGTTCCCACAGACATGTCAAACCGCCCTGTCTGCCGACATTTCATGATGAAGGGCAACTGCCGCTATGAGAACAACTGTGCCTTCTACCACCCGGGTGTCAATGGGCCCCCCCTGCCCTAGGGACCATTTGCCTGCCCTGTTCACACAACCCCTGTGGACTGCAGCCTCGCTCTTTCCACCCTGTTATGGCTTCTGTGAGGCCCATTTTCCCTTTTCCCCAGCTGATGAGGAGCCGGCCCCCTCAGTTCCCACTTGCTTGGGTTCCTGGGGGTTTTCTGATCACTGGTGCGCATTGATGTACATATTTTCCTCCAGTCTGGGGAGGAGAGAGACTGGAAACGTTCCTGGACTGCTGAAGAGGAGACCCAGTTGGCTTCACTTTTTGAGAAGATTCGCCCTGTACCCCAAACCCCTTTCCAGTATTACCCTTAATGCTTGAGAACCTAAAGCTGGTTATCCTGGCGAACACCCCTACCCTTCTATTGCGGGTCCCCACATGCACACAGAACTCTGACACAGGATCAGCTGCACTTAAGAAATCATCCCAGCTAAGTTCATTATTCCTCATGGGGTGGGGAGATGCTGAAAGGGGTATTGTATATCCCACTGCACTGAGAGGGCTCAATCAGCTGGATTTGAGTTCTGGAACACACATCATCCCCACCCCTCCCCCAGCGTGGGCTCACCATTCTTAGTCCTTTCTCAAGTGGGACCTTCAACTTTCTGTGAACACCCAGTCTGCGTCCTGGGTCTGCTAGGTTCGATGATGGCGAACTCGTATCTGCATCCGGTGCAAGTTTTAGCTGGCAGAGGTGAGACCGGTGGTGCTGGTCTGCCTTTGCCAACTATAGCCAGTCTGGAGACTTGATAAAATACTTCAGTGAGACCAGCTTCTCATCAACTTGGGCCCGGCGTGCTGGGCCTGAAAGTCACACTACATGCACTGCCTTTGGGAGTCAGCTCACTCCCTGCTCCCACCTGGAACCTTGCCAGCGTGAAGGAGGCTTCCAGGTACTTCACCCTGTCAACCACCTCTGAATCCCCACCAGGCGCCTTCCTGGGTGGATTCAACAAGATGATTTTGCCCTTTCCCAGTTCTCTCCTTCACTTTGGCATCAGTTGTTTTCTATGAAAACAGTGGATTGGTTGGGTTTTGTGCAGGGTCTTGGGTTAGAGCCAAAATGGATTTGAGGATGAGTATTTTTTTTTTTGGTTTTGTATATTTTGTACATTAATAATAAACAGTGGAAAGAGAAGCAGCTTATTTAACCCCTAGTGTGTTTGGACTTTTTTGAGACGGAGTCTCGCTCCGTTGCCTGGGCTAGAATGCAGTGGTGCAGTCTTGGCTTACTGCAATCTCTGCCTCCTGGGTTCAAGGGATTCTTCTGCCTCAGTCTTCTGAGTAGCTGGGATTCCAGGCACCTGCCACCATGCCTGGCTAATTTTTTTGTATTTTTAGTAGAGACTTGGTTTCACCATGTTGGCCAGGCTGGTCTGGAACTCCTGACCTCGTGATCTGCCCGCCACGGCCTCCCAAAGCGCTGGGATTACAGGCGTGAGCCACCGCGCCCGGCCTGGACTGTTTTTCATTTTTTTTTTTTTAAAAGCCATTACCACCTGTGTTAGATACATTAGTACAAATCTGTGGAATCTGATTTTTACTCCTCTGGAGCTAATGCTTGATCTAACAGTTGCTATTAAGTACTGGTGAAAAAATGCTTCAAAAAGTACATAAAATACTCTAGGATACAGAGTAGATCTCGGCCACAGGGCTCTTTCCTGGTTTTCATCTTTCTGAGTCTTCTTTAACACGCCTCGTGTGTGTTCCTAGAACAGTCCTATCCTGGCTATCGTGCCCTCTAGGATGTGTTCTTGGTCATCTTATCCACATTCTACAGATAAGGGAGGAAATCCTGAGGATGCTGGAGTCAGATAAAGGCCATTGTCCCAGCTCTACCTCTCTACAGCCTGGGTGACCTTAGCCAGGTTAGTGTTGGGTATCAGTGGCTCATGTCTGTAATCCCAGCACTTTTGGGAGGCCGAGGTGGGAAGACTACTTGAGCCCAGGAGTTTGAGACCAGCCTGAGCAACATAGGGAGACCAGGTCTGTACAAAAAATACAAAAAATATTAGGCATGGTGGCACATGCCTTTAGTTCCAGCTACCTGGGAGGCTGAGGCGAGAGGATCACTTGAGCCTGGGAGTTCAAACTCACAGCTATGATTGTACCACTGCAATCCAGCCGGAGCAACAGAGCAAGACCCTGTCTCAAAAAAAAAAAAAAAAAAAAAAAGCCAGGCATATTGGGTCATGCCTGTAATCCCATCACTTTGGGAAGGCGAGGTGGGTGGATCACCTGAGGTCAGGAGTTGGAGACCAGCCTGGCCAACATGACAAAACCCCGTCTCTACTAAAAATACAAACATTAGCTGGGTGCCTATAACCCAGCTACTCCGGAGGCTGAGGCGGGAGAATCCCTTAAACCCAGGAGGTGCAGGTTGCAGTGGGCCGAGATCATGCCACTGCACTCCAGCCTGAGTGACAGGGCAAAATTCCGTCACAAAAAAACAAAGGGTAAGTATAGACTGCTCTTCCCAAAGTGGCTCTGGCCAGGCATGGTGGCTCAAGCCAGTAATCCGAGCACTTTGGGACGCCAACATGGGAGGATCACTTGAACCCAGGAGTTCAAAACTACCCTAAGCAACATAGGGAAGCTCCATTTCCCCATTTCCGCGCCTGGCCTCCACTCTTCTTAAACCAGAAATTAAAGCTGGGCATGTTGGCTCACGCCTGTAATCCCAGCACTTTGGGAGGCCCACATGGGACGATCACTTGAACCCAGGAGTTCAAAACTACCCTAAGCAACATAGGGAAACTCCATTTCCCCATTTCCGCGCCTGGCCTCCACTCTTAAACCAGAAATTAAAGCTGGGCGTGGTGGCTCACGCCTGTAATCCCAGCACCTTGGGAGGCCGAAGCAGTTGGATCACCTGAGGTCAGAAGTTCGAGACCAGCCTGGCCAACATGAAGAAACCCCATCTCTACTAAAAATACAAAAATTAGCTGGGTGTGGTTACTGGCGCCTGTTATCCCAGCTACTCGGAAGGCAGGAGAATCGCTTGAACCCAGGAGGCAGAGGTTGCAGACTGCACCACTGCACTCCAGCCTGGGCAACAAGAGTGAAACTCCATCTGAAAAAAAAAAGAAAGGATACATCACTCTGGGGGGAGTGTGTGTGGCAGATATGGGGCAGTTGAAGATATTAACATGTTTTAACATGTGGGTTGAGAATGGCGGTTTTCAAGTCTGTTAGCATTCATCAGGATCATCTGAAGAGCTTATTAGAAAACAAATCTGGGGCCGGGTGCAGTGGCTCATACCTGTAAACCCAGCACTTTGGGAGGCCAAGGCGGGTAGATCAGGAGGTCAGGAGTTCGAGACCAGCCTGACCAACATGGAGAACCCCCGTCTCCACTAAAAATACAAAAATTAGCCGGGCGTGGTGGCGCATGCCTGTAATCCCAGCTACTCGGGAGGCCGAGGCAGGAGAATTGCTTGAACCCGGGAGGTGGAGGTCGTGGTGAGCCGAGATCGCACCATTGCACTCCAGTCTGGGTAACAAGAGCGAAACTTGGTCTCAAAAAAAAAAAAAAAAAAAAGAAAGAAAAAAAAAAACAAATTTGGGTTGGATGCAGTGGCTTATGCCTGTAATCCCAGCACTTTGAGAGGCCAAGGCGGATGGATCACCTGAGGTGAGGAGTTTGTGACCAGCCTGGCCAACATGGTGAAATCCCATCTCTACTAAAAATACAAAAATTAGTCAGGCATGGTGGCTCGCGCCTGTAATCCCAGCTACTTGGGAGACTAAAGCAGGAGAATCACTTGAACCCGGGAAGTGGAGGTTGCAGTGAGCAGAGATCACACCACTGCACTTCAGCTTGGGTGACAGAGCCAGACTCCATCTCCATCTCAAAAAACAAAAACAAAACAAAAAGAAAAAACAGACAGATTGGGGGTAGGGTCCAGCAAAATTCTGATTTAGTAGGTCAGGATGGATCCCGAGATATGCATTTCTAACAAATTCCCAGTTGCTGAGGCTGCTACACTGCCCTGGAATACGTGTCTCAGCTGTATTTCCAGCATTGGCCACATGAGGGGGCAACAATGTTTTATCAGTATCTGAAAGGCCTCACTGCATGTAGGCCCAAAGTGGGTAGTTTTACCTTCCCCTTGCCCAGGCTTGGTGTGTGTGGGCGGAGGTGTTCAGGTCAGTCTGTTGTTGCTGTGTGCACTGGGAGAAGACCTGAGAAGACATAATCTAAGGACCAGGCTAGGGCGTGAAATACCAAAGAAGTATACAGCTCAAGTGAAAAAACCCAAACATGTCACAACCTAGTGGTCACAACTTTGTGTCTCTTTCTGCTTCCATTTACTGCCTGCTTCTCACCTTTCTTCTATCTCCTGCAACAAGCCACAAGAACCTTAAAAGAGAGCTTAAAGTTTTTACTGTATTTTAAGAATAAGCTCGGCCGAGCGCGGTGGCTCACACCTGTAATCCCAACACTCTGGGAGGCCGAGGCGGGCAAATCCCAAGGTCAGGAGATGGAGACCATCCTAGCCAACATGGTGAAACCCCGTCTCTATTAAAAATACAAAAATTGCCAGGCGCGGTGGCTCACGCCTGTAATCCCAGCACTTTGGGAGGCCGAAGCGGGCAGATCATGAGGTCAGGAGATGGAGACCATCCTGGCTAACAAGGTGAAACCCCTTCTCTACTAAAAATACAAAAACTTAGGTGGGTGTGGTGGCGGGTGCCTGTAATCCCAGCTACTGAGGAGACTGAGGCAGGAGAATGGCATGAACCCGGGAGGTGGAGCTTGCAGCGAGCAGAGATCGCGCCACTGCACTCCAGCCTGGGCGACAGAGCAAGACTCTGTCTCAAAAAAAAAAAAAAATTAGCCGGGAGTGGTGGCACGCACCTGTAGTCCCAGCTACTTGGGAGGCTGAGGCAGGGGAATCGCTTGAATCCAGGAGGCAGAGGTTGCAGTGAGCCGAGATAACGCTACTGCATTCCAGGATGGCGACAGAGCAAGACTCCGTCTGAAAAAAAAAGAAAGAATGAGCTCATTTTCTTTCAAATCATTTATGAAAATTCGGCCAGGCGTGGTGGCTCACGCCTGTAATCCCAGCACTTTGGGAGGCCGAGGCGCGTGGATCACCTGAGATCAGGAGTTCGAGAGCAACCTGACCAACATGGTGAAACCGTCTCTACTAAAAATACAAAAAATTAGCCGGGCGTGGTGACTGGTGCCTGTAATCCCAGCTACTCTGGAGGCTGAGGCAGAAGAATCGTTTGAACCCAGGAGGCGGAGGTTGCAGTGAGCTGAGATCGTGCCATTGCACTCCAGCCTGGGTGACAGCAAAATTTCATCTCAAAAAAAAAAAAAAAAAAAATTCAAAGAAACCTGTTTTTTTTTTTTAGACAAGTTTCACTCTTTTGCCCAGGCTGGAGTGAAATGGCACGATCTTGGCTCACTGCCCCCTGGGTTCAAGGATTCTCCTGCCTCAGCCTCCTGAGTAGCTGGGATTGTAGGCACCTGCCACCACGCCTGGCTAATTTCTGTATTTTTAGTAGAGATGGGGTTTTACCATGTTGTCCAGGCTGGTCTCGAACTCCTGACCTCAGGTGATCCACCCGCCTTGGCCTCCCAAAGTGCTGGGATTACAGGTGTGAGTCACGGCACCCGGCCTACCTGTTCCTTTTTACTTACGTAAAAACTTTAGATTATATAAAGAGAAGATTTTCCTTGTTTTTTGTTTTTTTGCAGGGGGAGAGAGGTTGAACATTTCATTCATTTCACTACAATGATGTTTCTTCACCAAGCCCTCCCTGCAGGCACTTTTCTCTCTACCGTTTCAGTCTGTTTTTCCTTTCTGCTTCCATTTTTTCCCTCTAAAATACCCTTGTGACATTCAACGTTCTCTTTCTGTCAATCCTTCCCCAGGTGCAACGGGGTCTATCTTCAATTCAGAATCATTATCCTATTTCTTTCATTCCTACTCCTGGGCAGTAGACCTAATGTTGAAAAATCACAAAATCCTACTATCTTAGCCCAGTACAAATTAATGTTAGCATTGATTCTACACTTACTGCTGCTCAGCAAACCTTTTTTTTTTTTTGAGACGAAGTTTTGCTCTTGTTGCCCAGGCTGGAGTCCAATGGCATGATCTCCGCTCACTGCAACCTCCACCTCCCAGGTTCAAGTAATTCTCCTGCCTCAGCTTCCTGAGTAGCTGGGATTACAAATGCGTGCCACTACTCCTGGCTAATTTTTGCATTTTTAGTAGAGACGGTGTTTTGCCAAGTTGGTCAGGCTGGTCTCGAACTCCTGACCTCAGGTGATCCGCCTGCCTCGGCCTCCCAAAGTGCTGGGATTACAGGCATGAGGCACCGTGCGCGGCCTACTCTTCTTGATTCTCTGGCACCAAAGCTTGGGAAAAAGTGAGTCCCATCCACTGTGAGCAACATTTTCCCTTCCCTTCACATGGAAATATCTGAGTCTACATTATCTCCCTTCCATTCCATTCTTAGATGAAGAGAATCTTCTTTCCAAAGTAATATTGAGCTGTTCTCCTGGCATCTCTTTTCCCTGTCTCCCCACACCCACTATTTGCCACCTAGCAGCCAGGAGCAATTTTGTAAAAATGAAAACTGAATCAGTTTGCACTCCTGGCTAAACAGAACCAATGGCCTCCCATTGCTCAGCCTCTCCTGATCACATCCCAACCTGCTGTCTATGCATATAAGGCCCCGTGTGTATTGGCGCATGCTCAAGTTCTCAGCTCCAGCCATTCCTTGACCATGTTCAGCTCTTTTCAGCCTCAGGGTCTTTGCACATTTTGGTCCCTTCCCTGAAGGCTCTTCCTTTCCTACCTTCAGGCTTTGGCTTTAATGAGGCTGAGGTGGGAGGATAACTTGAACCCAGGAGTCTGAGACCAGCCCGGGCAACAAAGCAAGACCTCTTTGCTACAAAAAAATTAAAAAATTGGCTGGGCATGTTGGTGGACACTTGTAGTCCCAGCTACTTGAGAAGCTGAGGTAGGAGGATCACTTGAGTCCAGAGGGTTGAGGCTGCAGTGAGCCATGATTGTGCCACTGCACTCCAGCCTGGGAAACAGAGGGAGACCACATCTCAAAACAACAAAAAACACATTTCTACGATGTTTACTGTGTACCACATATGTGCATCACTTGTAGGTAATAAGCTGTTTATAAATAAAACAATTTAATTTGGTTAATGAAATTTCCATGCGCTACCATGGAAATGTTTCCCTTTCGTGTTCCATTTCTATGCTGCTTTTTGGAGGGCATACTTTTGCCCACATTTAGGTGAATTATTAATTCCATTAACAGCACATATGATCGGCTACAGGGATCACAGAAGTTAAAACATACACGGGAGGAGATAAAGTTTGTGGCCAGGTGCCGTGGCTCATTCCTGTAATCCCAGCACTTTGGGGAGCCTAGGAGAAAGGACTGCTTGAGGCCAGGAGTTTGGGACCAGCCTGGGCAATATAGCAAGGCCTCATCTTTAAAAAAAAAAAAAAAAAAAAAGAACAGAGAGAGAAATGAAATTTATGCCTGTGGCGGAAAGTTATTTTGGAGTACTTAAAGTACTTTTCTCACTTATGTTTGAAGTAGTGAAATTAGTGACCAAATATTTGAAATGCAAGCTGGTATTCACTTTATAAATAACATTCCTATATATTTTATGTATCATCTCAACTAGACTAGCGAAGTAAAAACTTAAAAATGCAAAAGTATAGGCCAGGTGCGGTGGCTCACGCCTGTAATCCCAGCACTTTGGGAGGCCGAAGTGGGCAGATCACCTGAGGTCAGGAGTTTGAGACCAGACTGGCCAACATGGCAAAACCTGATCTCTACCAAAAGTACAAAACTTAGCCGGGCGTGGTGGCACGTGCCTGTAATCTCAGCTACTTGGGAGGGTGAGACAGCAGAATTACTTGAACCCAGGAGGCAGAGGTTGCAGTGAGCCAAGATCACGCCACAGCACTCCAGCCTGGCAACAGAGTAAGACTCCATCTCAAAAAAAAAAAAAAAAAATATATATATATATATAATATGAAATACATATAACAAAAGCAACAGAATTTAAGGCACTTTACGTATTATTACACATTGAATCCCCTAATAACCCTGTGAAGTAGGTAACTACCACCTTCATTTTACAGATGAGAAAAGAGGTATCAAGAGGCTAATGGCTTGTCCAAGGTCACTGCCAAGACCCTGACTTTTCCCCCTCAAATTCCATAAGAGGCATGTTTCCTGATGTCTTTTGGTTTTTGTTTGAGACAGAGTCTCGCTCTGTTGCTCAGGCTGGAGTGCAGTGGCGCAACCTCGGCTCACTGCAACCACTGCCTCCCGGGTTCAAGCAATTCTCCTGCCTCAGCCTCCTGAGTAGCTGGGACTACAGGTGTGCACCACCACGCTCGGCTAATTTTTTTGTATTTTTAGTGGAGATGGGGTTTCAATATGTTGGTCAGGGTGCTCTCGAACTCCTGACCTCATGATCTGCCCGCCTCCCAAAGTGCTGGGATTACAGGCATGAGCCACCATGCCCGGCCTCCTTATTTTTAATTTAGAGTGTTCCCTGACTATGCAGCTATCTCCACACCAAAACTTCACTTCCTGTATGAAGCTTGTACTTGAAGTCCAGTATTATTTATTCACTTGGCTGGAAAACAATTTCCCCAAATTAAATGTCCAAACAGTTAAATCTTAGCCACACAGCTCTCCCTATTCCCTCTGGAACTGGATATATCTCCTGTCACTCCCTTCTCCCCAACCTCCACATCTGCTCTTTCCATCCCTATCTCCCCTAGCTAGTTTAGGATTCAGTTACCCCATTCCCGTAACAAAAGTTATGGGCTTCACCCTGCAGGTTTCTACAGCACGCCTTGCACATCACCACCTAATACCACTACCCACCATTTGCATTTTACTTTCCAAACCCATCTCCCCAGTCTAACTCTTAAGAAAAATGGCCACAGCAGCTATCATCCATTAACTCCCAAGTAGCTTGTTCTTCCCCCCAAGCCTGAGATCTGCTCTTTTCCTACTTCTGAAAAATGGCTCCCTGGTCCCTGATTAGTCAAATCATCATTTTTCAAGATCTACCCTCAAGTGACCCTGTCAAATAATCAGGCCCTGGATAATCTTTCCCTTTTTTGAGTATGTGGCAACTTAGAATCTAGAGTACGACATATTAGACAATTGATCAAATTAATTATCTATTCATGCTTACTTTTAAGTCTTCTCTAACCAGACTATTAATGAAGGCAGATCTTGTCTCTTCCCTTCTTATATACCCCACAGTACCGTACATTTTGGCTAGATGATTTAATAATTTTTGAGAGAATCAATACCCTGGTCCCTGGCCACAGGGCAGAGCACCTCCTCATTCATGAGATTAACTTGGACAATGAGACCCAAATTCTGGCTAGGCGTCGTGGCTCACGTCTATAATCCCAGCACCCCAGCACTTTGGGAGGTCGAGGTAGGAAGACTGCCTGAGGTCAGGAGTTCAGGACCAGCCTTAAGCAACATAGCAAGACACTGTCTCTACTAAAAATTAAAAAAAAAAAAATTAGTTGAGTGTGGCGGCACATGCCTGTAGTCCCAGCTACTCAGGAGGCTGAGGTGGAAGGATTGCTTGAGCCCAGGAGGTTGAGGGTACAGTGCACTCTAGCCTGGGCAACACAGCAAGACCCTGTCTCAGAAAAGAGAAAAAAAAAGAAGTTGGGCACAGTGGCTCATCCCTATAATCCCAGCACTTTAGGAAGTCAAGGTAGGTGAATTACTTGAGGTCAAGAGTTCGAGACCAGCCTGACCAACATGGTAAAACCCTGTCTCTATTAAAAACACTAAAATTAGCTGGGCCTGGTGGTGTGTGCCTGTAATCCCAGCTACTCGGGAGGCTGAGGCAGGAAAATTGCTTGAACCCAGGAGGTGGAGGCTGCAGTGAGCCAAGATCATGCCACTGCACTCCAGCCTGAGTGAAAGGGCAAGATTCTGTCAAAAAAAAAAAAAAAAAAAAAAAGGAAAGAGACCCATGTTCCAAGATAGAAGGTATGAATCACTTTGCTTTTTCCTTGCGTGAAGGGTTGGGGGAAAGGAATCCTATGATCCTTAAACAGCAAACACTGTCAGCAAGACTGCAAACAAGATCCATTTAGTGGGGAAGAGGGGACTATTAAAAGCTGCTAGAAAACTGAATAAAGCAAATCAAGACTGAGAACAGTTCCAACTCCCATCAATCTCCAAACAGTGACAGGTCGGCAGCAACTCCTTTCCTTTATTTCTTCCCCTTGTAAAGGGAAATTCAAGTTCAGCAGCATTCCTTTCCTGCCCCAAGTCCTCAACCAGACAAGAGGCTGCAGGCACCAAATCTTGGGCTGGATAATGGCAAAGGCCTCAGAAGCTCACCTCCAGCTCTGAGCTTCAACAGCTGTTTGTACCAGTGAGTCAGCATTAAATCCACCAGAAAAGAACAGCACCACCCAAAGACTGGGGGGCAGCTGGGCCTGAAGCTGTAGGGTAAATCAGAGGCAGGCTTCTGAGTGATGAGAGTCCTGAGACAATAGGCCACATAAACTTGGCTGGATGGAACCTCACAATAAGGTGGTCACCTCTTGTTTGTTTAGGGGGATGCCAAGGATAAGGCCAGCTCAGTTATATGAAGAGAAGCAGAACAAACAAGTCTTTCAGAGAAATGGATGCAATCAGAGTGGGATCCCGGTCACATCAAGGTCACACTCCACCTTCATGTGCCTGAATGGTTGCCAGGTCAGCTGCAGGCCAGAGGCAGTCTTCAGAGGAGGGGAGACCACAGAGGACTTCTAGGCCACACAAATATGTCTCTCGGGAGACTTCTGGGAAGGAAAGCTCACTCTCGGGGCCGGCTGACCATGACTTCACCCAGGGCCTCCAACACCTCCCGCTTGTAGTCTTCAAAGTCACCATCGATTTGGCTAACACTCTGCTCCTCCACCACCCACAGCTGGCAATTGGTTTCTGTGATGAGTCGGGCATCATGGCTGACAACGATCACAGCTTTGAAGAAAGATAGCAACAACAGAGGGCAGGAAGAAAGGAGAAAGAGGGGAATCAGAACATGAAATAAGGGAGTCCTAGGCCCTTCTGTAGTGAAGGACACTACAGCTTGGTCCCCATGGAGCAGGGATGAGGGCACACTCTCAGCTGACTTACCACCCTTGTATTCATTGATGGCCTCCCCTAGAGCATCAATAGACTCTATGTCCAGGTTATTGGTTGGCTCGTCCTACATAGGAGGAATTCCATGACTGAGCACTGCAACTCCCGTCTTCCATTACTGTTACCCTTATCCCTTTTCCCACAGCCCAGCTCACTCACCAAGATGAGGACATCAGGTTCCCGACAGGCCAGCTCAGCAAACACAACTCGCGCCTTCTGACCACCTGTAGCAAAGGAAGGGGAGGGCTGTCACACCTAGCACCTCACATTCTGAAGGCAAACCCTCAAGATGTGCCAGTTTGTGAGCTGAGGCTCCCTCATTCTCGGTTCCTCTAGGTACAGTTTGTAGACATGAATGATAAGGTGAAGGGCACCCTCCCTGGCCCCTGAAGTGGTACCAGAGAGTTTGCAGATCTGGATGGTGTGGGCGTGACTCTCCAGGCCGAAGCGGCCCAGGCACTTGCGGGCATCCTGGTAGGGCAGGTTGAAGCCCCGCTGCAGGTACTCAGTGGGCGTCTCCTCCATGCGCAGCTGCTCTGCATACTGCTGGTTGAAGAAGCCAATTTTCTGCCCGAGAAGAGAGGGAGGTGGTCGGTTAAAGTCACACTTCCTCCATCAGATTATCATTCCCTAAATCCCAATGCCAACTTACCAGCCGGTGGTTCTTTCTCATTTCCCCATGGGTCTGCAAGGGAAGACAAAGTAGTTAAGAGGAGGGCAAGGGAAAAAGGTGCTGCAGCTCCATACATCAACTTTTTTTTTTTTTTTTTGAGACGGAGTCTCGCTCTGTCCCCCAGGCTGGAGTGCAGTGGCGCGATCTCGGCTCACTGCAACCTCCACCTTCCGGGTTCACGCCATTCTCCTGCCTCAGCCTCCCCAGTAGCTGGGAATACAGGTGCCTGCCACCACACCCGGCTAATTTTTTGTATTTTTAGTAGAGACGGGATTTCACCATGTTAGCCAGGATGGTCTCGATCTCCTGACCTCGTCCATACACCAACTTTTCTGAAGGAGAGACAAACACCAGAAATGGGCCAGGGACAAGTATGCATAAGAAAAGGAATAGGGGCTGGGCACGGTGGCTCATGCCTGTAATCTCAGCACTTTGGGAGGCCAAGGAAGGCAGGTCAGGAGGCACTTAAGGTCAGGAGTTTGAGACCAGGCTGGCCAACATTGTGAAACCCTGTCTCTACTAAAAATACAATAATTAGCTGGGCATAGTGGGACATGCCTATAATCCCAGCTACTCAGGAGGCTGAGGCACAAGAATGGTTTTAACCCAGGAGGTGGAAGTTGCTGAGATCGCACCACTGCACTCCACCCTCGGGGACAGGGGAAGACTTTGTCTCAAAAAAGAAAAGGAACAGGGATGTTCCCCTAATATGACAAAGGCATGGTGAGCAAAGTAAAAGAGTTAAGGGACAAAAGGGGAGTTAAGCAAAATGGAGGACAAGAGGGACAAGCAGGAGGGACTAACCACAGCCAAAGAACACCTGCTCTCCATACAGCGAGACTCACGAATGGTACATCGTAAGGGCCTCATGTGGCAAGTTTAGTGTTTTGGGGAGAATCTAATAATACCTTTCTAAAGATCTAATCTCTGGATATGAGAAAATGGCCTCTCAACACTGCTAGAGAGAGCAGAAATGGCTACAAACTTTCTAACACACTAGATGGCAATATATTACAAAAGTTCAAATAAAATGGTAGAGTTTGCCGGGCGTGGTGGCTCACACCTGTAATCCCAGCACTCTGGGAGGCCGACGCAGGCAGATCATGAGGTCAGGAGATCAAGACCATCCTGGCTAACACGGTGAAACCATCTCTACTAAAAATACAAAAAATTAGCTGGGCGTGGTAGCACGCGCCTGTTGTCCCAGCTACTCGGGAGGCTAAGGCAGGAGAATCGCGTGAACCCAGGAGACGGAGGTTGCAGTGAGCCAAGACTGTGCCACTGCACTCCAGCCTGGGTGACAGAGTGAGACTCTGTCTCAAAAAAAAAAGGTAGACTCATATGAAATAAGTAATTGCATGGAAAAATGCTTGATATATTTGGAAAAATCTAGCTACACAACAACTCATATGACAGCCCATTTTTGTTAAAAATTATATGCACATTTGCAAAGAAAAAAGGAGAAAGATATCCACTAAAACATTAATACTGGTTATCTCAGCTGGGAGCGGTGGCTCACGCCTGTAATCCCAGCACTTTGGGAGGCTGAGGCGGGCGGATCACAAGGTCAGGAGTTCGAGACCAGCCTGACCAACATGGTGAAACCCTGTCTCTACTAAAAATACAAAAAGTAGCTGGGCATGGTGGGGCGTACCTATAATCCCAGCTATTCAGGAGGCTGAGGCAGGAGAATATCTTGAACCTGGGAGGTGGAGGTTGCAGTGGGCCAAGATCGCACCACTGCACTCCAGGCTGGGCGACAGTGAGACTCCGTCTCAAAACAAAATAACAAAAAAAAAAAACTGGTTATCTCCAGATTTTTCTCTTGACTTAAGCATTTTTTTTTTTTTTTTGACAGAGCCTCACTCTGTCACTTAGACTGGAGTGCAGTGGCACGACCTCGGCTAACTGGAACCTCTGCCCCCTGGACTCAAGCAATTCTCCTACCTCAGCCTCCCGAGTAGCTGGGACTACAGTCGTGCACCAACATACCCAGCTAATTTTTGTATTTTTAGTAGAGATGGGATTTCACCATGTTGCTCAGGCTGGTCTGTTTTTTTTTTTTAGACGGAGTTTTGCTCTTGTTGCCCAGGCTGGAGTGCAATAGCGCAATCTCAGCTCACTGCAACCTCTGCCTCCTGGGTTCAAGTGATTCTCCTGCCTCAGCCTCCCAAAATAGCTGGGATTACAGGCATGTGCAACCACGTCTGGCTAATTTTGTATTTTTAGTAGAGATGGGGTTTCTTCATGTTGGTCTCAAACTCCTGACCTCAGGTGATCTCCCACCTCGGCTTCCCAAAGTGTTGGGATTACAGGTGTGAGCCACCACACTGGGCTCAGGCTGGTTTTTAACTCCTAAGCTCAAGTGATCTGCCTGCCTCAGCCTCCCCCAAAGAGTTGGGATTATAGGCGTGGGCCACCACGCCAGGCCAATTTTTTTTTTTTTTTTTGAGATGGAGTCTCGCTCTGTTGCCCAGGCTGGAGTGCAATGGTGCAATCTCAGCTCACTGCAACCCCCGCCTCCCAGGTTCCAGCAATTCTGCCTCAGCCTCCTGAGTAGCTAGGATATAGGTGCGCGCCACCGCACACGGCTAATTTTTGTATTTTTAGTAGAGGCGGGGTTCACTATGTTGGCTAGGCTGGTCTGGAACTCTTGACCTTAGGTGATCCCTGCTGGGATTATAGGAGTGAGCTACTGTGCCTGGCCCGTTTATGCAATTTTTAATCGTTCTATAAAAGACATATATTTCTTGTATAACCAAAACACGTGGGTGTGCCCCCTAGTTCTATCTTAATTCTCTTAGCTCTCCCCCCTGAACTGATCTAAGCTCTTTCCTCCTCTACTGCCCCTCTTAGGGAAATGAATCATCTATCATGAGTTCTGTATTTAACTCTACATTCTCGAGAGGCTCCCTGATTCCAGCTTCTGGCAAAAGCAGCTGTGTCTTCACATTTCTCATGCTCTCCCTCCTTGGCTCCAGGACTCACCGGTGTCAGCTTGCCAGTCAGCAGCAGGAGTAGCGTACTCTTCCCCACACCATTAGGGCCCACAATGCAAACTGCAAGATGGAAGACAGGTGGTCAAAGAGGTCCCCAGAGACTCTCCCTGTGGCTCCTGCTACACATCCCTGAGGCAACCCCGCCAACTCACTCCTTGAATCCATGTCGATGCCAAAATCCAAGTTCTTAAAGAGTGGTTTCTGTCCCTGGTAGCCGAATGTCACACCTGAAAGCCACGAAAAGAAGCAATTTATATTCTTTTCAGTCCCTGCAAAGTCCCTCTCATGTGCTGGCCTTGGAGAACAGGAGCAATCTCAGCCTTGGTGGAGAATTTAGGGTGCACATACATGCTTCCGGTGCTTCCTGTGGAGCAGCAGAGGCCCGCGGCACTCACCATGCAGACCCAGCACTGGAGGGCTGAGTGGTGGGGGGTCTGGAAAAGTGAAGCGCACAGTGTACTCCTTAGGGCGCTTCAGGAGCTCAGGGGCCTCCTGGGATTCCTCATCTTGGTTTTTCCGTCGGCATTTCTGCTGCTTCCGAGTCAGGGCTTCCTTCGTTTGTTTTTCCTGGAGAGGAAGAGGAAAAAAGAGAAACCTGAGCCCTGCGCGGCAGTCCTTGAAATGTAGGCCAGCGTTCCAGAGTCTCCTTCTTCCTCCACTGCCAGGAGAGAACAGTGGCCCCCAGCCCAGAAGTCCCTCAGGTGCTCACCGCCTGCTTGGTGGACTTCCCGCCTGCCTTCAGCTCCTTCAGCTTTTTCTCTTGCTTCTCATACTGTTTCAGCAGTTCTTTCTGCTTCTGCTGGTACATCTTTTTGAAGGTCACTGGGGCAGAAGAGGGGACCAGGCATCAGTGGTTGCTCCTCTTCCCAGCAAAGGGACAACCAGGGACTGGTGGTGATGGGGTAGGCATCACTGTCTGGAATTCTGACAGGATTCAGTTTATCTAAATAGGCCCTCCCACTCAGGCCTCTTTTCGAGGTTCTATCTCTTCCCTGCATCCACACACAATCCTACTTACTGTAATTGCCCCTATAGTAGTGGAGCCGCTGGGCATCGAGGTGGATGATATCAGTGCAGACATCATCCAAGAAGCCCTGGTCATGGGAGACGATCAGCAAGGTCTTCCGCCAGCCCTGGAGGTAGCTGGGTTTCAGAGAACAGGGTGTAAGTGTCACAGTGGTCAAGTGAGAGAGAATTCAGAGGAAGCAGGCAGACAACGGGGGCTGGGAGGGAAAGGGGGGTCTGAATAGAGCTCCACTCACAGGCACAGTGGAGAAGGGCTAAAGGAAAACAGGGCAGGGAGGGAAGGGGAAGAAAGTGCAGAATGGGAACCAATGATGCAAAGGCCGTAACGCACTTATTAAGCCAGATGACAGCGTTGAGGTCCAGGTGGTTGGTGGGCTCATCCAGCATCAGCAGTGTGGGCTCCATGAACAGTGCCCTAGAGGGTGGGTAGCAGAGGGCAGGGTCAGGGAGAGAAAGATCCTTGCTCAGACAACCCCAGAGAAAACTCGGAGATAGAGCCTGAGACCATGAACACTCCTTCCCAAGCTCTCCTCAGAGAAGTTCTCGGGCAGGATACGGTTTAATTTTTTTGAGACAGGGTCTCGCCCTGTTGCCCAGGCTGTCGTGCAGTGGCACAATAAGGGCTCACTGTAGTCTAAATCTCCCAGGTCTAAGTGATACTTCTACTTCAGCCTCCAGAGTAGCTGTGACCACAGCGTGCGCCACCATATCCAGCTGATCTTTAAATTTTTTGTAGAGACAGGGTCTCCCTATGTTGCCCAGGCTAGGATATGTTTTCTTCCCCCTTTTGTGAAGATAGAGTCTCACTATATTGCCCAGGCTGGTCTCAAACTCCTGGGTTGAAGATAATCCTCCTGCCTCTGCCTTCCAAAGTGCTGGGATTACAGGCGTGACCCATTGCACCCAGCTGCAGGGTATGTTGATGAGAACTCACCACCAAGTAGGGAGATAAATAGAGAAAGACCCTAAGTTCTCACAACACAGATAGTAAGGAGGGAGAGGTAAGCCTTGAGCCTCCCTATTGGCCTTGGAAGAATGAGAAGGGAAAGAGGAAAAGGGCCCCGGTGGTCTGAGGCTGGAAGGGAGGGCAGTGAGGTGAATGGCCCACCTGGCCAGGGAGACACGCATGCGCCAGCCCCCTGAGAACTTCTGTGTGGGTCGATTCTGCATTTCAGGGTCAAAGCCCAGGCCAGCCAGGATCCGCCGTGCTTTGGCCTCTGCAGCTGCCGCCCCAGTGGCCCGCAATTCCTCATACACCTGGGAGGAGGGAGAAGAGGACACACGTCTGAGGGTCCCAGGAACCCCCAAGTCTTTGCCCGTGTCCCCTGCGCCATCTCCTCTACCTTCTCTAGCCTCTCAGCAGCTGTGTCATCCCCTTGTTCCAGCTGTCCCTGAAGCCGCCGCTCCTCTTCCAGCAGCTTCAATCGCTTGGTGTCAGCTCGAAGAACAGCCTGGACTGCTGGTGTCTCATCTGCTACCACCTCTGGGAGGCAGAGGGAGAACAGTCAGGCAGCCTCAAGAGCCAAGAGTCTCATCTTTCTTTCCCTTCAATTACATTTCTGTTTTGCCTGACCCTGCCCAGCTCTTTGTACTTGTTCCAAATAAAACACTCTCAAGTTCCTCATTGACCCTCCCCTCCTTTCCTTAGCATCCCTTTCCCGGTCTCCAGTCTCCCTCCACATCCCTTCCAACTCCATAGCCACAATTTCTTCTATTCTTGGCTGGCTGGCTTTTCTACCCAACTGCCCACCCCACCAAGCCCCTTTTCTCCCCAGTGGTCTCACCCTGCTCACACAGCAACACATCAATGTTGGGAGGGATGCTCAGGGCTCGGTTGGCAATGTGCTTGAGGAGTGTGGTCTTGCCCTTGCTGGGGAATAAAAGCTATTAGGACCTGGCCACCACTGAGAAATCTCTTCTTTTCCCTCCAGGCCCTTTTTTGCCTCCAGCTCCCTCCTCTTCTCACCCATTGGGTCCTACCAGCCCGTAGCGGCGGCCGGCTACAATGTACAGGTCTGCATTGACGAACAGCTCCTTGCCATGAGCGGAGATGCTGAACTTCTCCAGCTGCAGCCATCAGGAAAGAGGTGGCAGAGGGAAGGGATGATCACATGAAAATTCTCCCTTTGGGACAGGAGCGGCCACTTTCTCCCTGCAGGGAAGCCTCTGACAAACCGCTACCTCCAGCATAATCCCCTTCCTCTCCCCACAGCCGGTCCCCGCCCTGTTCGCTGCCTGTAATGGGAGCCCCATGCATCCTCAGCTAGTCTAGTCTGTCCCACACTATTTTCTGCCAAGGGTGGACCCCACTTCTACTGGTTTTTCTATCTTCTTGCTCAAGTTGGCAGAACCTAAGGTGTGGAAAATGCCTCCAATCTTTCTTCCCACTGAACTAACCCATTCACACACCACAGCCACTCAGGGAAGATGAGAGAACTGGCTCTTCCCTAGGTAAGTGGACTGGAAGGGGCCCCTTGAGACCTTACCTTGATGTCAGATGCATTTTCTAACATGGCTTGGCGGGAGGACATCTCCGCCTGGGACACGGAGAAGTCATTTTCAGCTGCATTGGCTGCTTTTAATGAAGCCACTTGGCGCTCATACTCCATCTGAGAAGGTAGGAAAAACTACATTTGAAGCCACAGTCTACCAGTTTCCCATCACCATGAAACAGCCCATGCTGGCTGGGCATGCTGGCTCACGCCTGTAATCCCAGCACTCTGGGAGGCTGAGGTAGGTGGATCTCTTGAGCTCAGGAGTTTGAGACCAGCCTGGCCAACATGCTAAAATACTGTCTCTACAAAAAATACAAAAATTAGCCAGGCATGGTGGTGCCACCCATAGTCTCAGCTATTCGGGAGGCTGAGGTGGGAGGATCACTTGAGCCTGGTAGGTTGAGGCTGCAGTGAACAGAGATCACGTCATTGCACTCCAGCCTGAGTAACAGTGTGAGACCCTGTCTCAAAAAATAAACAAAAAACCCCAAAGTGAAACAGCCCATGTCATCAGACATTGAGATAAGGTTCACAGAACACAATTATTTTCTTACTCCGATTGTTTTACTTGGAGTAGCCCCCAAACCTTTCCTTCGTGTCCCCAATCGCATGTCCCCTAGTTGAAGTATTTAAAAATCCCCTACTTTTGACCGCTAAGAACCAAGGTCTTACCTGTTTTTTCAGCTTTTTCTTCTCCTTTTTGCTAAGATGAGCATAGGGATCATCTGCCTTAGACTCTCCTCCTTCCTCCTCCTCTTCTTCCCCTTCTCCTTCTTCCTCTGAACCCTGTGAGAACCCGGGGATGGTCAAAACTAGGGACTCCTGGCTGGGCGCGGTGGCTCACGCCTGTAATCCCAGCACTTTGGGAAGCCAAAGCGGGCAGATCCCAAGGTCAGGAGATCAAGACCATCCTGGCTAACATGGTGAAACCCCATCTCTACTAAAAATACAAAAAATTAGCCGGACGTGGTGGCGGGCGCCTGTAGTCCCAGCTACTCGGGAGGCTGAGGCAGGAGAATGGTGTGAACCTGGGAGGAGGAGCTTGCAGTGAGCCGAGATCGTGCCACTGCACTCCAGCCTGGGTGACAAAGCAAGACTCCGTCTCAAAAAAAAAAACAACAAAAAAAAACTAGGGACTCCTTCTAGAACTCAGATTTCACATCATCTGCCCCCTGTCCCTGCCCCAGCTCTTTCCTTCACTACTCAGAGTCCTAAAATATCTTGGGATCCTCTCTCATTCTCATACCCAGCCCCTGGTCTCCCTGAGGTCCTTTATTAATTTCTGCTACCAGGAATGGTACAAGACAAATGGTATGAATGTGTATTTATGAAATGTGACAACGCGTTATGTCCCTATAAATGTAACTCCCAATACAATGTAACTGAAGGTGGAGTAAATGGATTTCAAGAGTTTCATTTGTATAAAATGAGTTTCTGTGGTTTCCTTGTTAACATGCAAAGAAAAGATCAGGTAGCCGTCCGGGCACGGTGGCTCATGTCTGTAATCCCAGCACTTTGGGAGGCCAAGATGGACAGATCACAAGGTCAGGAGATCAAGACCATCCTGGCTAACATGGTGAAATCCTGTCTCTACTAAAAACACAAAAAATCAGCCGGTCATGGTGGCACGTGCCTGTAGTCCCAGCTACTCGGGAGACTGAGGCAGAAGAATTGCTTGAACCCGGGAGGCAGAGGTTGCAGTGAGCTGAGATTGCGCCACCGCACTCCAGCCTGGGCAACGGAGTGAGACTCCATCTCAAAAAAAAAAAAAAAAAAAAAAAGATCAGGAAGCTCTAGTGCACAGTCAGAGGAATCCAGCAGAATCACAGAATTAGGAAGTGCCAGACGCATAGGGACCCTAGAGATCTCCGGACTCCTCCTTCTATCACACAAAGGAGACAAGTGAGACCCAAGGGGATGGGAAGATGTATTCAAGGTCACACAGCCAGTGAAGGCAGAGCCAGGACCCAGATCATCTGAGATAAATTCCAGGCCCTTTCTTCACTGGATTAGGTGTTGCAAACTACAGCCCATGGGCCAAGGCTGACCTGACATTTATTTTTATATAGCTCCTGAACTTTATAAAAATAATTTTTGTATTTTCAAAGAGTTGTTAAAAAAAAAAAAGAATATGTGATAGAGATTGTATGTGGCCTGCAAAGCCAAAAACATTTACTATATGGCCCTTTATAGAAAAAGTTTGCTGGCTGGCATGCTGGCTCACACCTGTAAACCCAGCATTTTGGGAGGCTGAGGCAGGAGGACTGCTTGAGCCCAGAAATTCAAGACCAGCCTGAGCAACATAGTGAGACCTCATCTCTATACTAAAAATAAAAAAATTAGCCAGGGGTAGTGGTGCACACTTGTAGTCCCAGCTACTCAGTAGGCTGAGGCAGGAGAATCTGTTGAGCCCAGGAGGTTGAGGCTTCAGTGAGCCGTGTTCACACCACTGCACTCCAGCCTGAGTGACAGAGTAAGATCCTGTGTAAACAAAAACAAAAACAAAAACAAACGAACCACCACCCCAACTACTCCCCCAAAAAAAGAAAAGAATAAAGGTTTGCTGGGATAATAACTATATCCCCAGATTCTAACTCTCCCATAAGGACCCTGGAAGCCCTAGTCCCTCATTCCACCTTGCCCCAACACCAAATACACACCTGCTCTGCCTTCTTGGCCTTCTCCTTCCCTTGTTTGGGAGGCTCCTTTTCCTTTATAATTTCTTCTTCTTTATCCTCCTCTTCATTGTCCAGAGCAGCGAATTTATTTTGAGGCTAATAGGGAAAAGACAGGTCTGATGAAATGTTTTTTTTTTTTTTCTTTTTTTTTTTTTGAGACGGAGTCTCGCTCTGTCACCCAGGCTGGAGTGCAGTGGCGCAATCTCGGCTCACTGCAAGCTCCACCTCCCGGGTTCACGCCATTCTCCTGCCTCAGCCTCCCGAGTAGCTGGGACTACAGGCGCCCGCCACCACGCCCGGCTAATTTTTTTTGTATTTTTAGTAGAGACGGGGTTTTACCGTGTTACCAGGATGGTCTCGATCTCCTGACCTCGTGATCCGCCCACCTCGGCCTCCCAAAGTGCTGGGATTACAGGCGTGAGCCACCGCGCCCAGCCCTGATGAAATGTTTTAATTCCTGGGCCCCAATACCTCCTCCTGCTAGTTACTCTCTCACCTTAGCCTTCCCTTTTGACTTCTCTTCCTTTCCCTTTTTGCCCTTGAGTGCAGGCTGCTGTTCCTCAGATACGGCCTGGAGGAGACACACATACACATTACACACATACATACAAATTATTGTGCTACTTTGCTGTGTAATAAGCATTTCTAGAGAGTCTACTGTGTTAACCATACACATGCTCCTCCATTTACGACAGGTTGCATCCCGATAAACCCACCAGAAACTTAAATAAAAAATGATAGTTCTTGGCCGGGCGTGGTGGCTCACACCTGTAATCCCAGCACTTTGGGAGGCCAAGGCAGGTGGATCACAAGGTCAAGAGATCGAGACCATCCTGGTCAACATGGTGAAACCCTGTCTCTACTAAAAACACAAAAATTAGCTGGGCGTGGTGGCACGTGCCTGTAATCTCAGCTACTCAGGAAGCTGAGGCAGGAGAATCACTTGAACCCGGGAGGCGGAGGTTGCAGTGAGCCAGGATTACGCCACTGCACTCCAGCCTGGCAACAGAGTGAGACTCCGTCTCAAAAAAAAAAAAAAAAAAAAATAGTTCCAACTTATGATGGGTTTATCTGGATATAATCCCATCATGAGTTGAGGAGTACCCTAAATGAGTATGACTTTCACACCATCATAAAGTAGAAAAATCGTACACCGAAGCAGAAGTTGGAGACCATCTGTATTGAGTGCTGCTGACGAAAAATGAGACCCAGAAAAACCCTACCCTCCAGCTTCAGACTAGATAGCGAAGAGATAACTAGGGAACGTCAGCAAGGCTAAGGATTATAAGTCAGGCAAGTGCGCCACCAGAGTGAGTGGCACTAGCACTGGAGGCTTTCTCAAGAGCTCAAATGGACATGGACTAAGATGCACACGCAGAAGAGTCACAAGTAGAAGAGCAAGGACCTGGGGCTTTGTTTCAGGTTCTGTGCTTAAAGCAACAGAATCACTGTAGATTTCTGAGTGATAAAAATGGCATGGTTTTTTTTGTTGTTTTTTTTTTGAGACTGAGTCTTGCTCTGTTGCCCAGGCTGGAGTGCAGTGCCTCAATCTCAGCTCACTGCAAATTCCACCTCCCAAGTTCAAGTGATTCTCCTGCCTCAGCCTTCCAAGTAGCTGGGATTACAGGCGCACGCCACCACGCCTGGCTAATTTTTGTATTTTTAGTAGAGATGAGGTTTCGCCATGTTGGTCAGGCTGGTCTCGATCTCTTGACCTCGTGATTCGCCCACCTCGGCCTCCCAAAGTGCTGGGATTACAGGCGTGACCCACTGTGCCCAGCCTGGGCATGTATTCTAAAAAGATGATTTTAACAGTATAAGTAAGACAGACCGAGAAGAGCTAGTTTAAAAGCGGGAAATTACTCCACCATGGCCAGAAGGTGCTAAATGGAGTGAGAGTGACTGATCGAGCCACCACTGTCACCTTATTGATCCGATTCTTCTCCGGCTTGGCAGGCTTAGGAGGATGTTTTTCTTCCTCCTCCTCTTCCTCACTCTGATCCTGAATCAGGGCTGCAAAAACATTACCACCCTAGAGAATGAAAGGGCCACAGAAGTCAGTAGGATGGTCAAGGTTGCATCCTTGGAGTCTCCGTTTACCACACAGATGGCTTACCTTGGTTTTCTTCCCTCCGCGGGGTTTTGGGGCGGGTACTGAAATGACAGGGGGAGAACATGAGATAGGAAAGAATTACAATGTCTGGCCCCCCAATTGAATCCAACTTGAAGATCAGGGTATGAGGTATCACTCTCCATGACTCATGGATTCCAGGTACCCATTCCCCCTCAGGTCATTTACCTTCATCCTCCTCATCACTGGTTGGCACTGAGAGCTTCTTAAGACGCTCCATGAGCTCTTTCTCTTCTCCATCATCATCCACATCCTTCTTCCGCCTGCCTTTTCGGGTATCTCGCTTTTTTTTTTGCTGCTGAGAGCAAAAGAACAGTGAGAAAATGAAGCCCAGGCCCCTGCTGTATTTCTGCCTCACAGAGGGTTCCCCATCAGCTGAATGGAGCAACATGGGCTGGAAAGGGGTTGGTGGAACCCAGATGCCTCCCAGGATTGGTGGGCCCTGTGGCACTTGTACCTGCTGTTGCTGTTGCTGCTGCTGCTGCTCCTTCTCCTTGAGCACTTTCTCTTCTTCCCCAGCCTGTTTATCTTCTACTGCCAGCTCTTCAAAGAACTATAAAGGGAGTTAAGCTACAGGTAAACATGTTTCCAAGAGCAATCCAAGCAGGCTGTGCTCTGCCACACATTGGCCCACTGGCCCTCCACTCCACCCTCACCTTACCTCCTGTCTCTCTCTTTTTTTTCTTTTTGTGGAGAATGGAGTGTGCAGGTCTCAAATTCCTGGGCTTAAGCTATCCTCCCACCTCTGCCTCCCTAAGCGCTGGGATTACAGGTGTAAGCCACCGTGCCCTGCCTATCTCCTCTCTTGACAAGATCTTTTCTCCTCCCTTGGACCTCCCACCTCCTTCACATGGCTATTTATTTAGCTTGGAAACATCCATAGTCATTTCTTATCCTCAACCCTCATTTTCTCACCGTTTTTTTGATCTTCTTGTCCTTCTTCCCTTTCTTCACCACTTTGTCTAGAAAGTTAAGCGGACATCGTGAATGCTTATCTGCAAATTCCAAAGCAGTCTGATCCCCCCTGCAAAGATCTCTGTAGCCTCTATCCTATTTTATTATTTTTCTAGCTTAACTATCACTCCTTAAATATTTGTACTGTCTCACAACTCCTGCAGAAATAATCATTCCCATCTCTATTCATTCATCCACTAAGTATCTACTAAACAGCTACCATGTGTCAGATATTGTGCTAGCGTAGGGGATCATAGCAATGAACAAGACAAATGTGGTCTCCTCTGGAGCTTGCAGGCTATAGGAAGAGAGATTTTTAAATAGGTAATTCCAGGTGTACTGAAGGTTCCAAAAGAAAAGGTAAAGCCTACTTGGTGGTGGGGGAGAGGCTGGCTTCATCTCTGGTGGCGGCCTCTCTAAGAAGATGGCATTTAAGCAAATAACTGAAGTAATGAGGAGTATGAGAAGTTAGTCAGACACATGGTGTAATTCCAGTGCTGTGCACAGGCCCAGCTGTGAGAAAGCACACACACTGAGAGACAGGGAAAGGTTTGGTATGGCTAAGCTTACAGACTGAGGGGAGAATGGTGCAAGGTAAGGCTGGAGTGAGGGCCTTGTAGCAAGGTTAAGGAATGGGGACTTTATTGGTATGATCACTTTCACACTTTAAAGTTTCACTCTGGCTTCAGAGTACAGCAAGAATCGGAGGGAATAAGCATAGTGGGAAATCCACTGGGGAGGCTGTCAGAGTAGTCTGGGTGGTGGTGACAAGCGGACATAAAGAAGAATTCATAGGATGGGGCTAGAGGTGGGGAATAAAGAGCACCCGGCCGGGCGCGGTGGCTCATGCCTGTAATCCCGGCACTTTGTGAGGCAGAGGCAGGCGGATCACTTGAGGTCAGGAGTTCAAGACTAGTCTGGTGAACATGGTGAAACCCAGTCTCTACTAAAAATACAAAAAATTAGCCAGGCATAGTGGCGGGCGCCTGTAATCCCAGCTACTCAGGAGGCTAAGACAGGAGAATTGCTTGAACCCAGGAGGCGGAGGTTGCAGTGAGCTGAGATCACGCTATTGTACTGCAGCCTGGGTGACAGAGCAAGACTCTATCTCAAAAAAAAAAAAAAAAAAAAAAAAAAAAAGAGCACTCAGAGATGACTCCTGTGTTTTTAGCTGGCAAAATTAGCTGGGCTAAGTGGTACCATTTATTAATTAAGGAGGCAGTGGAAGAGAAGGTCTTATAGGAAGGAAGAAGATATTATAAATTCAATTTGGGAGATATGTGTAGATACACACACATGTATACAACACACACACACCCTCCTTTTTTTTTTTTTTTTTTTAAGAGACAGGGTCTTGCTCTGTCACCCAGGCTGGAATGCAGTGGCATGATCATAACTCACTGTAACCTTAAATTCCTAGGCTTAGGTGATCCTCCCACTTTAGCCTCCTGAGTAGCTAGGACTACAGGCAAGCGCCACCATGCCTGCCTAATTAAAAAAATAATAATTTTTAGAGAGGAGGTCTCACTATGTTGCTCAGGCTAATCCTGAACCTCTGGCCTCAAGCAATTCTCCTGCCTCAGCTTCCCAAACTGTTGGAATTATAGGCCTGAGCCACTGTGCCTGGCCAGGGGGACACGTTGTTTGTAAAACCTATAGGCCATGTAAATAGAGTTATCTGGTAAGCAAATGAACACCTCAGTCTATGCCTTACTTGTTCTGCTTGAATATTATAGCACAAATCACATTGTGTCATATTTACCTGTCTGTGTGCTTTCATTCTAGAGAGTAACCTGAGAGACTGTTTAGCCTGTGTTCCCAGTAAAGCCAAAACAGATTCAACAGATTCTAGCTCTCCCCCTCTCCATCCTTGTTTCCCTGAAGGTAGAGGACCATGTCCAACTCCCTCCCCTACTGGAGGCAGCCTCATGATTTCCCTTCAGGCTTAGGCCTATTTATTATCTTCTCTTCCAAAACATCCCTTCCATTCACTGCTATCTAATTCTACCCTTAAGCATTTCAGTATTTAATATTAAAAAAAAAAAAATTGGTCGGGTGCGGCGGCTCAGGCCTGTAATCTCAGCACATTGGGAGGCCAAGGTGGGTGGATCACAAGGTCAGGAGATTGAGACCAGCTTGGCCAACATGGTGAAACCCCATCTCTACTAAAAATACAAAAATTAGCTGGGCGTGGCAGAGCACGCATGTAGTCCCAGCTACTTGGGAAGCTGAGGCAGGAGAATCGCTTGTACCTGGGAGGTGGAGGTTGCAGTGAGCCAAGATCGCGCCACTGCACTCCAGCCTGGGTGACACAGCGAGACTGTCTCAAAAAAAAAAAAAAAAAAGAAAAAAAGTCAATGGTATCCGCCATCTACTACATTAAAATATTCTCAGACTAGAATTCCATGTATTTCAAAGTAATCATTTATTCAGGAAAGTTTTATGGTGCATCTACTTCTCCAAAAAACTAGAGTTAACGAGAGACAATTCCAATAATTAAAGGCTTCACAGACTAAAATGGCCCTACCCTATCTTTTCTGTTTCCCTACCCACACCTCTGGTCTCGATACTGGCTTCTTTCTGTTCCTTTATGAAGTCCCAGGCACGCTTATGTCTGTCTTTGCTTAATCTGCATCCTCCATCCAGAACACATTTCAAAGTTTGGGGCCCTCCTCCTCCCCAAAAAACAAACCACAAAAAACAAACAAAAAAGTTAAAGAAAAAAAATCTGAGCCCAGTATTGGGTGACTAGTGTGAGAGTTGAAAAATTGTGCAGGATTAATAATAAAAGGCTTTATATGCTATTCCAAGGAGTTTAATCCTAAAGGCATTAGGAGGAAGGATCTACTGAAGTACCTAAGAAGGAAAAACCTGATCAGCTCACCTTATCAACACAGATGACTGACTCATCCCAGACACTAATTTCTCCCCAAGGACTAACACAGCCATACCATCTCTCCTTCCTTTAAATCTCTTTTGTGGCCAGGCACACTGGCTCACGCCTGTAATCCCAACATTTTGGGGACCAAGGTGGGAGGACTGGTTGAGGCCAGAGGTTCAAGATTAGCCTGGGCAACATAGCAAGACCTCATCTCTACAGAAAACAAAAAACAAAAACAAACAAAAAATAAGCCAGGCATGGCGGTGTGTGCCTGTAGTCCCAGCTACAAGGGAAGATGGCTTGAGCCTGCGATTGAGGCTGCAGTGAGCTGAGATCGCGCCACTGCACTCCAGCCTGGAGTGAGGCTCCGTCACAAAAAAAAAAAACCCACCAAAACCAAAAAAATCTTTTGTACTTTAATCACTCTTATCCACTTCATTATAGGGACAGGAAAAGCCTCCGAAGAGTTTCATTGTGAGAAAGTATAATCCCCAAGGAACTGAAAAAGATTAAGTGTGGCTAGAGATATACTGTGTCTTCTCTCCTTTCGTATATCGCTTAAGCTGCTCCTTCAAGGCAAGAAAGCAAGCCTTCTTTACCCTTATACCCCTCTCCCCCATTACTGTTTCGTATTCTTGTCCTCATTGGGTCTCAAAATCGTAATTCACAAGCTTCACTTTCTCTTCTCCCATACCTTTGAAACATACTGCAATCTGGTATCATCTCCGAATGAACACTACTTCTGCCAAAGTTGCCACTGAACCCTTAGCTCCTCAAACCACAAAGTATTTTTTGGTCCTTATTTTGCCTGACTTCTCTGCAGCATTCCATGCTGCCTACCTCCACACCTTTTTTATTCTCTTCTATCATTATTTAATTTCTGGGATCTTGCTCACTCCTGGTTTGCCTCCAGTTTCTCTGGCTGTTTGCCTTTCTCAGTCTCATCTCTTCAGCCTCCTTCCCCACCTGCTTCCTGCAATTGCTGAAGTTCTTTAGGGTTCCCACCTTTAACCTTCTTTTTGGTTCAATCTGCAAACACTCTCTAGGGGACTCTTCCATATCCAGCACTTCAACTCTACTTGCCTGTGTCTTTACTCCTAGTATAGTTGTCTCTCCACAGTGACTAAACAAACTCTCTTCTTGCCATTTCCTTTTAGAAATCCTCAGAAACGCCTAACTCAGCATTCAGAAGTTCACCTTATCTCTTTCCACTTCTTACTCTCCTGTCCATTACTGCTTTCAGTTAATAGTCTACTAGTCACTGGGTTACTTAAGTGTCAACCTTACTTCTCCCTTCATTTAATCAGTTCTCAGTTCCGATCAATGCCGCCTCCTTAGTAACTCTTTATTCTTCAGGCCTTGGCTTATCCCCTTACCACTTCTCACCTAGATCATGGCCAGAGCCCCCTAAATGGTCTCCCCGCCTCCATCTTGACCAGTTCAAGGCCATTCATTCTCCATTGCTCAGTGCTACAGGTGAACTGTTCATAATCATTCCTTATGCACTTCAATGGGCCTTCCTTCTTAATGTCTTTAGGATTAAACTCCTCGGAATGGCATCTAAAGCCTTTCATTATCTGTCTCCTGAGCATCTTTCTGACTTCATCACACTAGTCACCAGGCTCTAGTGGGACCAGTCAGGCTTGCCTACATCTCTACCTTCCACAAACTTCCTTGGCTTGGAATGCGCTTCCCCTTGCTAATTCACGATGATCTTTCAAGAATAAACTCTGGGGAGCAGATGTAGTGGCTCACGCCTGTAATCCCAGCACTTTTGGAGGCTGAGGCAGGAGAATTACTTGAGCCCAGGAGTTTGAGACCAGCCTAGGCAACATAGCCAGATCTTGTGTCTACAAAAAATTTTAAAAATAAGGTGTGGTGGTGCATGCCAGTAGTCTCAACTACTTGGGAGACTGAGGCAGGAAGATCCTTTAAACCCAGGAGGTGGAGGCTGCAGTGAGCCATGTTCATGCCACTGCACTCCAGCCTGGGTGATGGAGCTACAATGTGCCTCAAAAAAAAATACTCAGCTATTACATATTCTTGGGAGGCTTTGCTGACACTCCCTTACCTGTCTGAGTAGATGCTCCTCCTCTCTTCTACAGTCCCATAACATTCTTAAGCACCTTCATCATACTCTGACAACCACTGTCTGTCTGGTTAATGCTCTGACCCTTCACCATACTGGGTTGTCCCTTGAGGGAAAGTCTTATCTTTTATCTCTACATTCCCACTTCCTCCACACAGTACCTGGTATACAGTAGGCATCCAATAAGTGCTTTTAAAATTAGTTACTGTGTACCTACTGGGGTTAGTTGTGTCCATTTATGTCCCCCTTAAAACTGACTTCAACCCTGGGAGGATATCTTCATGTTTTTTTCCTTCCCCTCTCAAAGCACAGTATATAGAGTGCTTAATTAAAAACAAGCGCTTAACAAACTTTCGCTGCTTTTTAAGTAAACCTTAACCCTCATTCCAACATCAAAAATCTACACTCTTGCTCCAGTTGAGTGAGAGGGGTGTCTTAAGAAAGAAACCATGAAGGAGTCACCCTCTCTTGAGAAACAAGGGGGATCACAGGCTCCCAAGGTGTGTGTATGCGCGCGCAGGGGGAAGGGGAGGTCGAGGCAGGGCTCATATATTCCTGGTGGAATACAGTGTATGGTGGGGCGGATGTCCAAATTTTTTAAGCAAGGTTTTCCCATTTCTCCCCATCTCTCCCTCGGTGCCATATGCTCTTTCTTTTATCTCGCCCAGTCTCACTTAGGTCACGTGCGACATCTGGATCTCTTTCCTTTAACCCCGATTCCAAACCCACTCCTCCCCGGCAAACTCCTCCCGGGCCCACGGCACGCATGCGCAGTAACTCCCGCAGGGGCCCGGTCAGTCTCGTGCCCCATGACCCTCTCTTAAAACACGCGCAGTCTCCTCTCTCTTCCCCCTCTGCTCGTTTCTTCCTTGCCTACCAGCCTCACCTGATGGGCTCGTGCTCTCTCCGTCCCCGATCCACTCGGGCTCCGGCGGCTGCTGCTTGGGCGCCTTCGGCATCGCGGTGGCAGTTACAGCTACTGTGGCGGCGCCCGGTGCTATTTCCGCTTCCGGCGGCGGGGAACCCCGATGGGGCTGGCTCTCCAAGCTGGCGCGGCCAACCCCGCCCCCGGGCTGCGCACGTGCGAGCTTCGCCGTCATCTCGGGGGCGTGGCCCTGGTTCAGTGGAGGCGTGGCCTGCAATGACGGAGCGGGGCCGGCGTCCGCTTGCTCCAGTCGCGTAAACACATGGCGTTTACGACTGTCTGGGAAGCCTGACGCCGTGACCTCCCGACGCCGCGAGACTCAAGGAATGAACATAATAATTTCCTACTAGTATGAAGGAGTTGAGGCATACTGTTTTTTTGTTTGTTTTGTTTTTTGTTTTTTTAAAAAGCATATTCTAGTTTCTATCTGTAACTCGTTTCTAGTTCTGCCACCGCGATGCCGAAGGCGCCCAAGCAGCAGCTGCCGGAGCCCGAGTGGATCGGGGACGGAGAGAACACGAGCCCATCAGGTGAGGCTGGTAGGCAAGGAAGACACGAGAGGAAGGGGAAGAGAGAGGAGACTGCGCGTGTTTTAGGAGAGGGTCATGGGGCGCGAGACTGACTGGGTCATGGGCAGAAAAGACAGTGCAGACCAATGGCTAAGGGAGAGGTCTGATCGGTCCAGTGTTGAAATGTGTCACAAAATCCCGAAGTGTACAATTGTAAACAGGGAACTGGAGCCCAACATGCAGAAGTCACGGTGCAGTGGAGCTTCGGTTCATTTATTTTTTTTGGTAACAGCTTTACTGAGATATAATTGACATACAATAAACTGTACACAAAATAAAATGGCACCCAAAATAAACTGCAAAGTATCACTTAAATAAGTTTTGACCTGCATAAACCCAGTAAACTATCACCACAATCAAGACTTTGGTTCACTTCTAACTCTACCACTTAATATGGGAGCTTGAGCAAGGTGCTCCTGTAGTTCTGTCAGCTCTCAAACCACTACAATCATGCTTTTGTTGCCACCATTGTCTGAATTCACACTTGCCAAAGTCAACAGATCTGGGGCCATCCTACTCACTCTCCCATCAATGTTTGATAGACTTGGTCGCTCCCTCCCTCCTTTGTTTTCTTCAGGGACACTACTCTCTATAGGTTTCCTTTGCATCTAATGGGCTTCTCCTGAAGTCTAAATGTTGAAGTGCCTCAGGGCTAAATCTTTGACACTCTCCTTAATCTAGACTTATCACCTATCACCTCCTGACTTTAAATACCATCTATAACCAATGAAGATTCCCAAACTTCTCTTGCTGGCCCCCAACTTCTGCCCCGAGCTCCAGGCTCATGAATTCAACTGCTTATGGGACATCTTCTCTGAGATCTTTAATAAATCTCTCTCATACGTACAAAATGGAGCTCTTGTTCTTACTCCTAAAGCCTGTCTCTTCCAGGCTTCCCCATCAAGAAATTGCACCACAGGTCATTCAGTTATTTGGGCCAAAACTGAAAGGTCATCATCCTCTTTCTCCATTCCTCCTCCCCTAATCAATCCATCAGCCAGCTAAGTCTGCCTCATTTTTTCATTCATCTGTTCAACAAATATATTTATTGAGTGTATAGTATGTGCCAGGCACTCTTCTACGCTCTTGGGATACTACTGAATAAAATAAAGATCTCTGATTAGGTTTCCAGCAGGGGAGATGATCCTATAGATAAAAGAAAATATGGATCAAGTTTAAAAGTATCAAGAGGACAGATTTTAGTCTTAAATGAGGCCTCAGTAAAGTGAAATTCAAGCAAATCATTAAAGAAGATTAGTTTTGGCCACATGGATTTCCAGGAGAAGGGCCTTTCTAGCATAAGAAACAGCTGGAGTAAAGCCCTGTGACAGGAGTGTTCGGACATACATGGGGAACAAACAGGAAGGAGGCAAGAGGGGCTGGAGTGGCACGAGTGAGCCAGAGTTGTGGGAAAGGTGAAAAGAGAAGTAAAGCAGGGTCTGGATTGGGAAAGGTCTTTTAAATTATCTTAAGGATTTTGGCTTCTTCTGTTGATTTAAATGGAAGTCACTGCAGAGTTCTGAGCAGAGTGATGTGATCCAACCTACATTTTAAAAGGATGACCTGGGCTGGGGCGCGGTGGCTCATGCCTGTAATGCCAGCACTTTGGAAGTCCTAGATGGGTGGATCACGAGGTCAGGAGATTGAGACCATCCTGGCTAACATGGTGAAACCCCATCTCTACTAAAAATACAAAAAAGTTAGCTGGGCGAGGTGGCGGGCGCCTGTAGTCCCAGCTACTGGGGAGGCTGAGGTAGGAGAATGGCATGAACCCAGGAGGCAGAGCTTGCAGTGAGCCGAGATCCCGCCACTGCACTCCAGGTTGGGCGACAGAGCGAGACTCCGTCTCAAAAAAAAAAAAATAAAATAAAATAAATAAAAGGATGACCTGGCCAGGTGCAGTGGCTCACACCTGTAATGCCAGTACTTTGGGAGGCTGAGGCAGGAGAATTGCCTGAGCCCAGGGGTTTGTGACCAACCCAGGCAACATAGCGAGACCCCTTGTCTCCGTATATAATACAATTTTTTAATTTTTATTTTATTTTATTTTTTTGAGACAGAGTCTTGCTCTGTTGCCCAGGCTGGAGTGCAGTAGCGTGATCTCGGCTCCCTGCAACCTCTGCCTCCTGGGTTCAAGCAATTCTCCTGCCTCAGTCTCCTGAGTAGCTGGGATTACAAGCGTGCGTCACCATGCCTGGCTCATTTTTGTATTTTTAGTAGAGACGGGGTTTCACCATGTTGGTCAGGCTGGTCTCGGACTCCTGACCTCGTGATCCGCCTGCCTCGGCCTCCCAAAGTGCTGGGATTAGAGGCGTGAGCCACCATGCCTGGCCTATAACATTTTTTAAATTGTTAAATAAAAAGGATGACTCTGGAGGCTGTGCTGAGAACAACCTGGGCGGGAGGTGGGAGGGGGCAGGCAGCAAAGAATGGGCAGAAATGACAGAAGCAGGGAGATCTATTAGGAGGTGATGGTGACTCAGACTAGGGTGACAGCAGTGGAGGTGTGAAAAGGGCTGGTTTCTGAATGTATTTTGGAAAAGAGCCAACAAGTTTTGTTAATGGATTGGAGGTCATGTTTGACAAATAGAATTAAGGATGACTCCAATATTTCTGGCCTGAGTTAACTAGAAAGATGTAATTGCCATCAACTGAGACGAAAACATAACCCAAATTTAACCACTTCTCTCCACCTCTACCCTGACCAAGCCATCGTCTCTTCTCCCTGGACCACTGCACTGCGCTGGCCTCCTAACTGGTCTGCCTGCTGTCATTCTCATTCTCTAGTCTATCCTTCACACCTACAGTCAGAGGTGGTTTTAAAATGTAAATCCATGGGCCAATCGCGGTGGCTCACGCCTGTAATCCCAGCACTTTGGGAGGCTGAGGCGGGCGGATCAAAAGGTCAGGAGTTCAAGACCAGGCTGGCCAACATGGCGAAACCCTGTGTCTACTAAAAATACAAAAATTAGCCAGGCGTGGTGGTGGGCGCCTGTAGTCCCAGCTACTTGGGAGGCTGAGGCAGGAGAATCACTTGAACCCGGGAGGTGGAGGTTGCAGTGAGCTGAGATCATGCCACTGCACTCCAACCTGGGTGATGGAGCAAGACTCCGTCTCAAAAAGAAAAAAAAAAAAAGTAAATCCATTTGTTCAAAGTATAAAAATATTTAAAAAAGTATAAAATCCAGAATAAAATCCAAATGCTTTACCATAGTTTATAGGGCTCTGTACAATATGCCCTCTGTTAAACATCTTGATCCCATCTCCCACAGTCTAGCCACACTGGGCTTTTTTTTTTTTTTTTGAACCAGGATCTTGGTCTGTCATTCAAGCTGGAGTGTAGTGGTATAATCATAGCTCACTGCAACCTCAAAGGATCCTCCCACCTCAGCCTCCAACTAGCTAGGACTACAGGCACACGCCACCAGGCCTGGGTACTTTTTAAACATTTTTGCAGACACAGGGTCTCACCATGTTGCCCAGGCTGGTCTCAAACTTCTGAGCTCAAGCAGTGCTCCTGCCTCAGCCTCTGAGAGTGCTGGGACTGCAGGCATGAACCACCACGCCTGGCCTGGCCTTCTATTTTTACTTCAAACACCCCAGAGTCATTCCTGCATCAAGGCCTTTGCCTTTGCTGTTCCCTGTGCCTGGAACGCACTTTCTCTGTGTGTTCATATGGTTTGTTCCCTCGTTTAATTTTCTCTCTATGTGTTACCTCCTCAAAGCAGCTCTCTCTTTGTATCAACCTGTTCTCTTCCACCTGTCACTCTCTAACCTCTTTTTTCACTTTATTTTCATTTGAAGCATTTACTATTACTTAAAATTATATTACCTATGTATATTGTCTATCATCCTCAAAGCAATGTAAGCTCCATATGGGCAGGGATTTTGTCCTTTTTATTGATGTAGCTCCAGCTCCTAAAACAGTGCTTGCCCTACAGTAGGCACTAAAGTGTTCACTGAAAGTATGCAAAGCTTGGCCAGGTGCGGTGGCTCATGCCTATAATCCCAGCACTTTGGGAGGCCGAGGCAGGTAGATCACCTGAGGTCAGGAGTTCGAGACCGGCCTGGCCAACATGGTGAAACCCCATCTCTACTAAAATACAAAAAATTAGCCGGGTGTGGTGGTGGGCACCTGTAATTCCAGCTACTCGGGAGGCTGAGGCAGGAGAATCGCTTGAACCACCCCCTCTCCCCCCCCAAAAAAGTATGTGAAGCTTAAATAAGACAAAGACAATGTCTATAAAGAGCTTAGCAGGGTACCTGGCACTGAGCAAGCAGCCAGGTGACGCCACACTCTGAGATCTCTCCCTGCCTCTCCGTCATCCCTCCTTAGTCTCCTTGTCTGGCTTATCCTTGTCCTTCTTCACTTAGCAATTCAATGTCAGAGTTCCTCAAGGCTAAGTTCTGGGCCCTTCATCTACAGATTCCTCAGAGAGGTCTATCCTAGCCACCATGTCTTTTTTTTTTTTGGATATGGAGTCTCGCTCTGTTGCCCAGGGTGGAGTACAATGGTGCAATCTCGGCTAACTGCAACCTCTGCTTCCTGGGTTCAAGCCATTCTCCTGCCTCAGCCTCCCAAGTAGCTGGGATTATTTATAAATGCCCACCACCACGCCTCGCTAGTTGTTGTTATTTTAGTAGAGACAGGGTTTCACCATGTTGGCCAGGCTGGTCTCGAATTCCTGACCTCAGGCGATCCACCCGCCTCAGCCTCCCAGAGTACTGGGATTACAGGCGTGACCTACCGCGCCCGGCCACCATGTCTTGAGTAGCTCCCCAACTACTGTTTCTATTCAGTACCCCATTTATTTCCTTCATATGATTCATCTCAACCTGTAATTATATGTTTGCATACTTTTAAGAAAAACAGTCCCTGAGAATTGGGAACTGGCCTGACAATAACTGGCAGGCTTTGGTGTTGCTGGGAGCTGGCCTGTTGCCCATAGTTAGGCCATGGTACTCTTGTTGAACATAAACTATCTCACAGAAAATCAGTGTCAAACAAGGTCATCCTGTGTTTGTGATGAAATTAGACAAACTTCAAAATCTTGTCTAAGCACAAAAACACCACACAGTTCCCTGTCAGCTAAAATGTGTTGGCTTTTTTACCTTACAGCTTTAGCCATATTTCATTTCTCCCTCCTTCTAGATAAGATTAAGAAGTAGTCATCTTTCTGACAGCATCTAAGCCAGAACAATTTCCTGTTTCTTTTGAAATCACCAAACACAAACCCTAATCCTGTCATTCCTAGCCCCCTTTTAGGGAGATAACCTCTGTAGAATTAATAAACTCAACTTAAATGCTTGCCCATAAGTTGAGGAGTTATAAGTTAACTTTTAAGAAGTTTCTTCCGGCTGGGCGTGGTGGCTCACACCTGTAATCCCAGCACTTTGGGAGGCCGAGGCAAGCAGATCACCAGGTCAGGAGATCGAGACCATCCTGGCTAACACGGTGAAACCCCATCTCTACTAAAAACACAAAAAATTAGCTGGGCATGGTGGTGGGCGCCTGTAGTCCCAGCTACTCGGGAGGCTGAGGCAGGAGAATGGCGTGAACCTGGGAGGCGGAGCTTGCAGTGAGCCAAGATCATGCCACTGCACTCCAGCCTGGGCGACAGAGCTGAGACTCCGTCTCAAAAAAAAAAAAAAAAAAAAAAAGAAGTTTCTTCCCAGACAACTGGTGTTCTCAGCCCTTCCTCCATCCTGAGGCTTTGAACATGGATGAGGAAGCCAGAGCTTCACTTTGGACAGTGAATAGAAGCTTGTGGTTGTGAATCTGAAAGTTGGGGGTTGAGGTTCTGAATACTCAGGGACCTTGTAGTGGTGGCATTGTCACACATCTTGGATTGTTGATTGTCCACCTCTTGACCTGTGAGAGAAATAAACTTCTATCTTTTTAAAAATTATTTATTTTTATTTTTATTTTTTATTTATTTATTTTTGAGATGGAGTCTTGCGCTGTCGCCCATGCTGGAGTGCAGTGGTGCGATCTCGGCTCACTGCAAGCTCCGCCTCCTGGGTTCACGCCATTCTCCTGCGTCAGCCTCCCGAGTAGCTGGGACTACAGACGCCGGCCACCACGCCTGGCTAATTTTTTTTCTATTTTTAGTAGAGATGGGGTTTCACCATGTTAGCCAGGATGGTCTTGATCTCCTGACCTCGTGATCCACCCACCTTGGCCTCCCAAAGTGCTGGGATTACAGGCGTGAGCCACCGCGCCCAGCCATAAACTTCTATCTTAAGACTTCTTTTTAAATGGCAGTTACATAAGCCAGAACTACCTGGAGAAATCTGATACTTTTATTTTGACCTGTAATTTTCAAATGTCTACTTTTCTCCAACTCTACTACCCAAGTCTATGTCACCATCATGGCTCACTTGTACTACTGAAGTAGCCAGTAGCCTTCTAATTAACTTCCAGGTCCAAGGTGGGCCCTCTCCATACAAGCTGATTTTTTTTGAAAAGCCAGCCTAAGCCATGATACTCCTGTCTAAAATTCTTCAAAGGCTTCTGTTCTAAGAAAAGAGCCAAATCTTCATGTTTTCCAAGGCCCTGAGTGGTCTAACTCCTCTTTCTTCTGCATCATCTCCCACTGTCCCTAGGTTTCTTAGCTCCTCTTCCCCTAGGTCTTTTAGCGAAGACCTTTGCCTTGACTTCCCTCTCCCACCCCACCTCCTGTTTATCCTTTGGAGCTTGTCTCAGTTGCATCTCCTACCCTGACTCCCTTTATTACACAACTCTCTTTCACCCTCTTTTCTTCCCTGTCTTCTTCCCAGCACTTTTGACAGGTTTAACTTTACATGCTATTTGTGATTATGAGAAACCTGTCTTCCCTGTACATTTTAAATCCATTGGCTTTGGCTGTCAGTTATCTCTAGTGCTTGGTATATTGCCTGGCCCACAGGCATTCTGCAAATTGCTGCTGAAAGACTCCTTCATCATTACCACTCCATAAACACAAACTCTGCAAAGTAAAATATTTAAAAATAACTCCACGGACACCTGGCCTTTCCTTTTTCTTACAAAACTTTGCCCTTGAACATAAGGCAGCTTGTTCTGGTTGATGCCTACAGGCTAATGGAACCTCCATTGGTTTTTTTCAGCCTGGAAGAACCTTAAGCTTTGTCATTCCCCATCACTAGTGTGTATGAACTAAAGAATAAGCTGACTCCACCAGGTGAGAACAGCTTCATCTGCAACTCCAGAGATGACTAGAACACAGGGATTAAATAAAATGCTGGTTTCCACTGCATTTATTACTAATATAAAAAAAGTTAAAAAGAAAAAAAAAAAAAAAACCTCATTCTCAGTTCTCCAACAGCTCTCACCCCTCCCTCTTGCCAATACAACTCCTGACCCATTTCCTCAGGGCCAGTTCAAAACTGAACCTGTTCACTGCTGTTTTCACAGAAAACAACCAGTGCCAGGGATGTAGGGGAAGAGGATTGGAAGAGGGCAACAGTACTGTCCAGCTTCTACCCAAAGATAGGCAAGGTGGAGATTCACAGAATTCAAATGAATGGACTGGTGGCCTCACAATGACATAGTCTAATTAAAATGGGCTGGAAGGGATCTAGGTAGGATAAAGCCATTGGAGGCTTTATAAGACATGTCATGGGTCTGTGTCAGACTCAGAATAACCAACAGGAGAAGAATGGGGAGGGCCAGGGAGGCAGTCTGATGGAAAGTTCACAATTCTCCCATGTTGGGAAGTGGGAAAGTCCAGAGGGCACCAAGCGCCTCACTCATTTTGGCAGGAAAACTTATTCTAGTGCTGGGAAGTCACAAAAATGCCACGGACACTGAGAAAGGCTACAAGGGGATGCACAGTTTCACAAAGCACGGTGATCATAGATAGACCATAGCGGTGGGGATCATGCTACTGACAGAGAAACTATGAAATCCAAAGGCAGGGAGAGTGGCCTTTTAGGAAGTAACTCTGCACCAGTCACCCAAACTTGACCCCAGGTTAGACAACCTGGCTGAGTTTCACAAGCAGCTGACAACATTGGGGGTAGGGAATGTCACATAAAAAGGACTTAAAACAAGCAGCTAAAAGAAGGGAATGGTAGGAAACCGCTCCAGGGCTCTCAGGAATTGAGGGCAATACTGGGGAACAGGTGGACAGATGCACAAGAAACAGCACCAAAGAGGTTTCCTGTTCAGCAGTCATTTGATGACGGGAAAGAAGATCCAGGAGGCAACTGAAAGGAAGCAAAGATGGGTCCCAAAGGCGAGTCTCTACAGGCTGGATCAGAAGAAAGCGCGTATGCCGCGCACCAGTGATGCAACACCACTCTGGACCCCACACGGGGGAAGTGGTGGATGGGATGGGTGTGTCACTGACTGAGGGTGTTAGAAGAGCCTCACAGTAGCCATCATAGGGCTACAGAGAAATAAATGGCCGCTAGGTCACAGAGAGCTCCTTCCAGCCTGGATGGGAAGGCACAGTCTCACAGAGGAGGTCCATTGACGCCTGGATGGTAGAAGGCACAGAGGTCCTCATATCGACAGTGGCCCTTTTTGGCAAAATGTCGGCAGACAGGGCGGTCGGATTTGTCTGTGAACAAGTGAAAATGGAACAGTTAAAAATTTGAGCAACAAAGAAAACAAATACAATGAAACGCAGAGACAGAAGGAGAACTGATTTTCTACCCCCTACCATTTCCAGGTATTTTGGAATGGTAGTCTTTCTCCTGGGAGAAATAACATTGAGGTCTACTTCTGCTTCAAAAGCAAAAAGGAAAGCCCAGAGAAGATTGTGAATGATCTTCTGAAAATTAGGTCACTCTGGGAGTAATGGGCATAACAAAATGGACCTCACCTTCCATAACCTGGGGGTCATCCTTGGGCGGGCAGGTATTCTTGATAAGAGACCAGCTTTTGAGCCTTCGAGGGTTTCTCTGTTCCTTGTGAAAGCTTCCCCTGGTGGGACCCCCATGGCCTGGCCCCGGAAAAGGAGGTTCTGCATTGACTCCCCACCAACCACGACCATATGGGCTAGACCTGGGGCCAAGCCCTCTCCGAATTGGGCCTCTACCCCAAGGAGGAGGTGGGAGACTCAGCAGTGGTGGAATCAGTGGTCCCCTTGATCCTGGAGGACCTCTGTGAAGAGCTGGAGAGAGAGAGAGAGAGAGACACAGAAAGGTGTCTAATGGGCAGCTGAATCCTGATAAACCGTGATTAAAAAAATTTTTTTTATTGAAGAACAGCATACATAAAGACACACCAGTTTTAAGTGCACAACCCAGTTCTCACAAAGTAGACACACTTGAGTTTCCACCACCAGGTGAAGAGATAAAGCCTTATTAGCACCTCAAAAGATCCTCCCCTTGTGCCCCTTTTCCCATTACCCACCCTCCTCCCCAAAGGTAACCACTATCCTGACACCATAGGTTAGTTTTTGCCTGTTTTTGAACTTCACAAAAATGGAATCATACAGTCTGCATTCTTTTATGTCTGGCTCCTTTCGCTCAACATCATGTTTGTGAGATTCATCCAGGTTGCCTGTAGCAGCAGTTCATTCATTTTCGTTGCAGTGTAGTCCCATTGCATGCATACACAACAATTTATTTATCCATTCTACTGATGATGGACATGTGGGTGGTATCCAGTTTGGGGCTATAACGAGAAATGCCACTATAAACATTTTTATACATGTTGTTACACATACGTATGCATTTCTGTTGAATATATACGTAGTAGAGGTATTACTGGCTTATAAAGTATATGTTATGCTCAAGTTTCATACATAATGCCAAACTTTTTTTTCACAGTGGTTATACCAATTTGCACTCTCACCAGCAGTTGTCCTATAGCCTTGACAACACTTGGAATTGTTAGGTTTTTAAATTTTGCCATGGTGAGTGTGAAAAGTGGTGGTTATTTTTTTGTTTGGTTATTATTATTTATTTAATGAGAGATTGGGTCTTGCCACACTGCCCAGGCTGGTCTTGAACTCTTGGGCTCAAGTGATCCTCCCACCTTGGTCTCCTAAAGTGCTGGGATTACAGGCATGAATCATCATGCCTTGTTTTGTTCGGTTTTTATTGTGGTAAAAAACACATAAAAATTACCATCTTAACTATTTTTAAGTGTACAGTTCAGTAGTGTTACATATATTCATATTGATGTGAAACAGATCTCCAAGTTTTTGTTTGTTTTTTGAGATGGAGTCTCGCTCTGTCGCCCAGGCTGGAGTGCAGTGGCGCGATCTTGGCTCACTGCAACCTCTGCCTCCTGGGTTCAAGTGATTCTCCTGCCTCAGCCTCCCAAGTAGCTGGGATTACAGGCGCCCACCACCACGCCTGGCTAATTTTTGTATTTTTAGTAGAGATGGAGTTTTACCATATTGGCCAGGCTGGTCTTGAATTCCTGATCTCATGATCCGCCCGACTTGGCCTCCCAAAGTGCTGGGATTACAGGCACGAGCCACCATGCCCGACCTCCAAAAGTTTTTTATCTTGCAAAACTGAAACTCTGTACCCATTAAACAAAACTCCCCTTCCTCCAGCTTCCTTCCCCCAGCCTCTGGTAACCATCATTCTACTGTTTCTTTGAAGTTGACTTTATTTTTATTTTTTGTTTTGACAATCTTGCTCTGTCATCCAGGCTGGAGTGCAGTGGCGTGATCTCGACTCACTGCAACCTCTGCCTCCCAGGTTCAAGCAATTCTCATGCCTCAGCTACCCGAGTAGCTGGGATTACAGGTGTGCACCACCATGCCCAGCTAATTTTTCTATTTTTAGTAGAGACAGGGTTTTGCCATATTGGCCAGGCTGTTCTCGAACTCCTGACCTCAAGTGATCTGCCTGCCTTGGCCTCCCAAAGTGCTGGGATTACAGGCGTGAAGCACCATGCCCAGCCCCTGAATTTGACTTTAGACACCTCAGATAAGTGGAATAATACACTATGTCTTTACTTAACATAAAGTCCTCAAAGTTCATCCATGTTGTAGTATGTGACAGCACTTTCTTCCTTCATAAGGCTGAATAATATTCCATTGTATGTACACGCCACATTTATCCTTCCATCAGTGGACATGTGGGTTGCTTCCACCTCTTTGTTATTGTGAATACTGCTGCTATGAACATGAGTCTGCAAATATCTCAAGACCCTGCTTTCCATTTTTTTTTTTTTGATATATACCTGGAAGCAGGAGTTCTGGGGTAATTCTATTTTTAATTTTTTTGTCATCTGGTAGTTCTATTTTTAATTAAGAGGAACCTCTTCATATTGTTTTCTATAGTAGTTTCACCATTTTATAATCCCAGCAGCAGTACACAAGAGTTCTAATTTCAAAGTGGTATATTTTTATCTTGCATTTACTTGACAATTAATGATATTGAGTACTTGTTCATTTAGACCTTTAGTTCATTTAGATCTCCATTTTAATAAGGTGTCCTGTGTTTTTGTCAATTTTTCAAATGGCTTGTCTGGAAGAGTTCTTTATATATTATAGATACAGGATCTTTATTTGTTATATTTATTGCAAATATCTTCTATTGTATGGCTTCCTGTTAATTTCTTAATGGTATTATTTGGCAAGTTTGTATTTTGTTTTTTCTTTTTTTTGAGACAGTCTCACTCTGTCCCCCAGGCTGGAGTGCAGTGGTGCAATCTCAGCTCACTGCAACCTCCGCCTTCCAGGTTCAAGCGATTCTCCTGTCTCAGCCTCCTCAGTAGCTGGGATTACAGGCACACACCACCATGCCCGGCTAATTTTTGTATTTTTAGTAGAGACAGGGGTTTCACCATGTTGGTCAGGCTGGTCTTGAACTGCTGACCTCGTGATTCGCCCGCCTCGGCCTCCCAAAGTGCTGGGATTACAGGCGTGAGCCACTGTACCCAGCCGCAAATTTATATTTTCTAACGGAGTTCAATTTATCAATCTTTCCTTTATGGTTAGTGTGTATACGTGCATTTCTTGTCTGTTTAAGAACTCTTAGCTACTCTTAGAAAATACATTTACTTTCTAGAATAATTATTCTCTTACCTTTTATACTTAGATCTACAGTCCATTTGAAATAGATCTTTGTATATGATTATGAGTGCAAGGTGAAATTCCATTTTTTTCACATGAATATCCAATTGATCCAATATCATTTATTGAAAAGACCAACTTTTCAGTTCCATCTTCATCATAAATGAAGTGTCCACACATGTATGGGCCTGTTATTGGACTCTTCGGGACATAAGTCCTATTGACTTATGTCTATCATTGTTTCCAAACTGCATCGTTGTAACTATTGTAGCTTTATAGTAAGTCTTTTTTTCTTCTTGTATTTAGAGACAGGATCTCACTATGTTGCCCAGAGTGGCCTCAAAAACTCCTGGGCTCAAAGGATCCTCGCACCTCAGCCTCCTGAGTAACTGGGACTACAGGCGTGTGCCACCATGCCCAGCTTACAAATCTTGATATTCATAGTAAGCCCTCCCACTTCAAGATTGTCTTGATAGTCGCCTTGATATTTTGCATTTCCCTATAATAATGTGTATTTCCACAAAAACATTATGGGTGTTCTGACTTGGAATGCATGAAATCTGTTTATCAATTTGGGAAGAAGTGACATTTTTACAACATTGAGTTTTTAAATCAGCAAATATACAACTTCTCTCCATTCATTTAGGGATGGAATCCCTGATCTTTTATTTTTAAGTCCTTCCTGGGTTTTATCCCCTCCCTTGCTGTCTTCTCTACGACCTAATACAAGGATCAGGGCCCCTTCCTCCTCACCTGACTTAGGGTCGCCAGGTTTTCCATTGGCCATGGGGGGAGGGCCCAGAAGGCTGGGTGGTCCTAAGAGCAGACATGAAAATATGGTCATCAGAATGGATTAAAGGACTGATGATTCTGTTCTTAGGTGTTTTTCTTGTATTACTTATTTCTTAATTCAACCAGTAAAGTCAGGTATATTTTCAGCAGTCTTGGGAGTTCTCACCCCATCTATCTGCCCTTTTTTCTGCAAAGCTGTTTCAGGGTTTGCAAAAAGTAGATATTCAATCAAAGGGGATAATGCAGGAAAAGATACTGACAACTTTTTTTCTTCACCGTACCGTCGCTATCCAAAACAACCTAAGTGTCTCCAGACATGAACCAATCCCTCACCTTAACTGCTGGCCAGAGGACTAGTTTAGAGAAAGCTGCACCTGTACCTTTTCAGTCAAAGTCTGGATACAAACTGTCATCCCAGTCATCGCAATCTGCAACATCTCTACTACCCCTTTCCCCTACTGTTCTGCGGCTGCGCAAAAGAGCTCTTTATTCTCTCCACCCCCGCCTTCTCCAGAAAGGTCTGGGGCCGTATTGAGGTTGATGGTTCCAGTAAGAGAACTCCTGGTTCAAGGCTCCATTTGGGAGAGCCCCACTTCCATCCCTCCCCAGCGCGTGCGCCCTTCCTCCTTCCGTTACAGCCCCCTCCTTCGCACCTTATTAGCCCCTAGCCCCTTGCCCGGACGGGCTTGACAGGCATGTGCACATCCCTCCCAGACCCCTCACCGATGGGACTCCCATCCTCCTCATCTCCAGTCTCTTCCCGCTCGGGCAGCGGGGGCTGCTGCTGTGTCGGTGGCTGGTGATGATTCTGCTTCTTTCGTTTCGGCATCGTGTCTGCGGCAATGGCTGCAGCGGGATTTGGAGGGTAGTGAGGAAGGGGCACGCGGGGATTCTGTTTCCGCTTCCGGGGGGTCGGTGGGCAGCAATGCTGAGGCTCCCGCCATTCCACTTCCGGAAGGTTGCGGAGAACATCTGCGGCGGCCGCATTCCGGAGCCAACTGCCTCCCTCCGTCTCTGCCAGGCATGGCGGCAACCTCACACCTTCCCTTTGCTGCGTTTCTATAAATGCTTTGAAAAAATTACTCTTTTCTTCCCTCGCTGGAAAACACCACAACCAGCTCCTCAGAGTGTGTCACAGAGTCAACAGGCTCTCGGGCCAGAGGGCCTGAGAAGAGGACTGTCGCACCGTAAGATCGCCACATCCGGTCCTCGGTTACTATGGTAACAGCTGCAGGCACAACTTCGTGCCCTTTGACCTCCCCCCAAAAGTCCTTGTCCCGCTTGGGTTTCCCTTCTCGCCCGCTTTTGCACTTATGATCTGTAAACCTGCTCCTTATCATCGTTCCCACAAGGAATTTGGGTCCCAACAGGTCGGCACCCAGGACTCTCAGACCGCCGCCCTCCCCTAAAGACCTCTGACCGTGCCCCCGGTGTAGTCCAGCAACCTGGACGCAGTCTCGGCTTTCCACTAAGGTCAAGCCCGGGGCTTTGTAGTATAGCCTCAGCGTGTCCACGCCCCCTCTCCCCTAGGTAGTAGGCCCCGCCCTCCGCTCCGCCGCCCCCTCCAGGTGAGTGGTAGGTTCTCCCGGGAGCGCAAGGTAGTGATGACACGCGCCCCCCCTCCTCCGAACGCGAGTTGGTAGCGTCCGTGACGGAGTTAGCCTGGTCCTCCCACGCGCGCCTCCTTCCTCGCCGCCGGGGCGCCCTCTCGGTGCCACTGGCTCTCACGTGCCAGTAGCCCACCCCGCATCATCCTCTCGCCTCGCTCCTGGAGGGAAGTGACTATATCTCCCCCGTCCGCCTTCCATCGCCGCCGCGGCGGTAATTCTGTCGGGCCCGCCCGCTGACGTCACCTGCTAGCCCCGCCTCCTCTAGGGTCCCGGGCCCCTGCGGCGGGGGCTGCCCCGGGGGGCAGTCAGTTGAGGCGGCGGGAGCTCGGCGGAGGGCGGGCCAGGTGACTGGTCCGGGCCATGCCGAGGAAGAAGCCATTCAGCGTGAAGCAGAAGAAGAAGCAGTTGCAGGACAAACGGGAGCGGAAGAGAGGTCAGTGCGGGAGCGGGAGGAGGGGGCGGGGCTCGGGCTTCCGCACATCTGGAAGGAGGGGTGTGCCCGCTGCACCTCTGGGGATCGTGGGAGGGGGTCGTGGGACCGCGTCAACCCTCGCGGCCTATCGCGGAGGGGATCCCCCACCCCCCCTACATCTGGAAGGGGTGGGGAAGGATGGAGAGTTGGGGGAGGGGAATCCCTCCAGCTAGCACGGGGCGCCGTCCCCACTGCTCCCTGAAGGAGTGACTCCCCCCACGCACATCCGGGAGGGTCCCAAATAGGGTGTCTGGGAGGACTGAACATCGGAAGAAGTTGAGTGGGATGAAAGGGAGTCAGGCCGATGGGGGAGAGGGTCTTATGGCCCCTGAGAGCTGGCCAGCACTGGCGTCACCGGCCCCTCCCCGCAGGGCTTCAAGATGGGCTGCGCTCCAGTTCCAACAGCCGCAGCGGGAGCCGGGAGCGGCGAGAGGAACAGACCGACACCTCGGACGGGGAGTCTGTGACCCATCATATCCGCAGGCTTAACCAGCAGCCTTCTCAGGGGCTGGGTCCACGAGGCTACGACCCAAATCGGTGAGGGTGGGAGGGGGCGCTGGTCCCGGCTTTCCCGCCTACCCGGAAGTCAGAGCTTTGGGGGAAAGCGGGCTGCTACTGGTGAAGACGGTGGGCCTGGGATGCCACAGTTCTCCGCTAGCCACTCGGCTCCCCACAGCGGGCCACAGTCTTCCTTTCCAGAGGGGCTGGAGAGAGTTGGGCTTTTAGAAGGAGAAGGCTGAGTATTGCCTGAAAGAAGGACTTGGGGGAAGTCTGACTTGAGAGAGGAGACTTGAACGACTCTGGAGAGAATGGTTTGCGAAGTTGATTGTACAAGAGGGGAGAAAATAGGAGTTTGTGGCCACAGGATTGCTCTGGATGTCTCGGTCCCTGTTCCCTTAGATACCGACTGCATTTTGAGAGAGACAGCAGGGAGGAGGTAGAGAGGAGAAAGAGAGCAGCCCGGGAGCAAGTTCTACAGCCGGTCAGTGCTGAGTTGTTGGAGCTGGACATCCGGGAGGTGTATCAGCCTGGCTCAGGTGAGTGAGAGCAAGACAGGCATTGGGCTGGGGAAGGAGTTTGGAAAGGTAAAAGCCGACTGTGAGGAAGGAGGGGTCTGGGATGTACTCTTGAATCCTGAAGATTTCCTCACACTTGGACTTTTTCCTGAATTCCCAGTTCTGGACTTTCCTCGACGTCCTCCTTGGAGCTATGAGATGTCCAAGGAGCAACTAATGAGCCAAGAGGAACGGAGCTTCCAAGACTATCTTGGGAAGATTCATGGGGCTTACTCCTCTGAGAAACTCAGCTACTTTGAGCACAATCTGGAGGTGACAGTGTACTCTAGGGACAGGAGTGGGGCATAGTGACCTATGGTCAAATTGGTTTGGGATCAGGCTGGAGAGGGACTCTGTTTTCAGTTTCTCTTCCTGATCCTGTCTTTTTAGACATGGAGGCAGCTGTGGCGGGTGTTAGAGATGTCTGACATCGTCCTGCTTATCACTGATATCCGACATCCAGTGAGTACTAGGGATAAGGGTGGGCAAGGAGGAGGGAGAAAGGTTTTTCAGGGGCAAAGGTCAGAGGCAAGAGTTGGGAGACAGAGAGGTATCTATCTTCCTGTCTTTCTAATCTCTACCTAGTGCTGATGTCCGCAGTTAGGAACTCAGTTTTTTATTCTCTTATAGCCTGTCATTCCTCCCTTGGCCAGCTCACTCTTCTCTTCAAAACAGCCATGTCCTGTCCTTTAGCTCATCACAGACCAATAGAAAATCCAAGTGTTGGAGCTCCAGGGATTCTATGAATGCAGCTGGGGACTTCCTCCTGCCCAGCCCAAAGATGCCCTTTCTTCCTTATCTCATTTCTCTAGCACTGCCACATCAGTTGCTACAGAACCCACCTGGAATGCTAGAGTAGTAGTTAAGGCTGTAGACTGCTGCTGGACTGCCCTGTGTGAATCCTAGCTCTGCAACTTCACTCTTGTCCTCCAGTGGGAGAAAGGGAGGTCTGTGAGGACCATTTAGGTTGGAGGTCCTTAATAATATGTACACACACATACTCACACGTACATCATGTGCACATCAATATACACAGGCATGTTTGCACACATGTTCACAGTCACATTAACACACAAACATGCACACATGTGCACGTACTTGCATGCATGCATATATGCACGTGTACACACTTACATAGTTGTGCACACACAAAAAAGCAGACTAATTTCTACCCTAACCCCCATCCCTGTTTCCGATCCCAGCCTTTACCTCAGTGTGCTAAGTGATGCTGTTTCCTTGTCTTGTTTTGGGTTCATTTCCATCTCTAATCATGACCTATAGGAAGCCCTCTGAGACTCAGAAGTATTACTAACCCCTGTTTTGTCTTTGTTTTTCAGTTTGTCTGGTTTATAGTTTTTAGCCCAGAGTCTGCTACCACCAGGGCCTTGTCTCTGAGCTACACCTGCTGAGTGGGGAGCTGGAGGCAGAGAACTCTGGGTTGACTTTCACTGCTCCATCCTCTTATCAACTCTGTCCTAGGTTGTGAATTTCCCGCCAGCACTTTATGAGTATGTGACTGGAGAACTTGGACTGGCCCTGGTGCTGGTTTTGAACAAGGTGGATCTGGCCCCGCCAGCTCTTGTGGTTGCCTGGAAGCATTATTTCCATCAACACTATCCCCAGCTCCACGTCGTCCTTTTCACCTCTTTTCCTCGGGACCCCCGCACCCCACAGGACCCTAGTAGTGGTGAGTGGGCAATGAGAGAGGGCAACTTGGGAGAGGTGAGTTGGCAGGGGACAAAGGGGAGAACAGAGAGGCTTATTGACAAGGGGGCACCTGGTCTTGGGCCTAAGGGTGGTGGGAGAGATGAGAGGCCTAAGCCCGTGTGCCCATCCTTTTGTGCCCTCTGATCTCAGTCTTGAAGAAGAGTCGGAGGCGGGGGAGAGGATGGACTCGGGCCCTGGGGCCAGAGCAGTTGCTGAGAGCCTGTGAAGCCATCACTGTGGGGAAAGGTATGTGGCCCTTAGAGGAGGGCTGTAGGAGGACATGGGGGAGACCAAAGATGCAGAATCATTTTGCTCACCTTTCCTGAAGCCAACCCCTCTATGGTGGATATGTGCAAGAGGCCAGGGGAAGGGACAGAATAAGGAGCAGACTGACTTGGTGGGACGAGAGGCAGCAGGTAGTCAGGAGCCTCAGTGGCTTGCTGCCTTTAGCCTTCCCAGTACTTTTCAGAAGCTCAGAGAAACGTGCGTGATTCCAGGGAGGGTAGGGTCAAATGACTTTTGGGAGATTCTCTGACCTGCTCTTATTTAGGTTGGCACTGTACAACTCCAGAGGGTGCCAGTTACATAATCTGTGCAGGGCACAGTATGTGCCATCATGCACAGCAGCCCTGGGGAGAACCTCTTTAATCTTCTCCTTCTTTGAGCAGTGGACTTGAGCAGCTGGCGGGAGAAGATTGCTCGGGATGTGGCTGGGGCCACCTGGGGTAATGGCTCTGGGGAGGAGGAGGAAGAGGAGGATGGCCCAGCAGTCCTGGTGGAGCAGCAGACTGATTCAGCAATGGAGCCAACTGGCCCAACCCAAGAGCGCTACAAGGATGGGGTGGTGACCATCGGCTGTGTGGGTAAGGAAGTGGCAGCTTGTGCGTGGTGGCCTCCAAGGAGGTACAGAGTTTTCATATTCGGAGAAGAGAGAGGGCGATCAGGTCTCATTAGGCCCCAGGGTGTCTGAGGGGTGATCTCTGCCAGTGGCGGTGGGCAAGGCAGAAGAGGCGTCTGCTGCAGTGGAAGGATCATGACAGCCTGAGTTAAATTCCACCTCTTCTCAGCTGTGAGGTCTTGAGTAAGTGATTTTGCTACTCTGAGTCTTAGTTACTTTGATTTTAAAAATAAGGACATTGATACCTGAGTAAAAGAATGGATGACGGCCATGTGTGAGGGCTCATGCCTATATAGTCCCAGCGCTTTGGGAGGCTGAGGTGGGAGGATTGCTTGAGACCAGGAGCTCAAGACTAGTCTGGGCAACATAGTGAAACCCCATCTTTACAAAAGATAAAGAAAACTAGCCAAGTGTGGTGGTATGTGCCTGTAGTCTCTGCTACTTCAGAGGCTGAGGCAGGAGGATCACTTGAGCCCAAGAGTTCAAGGCTGCAGTGAGCTATGATTGTGCCACTGCACTCCAGCCTGGCTGATAGAGACCCTGTCTTTAAAAAAAAAGAATGGATGTGAGGAATGATGGGAATAGTGTTAAGAGAGTGTAAGAATGCCTGACAAATAGTGATAACAATAATAACAATTATTATTGTTAAAACTCAGTATTTATATGGTGCTTACTATGTAACAGGCACTGTTTTAAGTGGTTTATATAAACCATTTGAATTGTAGTAATTAGTCTGTAGTACAGTGATTATCAAATCATAGTAGGAGCTCAGCAAGAATTAGTATTCTTCTAGGTTTTAACCCTTTAAGTTTGTTGCCAAGGAGAATCTCCTCTTAAGGGCTTTGTCTCAGCTCACAGTGGAGGAAAAAGGAATGTATGATTAGGACCCAGGGCCCGTCTTCATTTAGGGTGGGAGAGGTAAGAAGAGACCTTGGACAAGTTATGGTATCTGAGGTGATATTGGAACCAAAAAGGGCCCAACCCAGAATAAATTTGGGAGTGTGGAGTAGGTAGTTGGGTTCCTTGGAAGTGCCCTGACTTATCTCTGTGTCCTTTTTGTCTTTGGAAGAACCTGCCTTACTGCTGAGTGATTGCTCCTCTTTCCAGTCATTTCACCCGGCTGTCCCTTCCCTGACTTCTGATCCTAGTCTCCCTGTCACAAGGAGCCTCTGTTCCCTCTCTTAGCAGCCTCTGCTCTAGCTGATCTCTATTCCAGGTGGTGTGAGAGGGAGAGTGTTTGCTGTGGCACAGGCACCCCTGAGTTTGGATTTCCCTCCAGCTCTCATTCATTTACCCATTCAACAAATATGTACTGAACACTTAACCAGGTGCCAGATATTCTAGGGATGGGACATACTGCTGTGGAAATGGCAAAAAGGTCTGTAGATTCATGGAGCTTATTTTCTTGTGAGTAAATAGATTTTGTGATCCGAAATCATGTAGGGGCAGTGAAGGCAATAAAGCAATGAAAGGGGATAGAGAGTGACTGAGAGGAGAGGTGCTCAGGGAAAACCTCCCTGAGGAGAGAACTGGATGATGAGATGAAGTGAGCCATTCAGAACTGTGGGGAAAGGGTCTTGAGGAGGGAACGGGCTTGGAGATTCTAGGACCAGCAAGAGTGCCCAGGGGATTGGAGTATGGGAGCCAGGATAAAGTACTGGGGATGAGGTCAGCAAGATCACCAGGGCCCACATCATGTAGAGCCCTGAGGCTGTGACAGCCATTTTGGATTTTATTCCAAGTCTCATGAGAAGCCAAGGGTAGGTTTTGAACAGGGGAATGATAGGATCTGATTTTGTTTCTTATAAGTTTACCTCCTGAGTAGAGAATAAATGATGGGGGGTGGGCAAGAAAGGGAGCAGAGAGAGCAGTTGAGGCTATTTCAGTAATCTAGGAGAGAAATAAGAGTTGCTTAGAGTAGGATGCTGGAGCTGGAGGTGGTGAGACAGGGCCGGAAGCATGATATATTTTGAAGGTAGAGAAAATGAGATCGCTGATGGCTTGCAGTTGGCACGTGAAGGAAAGTGAGGATAAAGAAGGACTTCCAGGTTTTTGTCTTGAGCAACTGGAAATACTGAGATGGGAAGACTGGGGGAGAAGCAGATTTGAAGGCTTTGGGGAGGAGAGGGGAATCAGAAATGAAATTTCAGATTCTTTTTAAATATCCCTAGTGGAGATGTTGAATAGGCAGTGGGTAAGTAGTCAGCAGCTTAGGGGAGAGAAGAGGACGGAAATTTGAATTTGGGAAAGATTTAAATTTGGGGAACCATTGATGGATATAAGTGGTATTTAAAGCCACAGGATTAGGCTGGGCACAGTGGCTCATGCCTATAATCCCAGCCCTTTGGGAGGCTGAGGCAGGTGGATCACTTGAGGCCAGGAGTTTGAGACCAGCCTGGCCAACATGGTGAAACCCTGTCTCTACCAAAAAATACAGAAAATTAGCCGTGTGTGGTGGTGCGTGCCTGTAGTCCCAGATACTCAGGAGGGTGAGGCAGGAGAATTGCTTGAATCCTGGAGGCAGAGGTTACGGTGAGCCAAGATCATACCACTGCACTCCAGCCTGGGTGACAGAGCAAGACTTCGTCAAAAAAAAAAAAAAAAAAGCCATGGAATTGGATGAGATGTAGGAGAGAAAGGAAATAGTTGGAGAAGAGGAGGTCAAGGACTGAGCCTTAGGACAAGCCAGCATTTAGTTGGGCAAAGGACAGTGAGAAGGAGGAAAACCAAGGGAGCGTCCCAGAAGTCAAATGAAGAAGGTGTTTGAAGAGGAAAGGAGGAATCAGCTGTGTCAACTGTTGCTGACAGGCCAAATGAGAGAACAGAGAGCTGCTCAGCAGGCTTGGCAATGTGAAGATCCGTGGTTTCAGTGGGGTGGAGAAAGCCAAACTGGAGTAGGCCCATGAGAGAAGGTGCAACAACTTCACATAACATTGTGTGAAAAGAGTCTGACCCAATAGCATCCATACTGCACAATTTCAGTTCTATCAAGTTTGAAAGCTGCAAAATTAAGCTGCATTGTTGAGAGATACACAGGTCATAAACTAAAGAGAAATGTAAGGAGTTGATTTCCTTAAAAGGATAAAGCTTGCATGTATAGAGGGAGAGGATTATGATCAAGAAGGATGAGTGGCGGCCGGTATGGTGGCTCATCCCTGTAATCCTAGCACTTTGGGAGGCTGAGGCAGGCGCATTACTTGAGGTCAGGAGTTTGAGACCAGCCTGGCCAACATGGCAAAACCCTATCTCTACTAAAAATACAAAAAGTTAGCCAGGTGTGGAGCCGCACGCCTGTGGTCTCAGCTACTCAGGAGGTTGAGGCACGAGAATCGCTTGAACCTGGGAGGATGAGGTTGTAGTGAGCCAACATCGCACCACTGCACTCCAGCCCGGGTGAGGGAGTGAGACTCTGTCTCAAAAACAAAAACAAAAAAAACAAGGACAGATGGAACATGTTGTCACACATTGGGTGGTATGGGGTTCATCAGGCTGCACATGTATGTTCTGTGCATTTTTTTGTATGTTGTAGTTTACAGTTACAAAGAAGATAGCAGGAAGAAATGGTGAAAAAAGTAGGTAAGTCTTTTAAGGAGTTTTCCTGCAAAGCGGACAGAGAACTAGGTCTGGTGGTGGTCGTCAAAGGAGAACTTTTTTCTCCCTCCTTCCCTCCCTTCCTCCTAGATACTTGCATGTGTTGTAAAGAGTGAGCACAGTGGTACATCTTTTCTTAGCCACAGTCAGCTGCCCAGGAGCAGTGCTGAATGGGCAGAGCTGGATTTTACAGGGTTGGGATTTTGCCAGGTGAGTAAGATAGAGGGGAGAAGTGGGACCAGGGAGTTCCAGGTCTGTGAACGGGCCTGGCTGAGGAGCTGGATCATGAAATCTGAGTCAAGTAAGAAGGAAATTGAGGACACGAGTTGGGTATTGCATAGTGTTACTGTGTTAAGGTCAGGGGTCAAAGACTTACTGGCATGGAGTAACCAGAGTAAGTGAGCTGGAAAGATGAGTTGTCAGGGCAGAGAGGGGTGCTTGGAATTGAGGCTTTGGAGCTGTGAAGTGACAAGATGCAGGTATTACCATGGGAGTGGGCAGCTGAGGTGGGGTAAAGGAGATGCTCTGTGGAAGGGAGATGAAGGCACTGAAGTCAGCCAGAAACACAAAAACTGGTGGTGGTGAGTGAGCAGAGTGGCAGTGAGCCCCAAGGCTTCCAGTTTTCTCCTTGGACAAGTCATCGTAATTATTATTATTATTTTTTGAGATGGAGTTTCCCTCTTATTGCCCAGGCTGGAGTGCAATGGTGCAATCTCAGCTCACTGCAACCTCCGCCTCCTGGGTTCAAGTGGTTCTCCTGCCTCAGCCTCCCAAGTAGCTGCAATTACAGGCGCCCACCACCACGCCCAGCTAATTTTTGTATTTTTAGTAGAGATGGGGTTTCACCATGTTGGCCAGGCTGGTCTTGAAGTCCTGACCTCAGGTGATCCACCCGCCTTGGCCTCCCAAAGTAATCACGCTGGGATTACAAGCGTGAGCCACTGTGCCAGGCCAAGTCATAGTAATTATGAGATGTGGATCACTGGTACTGGGTACTTACTGTACTGCAGGCACTGACCCACACAAGTTGTATTGGTTATCTCATTTAATCCTGACCACCCTGAGGTAGGGAGGTGTCCACACTGTAAAATGAAGAAACAGAGGCTCAGAAAGTTAGTTGCCCTGACATCACAAAGCTGGTAAGTGGAAGGGCCAGGATTTAACCCTGGCAGCCCAGAGCGTGATTTGTATTCTGCAATACCATTTCCTTAATTTCTGAGCCTTAGTTCCCCTTTTACCTATAGGTATAGCACCAAGTCCCATCACAGAGTAGAAACCTGTTAAACGTTAATTTTCCTTGCCTTCCTCAGGTTTCCCTAATGTGGGAAAGTCCTCGCTGATCAATGGGCTGGTGGGGCGGAAAGTCGTGAGTGTCTCCAGAACCCCGGGCCATACCCGATACTTTCAGACCTACTTTCTTACCCCCTCTGTGAAGCTCTGTGACTGCCCAGGCCTCATCTTCCCATCTCTTCTGCCTAGGCAGTTGCAGGTATGACGGGGAGGGTGGGTAAGGGAAAGAGAGAAGGTGGGACATTGAGGAAAGTACTGAGTGCTCATTTCCCTCAGGTTCTGGCAGGGATCTACCCTATCGCCCAGATCCAGGAGCCCTACACTGCTGTGGGCTACCTGGCCTCCCGAATTCCCGTGCAGGCCCTGCTCCACCTGCGCCACCCAGAGGCTGAGGACCCCTCAGCGGAACACCCCTGGTGTGCCTGGGACATCTGTGAAGGTGAGTTCCATGTGCCTGGCTTCGCCCCACCTGGTTTCAGCTGCTCTTCCTTACCTGCCTCGCCTTTTACCCTTCCCTGTCTCCTTTCCTCTCCTCAGAGATTCTGCCATTGATGAAGCTGCTGTCCACTCACCCCTAGATTTTTGTTGCATAGCCAGTAAGATCTCTGGCCTGGAATGTTTTGGGGAAAACTGGAAGGACTGTGTTATGGGAGTGGGAGTATAACTGGTACCTGGTTAATGCTTTCCCTTTCCATTATTCTTTTCTTCCTCCAGCCTGGGCAGAGAAACGTGGTTACAAGACAGCCAAGGCGGCTCGGAATGATGTGTACAGAGCAGCCAACAGTCTCTTGCGGCTGGCAGTGGACGGCCGCCTCAGCCTGTGTTTTCATCCCCCAGGCTACAGTGAACAGAAAGGTCAGAGCCCAGATATTCTTCCCCAGCCCCCTGCTATAGCGTAGGTAAAAGGGTGTGGGCTTTGTGGCCAGAGAGAGGGTCAAACCTGGATTCTGTACCTGTTGGCTAGCTCTGTTACTTAACATCTGTGATATTTTCCTGATCTGCAAACTGAGGGTAATAATTGACCCTTAGCATAGTGATTGTAAAGATTGAAGTTGATGTGCACAAAGGTTCTGTTCAGCAATCTGCACATAGGAAGTTGAATGAATGGATGAATGAATGAATGCCAGCAGCTCTAAAGATTATTGTTATTCCTAGTCTTTGCCTCTTCCCCATCTTTCCTTGGCTTTAGTTCTTGCTCAAAACTCTCCTCCATTTTTTTCTTGTTTTGGTTCCCCAGGCACCTGGGAGTCCCATCCAGAGACCACGGAGCTGGTGGTTTTGCAGGGCAGGGTGGGGCCAGCAGGTGACGAGGAGGAGGAGGAAGAGGAAGAGCTGAGCAGCTCCTGTGAGGAGGAGGGAGAGGAGGACCGGGATGCGGATGAGGAGGGAGAAGGGGATGAGGAGACCCCAACCTCGGCTCCAGGGTCCAGCCTGGCTGGCCGAAACCCTTATGCCCTGCTGGGTGAGGATGAGTGCTGAGTTCCTCGCCCAGCGCCATCTTCCCTCCCAGTATCTTTGCTTTTGGACTGACCTGGGGGTATCTCCCCTCTGCCACCCCAATTGTGAATAAAGATTGTTTGCTTTGTAGCCCCTTCCCCAGATGAACTGAGGTGAGAGCGGCTGTTCCAGGCTAACAGCTGTGGGAGGCTTCTCTCCTCTTCTCCCTTCTTTTTTCATGCATTCTCTTTGCAAGGGAAAGTTCTCTTAGGAGTTTAGTAGGTTCTCAGTCTCTGAAACCTGCTTCCTCTACCCATTCTCCCACTCTGCACCTTAGGAATCCCGTTATCTACATGGGGAGGGGAGGTCTAAATCCAGCTCCCTTTTGGAGTTTGTGCCATTCTCCGATTTGAGCAGCAGCCCTGTGTGCCCCCTGCCGCCAGACCTGCTCATTCCAGGAGCTTCTGGGAGAAGGAACAGTAAGAGAGGAACTGTGTCCCAAGCTGATGTCTCTTAATGAGATTTTTACAGGAATTGTTCAAATTCAGCAAATATTTATTGAGGGTCTATTGTGTGTCTTGACCTGTGCTGAGCACCAAGCATATAAGGATGTACCACCAGAGCCTGACCTAAATTTGAAGCCTGGCCATGATCAAAACCCCACCTTCAGGCACCCAAGTTTTTGGATTAAGAAGGGTGAATGATGTTCTCCAAATCCTGGGGGCTCATGCAGTATAATTCTAGGACTTCATGTTGATACAAATTTTTAGTTAAGGCAAAACGCTTGTGAAAATGTTGATTAAATGTGTACGAGTAGTTTTAATTACTGGTGAACAACTAGCGTGCACATTTATGATTTGAGCAGAACAGCCCTTTAAGTACAGTGTTAAGTTTCATTGTTTAAAAGCTTGGCAGCTACGAGTATTTGAGGTACATAGGGGCGGGCACAGAACCAGCCTCCTGAATTCCATTTACTCTGGTTTGGGGGTGGAACAAAGATGATCCAGTGCAGGGTCTGAGCTAGAACCTAGCAGGTGGCCAGAACCATTTTAGGGTTTCACCTCAGCATTTCGGCAGAAATCAGCTCTCTCGTGAGTCAGGGCACCTTAGGCTTTGCTGTATATCCCTTTGTTAAGCCAGCAGCTAGACTCCTAGATTGAATTCTTTTAGAAATGGGAGAATGAGCTTTTTTATTGACTGCCAGTGTTGTCTGTATTGGATGATAGCAAAAAGTGTAGTTGGACAGGTTGCCCACTAGATGGAGTGAGAAGTACCAGACTCCTTTTTTCTCTAAAGCAGATCCTTTCAGGATCTGAGTCACTGGGCAGTTTCTCTAATGCGAGCAGACAGACCCTGTTAACCAAGGAGCAAAGGAAAGTATATTTAAAGAGGCTAAGGTGTTTGGCCACATATTGCTTTAGGTTCATCTCCATTGGTCTCAGTGTGGACATAACTCCTGGAATTCACTCCAGTGCAAAGTTTAAATAATACCAGCATGAGAATGTACTTGAAGGTTTCCCAAAATGTGCTAGACAAGAAAGAGAAAAGGTCCCAGCTGAGAGAAAAATCCACCTGTCTCCCATCTGGGGCTCTTTGGCCTCACTGATAGAAAAGGAAAAGGGGCCCAAGCTAAGCTTACTTTGAGGGTTCATGATGTTCAGAGATGCTCAGGGGACTTCTCCGCTGCAGGAGGTGGGGTGAGGACATTGGATTCATTTCCTCAAAATATGGAGAGAAAGGAGAAAAATCAGAATTCTATTTGTACCTCTGCTTCCTGTGCTGTTTATCTTTGCTTGTCTTTATCTTTTTCCACCTCAGGGGTTTCATCAGGGGTATTTGGGAGAGTCTAGGGGTGGGGATGAAGAATTGACTGGGAGCTGAGGAGGGGGGATTTTTATGCTGAAGACCTGGCAGGAGGCAACTCCTGACACCCCCACAGGGTTAGACTGTAAAACCTCTTCCATGACTTGCTGACTCTATAGGATAATAGCAACAGGAAAAGAACTGAGGGACGTGCAGATGAGGATGAATAGGGCCCCAACACCAGTGCCTGAGGCTGAGGTTAGAACTGACTACAAAGACACAGGAAACCAAGGGCCCAGTCTCCCCTCCACGCTGAAATACGCACCCTCTTGTCTGGGTCATGTCTACTATGTGAATACTTGACCATGGAGGTCTGGGGCTCTGGTGGCTTCCATAGCTGGCTAGTCTCTTGATGGAGAGAAATCAGGGCTTCTCTCATCCATGCTGGAATTTCATTTAGATGTCAACTTCCAAGTTTCCCTTTTTCCAGATGGGATTATAGTCCTGCTTCTGGAACAGGGTAGCTGTGTGTGGTCCAGGATAGTTCAATTATCTGGCCCTTTGTTCACTTCTTACAATCATTGATACAGTCAACAAAAATTGGTTAAAAACAATATATGCCAGACATATATCCCTGAGTTCTGGGACAATAACCAAAATTGAATAAGGCAATATCCTACTCTCAAGCAATAGAGGGTAGGAATAGAATAATAATAATATAATACAATAGCTCTATAGCAGTATGTAAACTATAAAAGCATTATTTTACGTGTTTCTATTGAACTGTCATAACTAAATAAGATGGTTAGTACTATAATTATCCCAAGGATTCATTCACTCATAGAACATTTGTTGAGCAATTACTACCTGCCAGTCACTTCCAAGTGGTAAGTGAGATAGAAATGGTTCTTTGTGGCGCTCACAATTTATTGGAGAATGGAAACACAATTACAAAAAAAAAGTGTGATAAGTTCTGGGAGAAGGGTGGTACAGGATCCTGTGGGGTAGTGGTGGCTCCATATAGGAGGGACATTGGGATACTGATCAGGAAGGAGTGGGGGACAGGGCTAGAAGCTGCATTAGTATAAAGTTATGTCAGACTGCCAAAACAAAACAAACACAAAAAATCAGTAGTCTGTGGTAAAGAATTGCTATAGGAACAGCCAGTAGGGGCAGTTAAGCTGGTCTTGGTGAATCAGGGGAAGCGTCCTAGAGGAACAGATGTCCATGCTGAGGCCAAATGCTGGACAGGAGTTAGCCAGACAGGGAAATTGCATTCTGGGCAGAGGAGACAGCAAAGGTCAAGAAACATGACAACTTTGGAAGACTGTAACTTGTTCAGAGGCAGAGGGTGCAAAGGAGAAATGAGGAAAGGTGAAGCTGGAGAGGTGGGCTTGGTCCAGCTCTTGCTGGGCCTTTTCAGCCGTGTTAAAGATTTAGACTGTATCCAGAGGGATGTTGAACTTTAAGCCTAAGACTGAAAAGGTGAGAATTGTGCCTTAGATCACTATGGTTGCAGTGTGGAGACTGGTTTGGAAAGGGGAGAAATCAGAGGCTTTTACAGCCATCCCAGGGAGAGAGAATGAACACCAGAATTAGGGTAATGGAAGATGGAAAGAAGAGAAATCGTTTTATGGGTTGCTCAGGAGATAGAATTGACATGTCTTGGGATTGTTTTGCTGTGTAGGGGAGAGAGACAAGTCAAGAGTATACATCCTGTTTCTGACTTGGCAACTGGGTGGGTCATGGGTCTGTTTCCTGAGACAGTTGTCTACAGCCATACCACCGTAAGCGCCCTAAATCTCATCAGAGACAGTTTATGCAAATGGAGCTTGGGGAAAGAGAGGTCGTGGCTGGAGACAGAGATTTGGGCATCATCAACATATAGGTGTGGGGAGCAGAGAAGGCTGAGGAAGAAAGCAGGAAACATATAAAAAGGAGAGCAGGGAAAGGAGCCAGTGAGACAGGAAAAACCTAGTAACGTGGTGTGATGAAGCTAGGGGAGGAAGGAAGGAAGGAAGGGCGGCGTGGAACGCTGCTGATGGGTGGTGGCGGGGAAAATGAACGAGTATCCACCAGCAACGAGAGGGGCCTCCATGGTCTTGGTGGGAGCATTTCTTTGGAGAGGTGGAATCAGAAGCCCCAGATGTCAGAGGGTTAAGGAATAATTTGGAGGAAAAGCGTAAAGGCAGTGGAGGTGAGGAGAGAATTTTCAAAATGTTTGGCAGTGATTGCAATGAAAGAAAAAAATGGAGGGAGCAGAGTATATGCAGTTGAGGAACTTTTTTAGTTTGGAGTGTGTTAACACGATGTTAGGAAGAAGGATCAAGTGAAGGAGAAAGGTGAAAATGCTGGAAGGTGGGGCTTAGTGATGAAACAAACCTTGGGGACAGGTGGGCGTGGTACTGAGAGTCCCAGTGAGGGGAGTGCCCTCAGGCAGGCGCCGGTGGCTTCTGTCACAGGAGGGAACAGCGCTGACATTCAGCTGGTTCGCACTGATACGGCTCAACCAGTTTGTTAAAACATGTCTGTTCCAGTGTCAGTAATATACGAGTAACTGCAATATGCAGTAAAAATTATAAATTCTAATACAAACTCAGTTCAAGCTAATTAAGAGATCGCAACAGCCGTTGGTAAATGGACTTCCCGCTGCATTTGAGAAGCTTTGCAGCGCCATCTGCCGGTGTCGTAGCATCACTGCAGGCTGAGAGGCTGCTTTGCGCCTTCATCTTGAAGCACTCTGAAATTGCCTGTTTAAATTACCTTGGAATCATGGAGTTGCTACTGCTTCTGAATAGTTTAGCTTCTACTTTGATTTTATTGTTAGTGCATTGTCGTTCTTGTGTCAGTAGCAAGTTTCAGTGTTTTAATATTTACAAATACAAAAATTTTTAATAAAATATTAAAGCCAAACTTGAATGAAGAGACAACAAAGTTTGGATATGTTTCTTTATGTGCCTTTTGACATATCATAAATGAGAATCTTTTGATTCCTCAGGAGAACAAAGAAGAAATATTAATGAGCTGCAGCCAGGAATGTTTTCTGTTACTGTGTAAAAATCAGAATAATATGGAAATCATTTGCAACTTTTTATTTTGAAAAATTTCTAACATAGAAAAAGAACAATAAACACCCAAATACTGAAAGATTCAACAAATTCTACATTTTGCCATATTTGCTTTACTAGTTTTTGCCAGCTTCTGTATTAATCGATTTTTCTGTCTACTTATCCATTTTTTTTGTTGTCATTACCTTTTATTTTTAAAAATTTTAACCTTTAATTGTAAATTGGCAAATTATAGTTGTATATATTTATGGCGTACAAAGTGATGTTATGATTCATGAATACACTGTGGGATGATTAAATCAAGCAAATTAACATCTATCACTTTTTTTTTTTTGAGATGGAGTTTCACTCTTGTTGCCCAGGCTGGAGTGCAGTGGTGCAATCTCGGCTCACTGCAACTTCCGCCTCCCGGGTTCAAGTGATTCTTCTGCCTCAGCCTCCCGAGTAGCTGGCATTACAGGCGTCCGCCACCATGCCCGGCTAATTTTTTGTATTTTTAGTAGAGACGGGGTTTCACCATGTTGGCCAGGCTGGTCTCCAACTCCTGACCTCAGGTGATCCACCCACCTCCACCTCCCAAAGTGCTGGGATTACAGACGTGAGCCACTGCACCCGGCCCAACATCTATCACTTTTAAATACTTACTTTTTTTGTGGTGAGAATGTTTGAAATTTACTCTCTACATTCAGAGGAGGGAATATGTTAAAAATGTAAAAAAGATATTTACCCTCAACACTTATGAAATGTCCAAGAATTATTTACTATATTCACTTTGCTGTGCAGTATATCTCAAAGAAAAAGAAAAGCTTATTTTTCCAGTCCAATGAAGCTTTGTAACCTTTAACCATCATATCCCCATTTACCCCAGACCCCCAGCCTCTGGTAACTACTATTCTGCTCTCTCCTCCTTTAAGTTCGATTGTTTTAGATTCCACTTATAAGTGAGAACATACAGTATTTGTCTTTCTGTGCCTGGCTTACTTCACTCAGCATAATGTTCTCCAATTCCATTAACGCTGTCTCAAATGACAAAATTTCTTTTTAAAGGCTGAATAGCATTCCACGGTATATATACCATATTTTCTTTCTTTCTTTCTTTTTTTTTTTTTTTTTTGAGACGGAGTCTTGCTCTGTCACCCAGGTTGGAGTGCACTGGTGCAATCTCAGCTCACTGCAAACTCCGCCTCCCAGGTTGAAGTGATTCTCCTGCCTCAGCCTCCAGAGTAGCTGGGACTACAGGCGCCTGCCACCACGCCCAGCTAATTCTTTTGTACTTTTAGTAGAGATGGGGTTTCACCGTGTTAGCCAGGATGCTCTCGATATCCTGACCTCGTGATCCGCCTGCCTCGACCTCCCAAAGTGCTGGGATTACAGGCTTGAGCCACTGCGCCCGGCCTATATACCATATTTTCTTTATCCATTCATCTGCTGATGAACACTCGTTTGACTATGTAACTTCACTGTGGTTAATAGTGCTGCAGCGAACATGAGAGTGCAGGTATCTCCTCGACATACTGATTTCAAATCTCTTTAGTAAATACCCAGACGCAAGATTGCTGGATCATATGGTAATTCTTTTTTTTTTTTTTGAGATGGAGTTTCACTCTTGTTGCCCAGGCTGGAGTGCGATGGCACGGTCTCAGCTCACTGCAACCTCCGCCTCCCGGGTTCAAGCGGTTCTCCTGCCTCAGCCTCTCAAGTAGCTGGGATTACAGGCGCCCACCACCACGCCCAACTAATTTTTGTATTTTTAGTAGAAATGGGGTTTCACCATATTGGCCAGGCTGGTCTCGAGCTCCCGACTTCAGGTGATCCGCTCACCTTGGCCTCCCAAAATGATGGGATTAGAGGTGTGAGCCACTGTGCCCAGCCCCATATGGTAATTCTATTTTTAGTTTTTTGAGGAACCGCCATACAGTTTTCCATAATAGCTGTACTAATTTACATTCCTACCAACAGTATACAAGTGTTGTCTTTTCTCAACCATTTGAACTTTTTTTTTCTTTTTGAGATGGAGTTTTGCTCTGTCACCCAGGTTGGAGTGCAGTGGTGCAATCTTGGTTCACTGCAACCTCTGCCTCCCGGGTTCAAGTGATTCTCTTGCCTCAGCCTCCCCATTAGCTGGGACTACAGGTGTGCACCACCATGCCTGGCTAATTTTTGTATTTTTAGTGGAGACGAGATTACACCACGTTGGCCAAGGTGGCCTCAAACTCCTGACCTCAGGTGATCCGCCTCCTTCGGCCTCCCAAAGTGCTGGGATTGCACTGCACCCAGCCCTGAACCATTTGAAAGTTGGAGACATCGGCTGGGCATGGTGGCTCATACCTGTAATCCCAGTACTTTGGGAGGCCGAGGTAGGCGGATCACCTGAGGCCAGGAGTTGGAGACCAGCCTGGCCAACATGGTGAAACCCCGTCTCTACTAAAAATACAAAAAATTAGCCGGGCATGGTGGTACATGCCTATGATCCCAGCTACTCAGGACGCTGAGGTGGGAAAATTGCTCAAACCTGGGAGGTGGAGGTTGCAGTGAGCCAAGATAGTGCCACTGCACTCTAGCCTGGGTGACAGAGCAAAACTCCATCTCAAAAAAAAAGAAACTTGCAGACATCATGACCATTCACCCCTAAATACTTCATATACATCTCTTACACAATCATAATAGAATCATCATGTTTAATGAGTTAATAATTTTTAATGTCATCTAGCATTAAACTTCTCCAATTTGAATGCCTTTTATAGCATTTAATTTTTCCTAAGTATAATTACCAAATAAAAATTGTATAGATTTATGGTGTATAGCATGATGTTTTAATATATAGCTTTTAAAAAACTCCCAGAACAGGAACCAATCAAGTTTCAACATTGCATTTTTTTATGTCCTTTTCTCACCCCTTTCTTTTTAATCTACAATCATCCAGTTTTTTTCTTCTTGGAATTGGATCTTTGAGGATACTAGGGCAGTTGTCTTTTAGACTGTTCAACATTCTAGATTTGTCTTACTGTTTCTTTGATGTCACTTAATGTGTTCATCTGTCTCCCTGAGTTTTGAGGGGTTTTCCCCCAATTTCTTGGTTAGATTCAGGTTACCCAGTCTTGGGACTAATTCCTCAAACTTGCTATATATGTCACATTGCCTCACATCAGAAGGCATATGATATGAAGCCATCCCACAAGCAGTGATGCTAAGTATGATTGCTTGGTTAGGATGGACACGGTCAGATCTTTTCTGTAAAGGTTATGTTTCCCTCTTGGCAATTAGCAAGTCGTCTGCATGGTTCTTTGACACTGTGTGTATACGCTGAAAAACTTTCTCTTATCGCCATCTACAGTGATTCTTGCTTGAATTGGTTATTTCATCAGAAATTACAAAAGGTGCTTTTCTAATTCTCCCACTTCTACATTTATAAGGGCATAATTACCTAGGAAGGAGCTTTCTCTCACCAACTGGAAAAAGTAGGGTCCTTCTCAAACTCCTGACCTCAAGTGATCCACCTGCCTCAGCCTCCCAAAGTGCTGGGATTACAGACATGAGCCACAGCGCCCGGCCAAAGTAGGGTCCTTCTAAAAGGCAAGGTAAATGCTTATTTCCCTTTACCAGTTTTCAGAATAAGGTATTGGTATGATATTAATCTCCAAAGGTAGAAAATTTATTTTTTTTCTTTTTTTAAACTATAGATTTAGGGTTTTTATCCATTCAGTATTTCTTTTATTTTTTGAGACAGCATCACGGTCTGTTGCCCAGGCTGGAGTGCAGTGGCGCAATTACCACTCACTGCAGCCTCAACCTGCCAGGCTCAAGTGATCCTCCTACCTCAGCCTCCTGAGTAGCTGGGACCACAGGTGCATGCCACCACACCCAGATGATTTTTGTATTTTTTGTAGAGATGGGGTTTTGCCATGTTGCCTGAGATTAAGTGATCCACCTGCCTTGGCCTCAAAGTGCTGGGACTACACCATGCCAGGTATCCATTTAATATTTCACAATTGGTTACAGTCATTATTTTTTTGTGCTCGAACTGTACCTTATGTGTCCAGTGGGAGCCTTTTTTTTTTTTTTTAATTTGAGATGGAGTCTCACTCTGTCACCAGGCTGGAGTGCAGTGGTACGATCTCGGCTCACTGCAACCTCTGCCTCCTGGGTTCAAGCAATTCTCCTGCCTCAGCCTCCTGAGTAGCTGGGACTACAGGTGCATGCCACCATGGCCAGCTAATTTTTGTATTTTTAGTACAGACGGGGTTTCACCTTATTGGCCAGAATGATCTAGATTGGGAGAGGGCCCCAGTGGGAGCCCTTTTAAGCTAACTCCTACATCCATTCTGACATACCCCAAAAGTTCTGTGAGCACTTGCTTGCTTTTGACACAACTAGATGTCCCAGGCACAATTTTTTTTTACTTTCCCAGCTCCAGATGTGGAATCAGCCATTTTTCTTTTTCTTTTTTCTTTCTTTCTTTCCTTTTTTTTTCTTGAGACAGAGTCTCACTCTGTCACCCAGGCTGAAGTGTAGTGGCATGATCTCAGCTCACTGCAACCTCTGCCTCCAGAGTTCAAGTGATCCTCCCACCTCAGCCTCCTGAGTAACTGGGATTATAGGCATTGCCACTACGCCTGGCTAATTTTTGTACTTTTAGTAGAGATGGGGTTTCATTATGTTGGCCAGGCTGGTCTCAAACTCTTGGCCTCAAGTGATCTGCATCTGCCTGCCTTTAGCCTCCCAAATTGCTGGGATTACAGGCATGAGCCACTGCACTTGGCCAAAATCAGCCATCTTTTTTTTTTTTTTTTTTTTTTTTTGAGGCCGAGTCTTGCTCTGTCGCCCAGGCTGGAATGCAGTGGCGTGATCTCAGCGCACTGCAAGCTCTGTCCCCAGGTTCATGCCATTCTCCTGCCTCAGCCTCCCAAGTAGCTGGGACTACAGGTGCCCACCACCATGCCTGTCTACTTTTTTGTATTTTTAGTAGAGACAGGGTCTCACTGTGTTCGCCAGGATGGTCTCGATCTCCTGACCTTGTGATCTGCCCGCCTCGGCCTCCCAAAGTGCTGGGATTACAGGCGTGAGCCACTGCACCTGGCCAAAATCAGCCATCTTTCTAAGGAACATTGATTCGTTTTAGTGAGGAATGGTCTTTAGTGCTGGGAGAGCTCGTTGCTACAGAGGTGTCATCGCTTTAAGTCACATTTAGGGTTTAAAAAAAATCATGAATTCATATTGGTATTTCCAATTCAAATTGTACATTATAGGTTTTTCCCTCTTCTTGGACTTTGTATTTGTATATCTTTTATCAGGGCAATCGAAAGCCTTGGCTCTTAATACTCTTAATATATTTACCTATTTTTCTCTCCTACAATATACATAAAATCATCTTAAAATTGCATTGGGCCAGGCACAGTGGCTCATGCCTGTAATCCCAGCATTTTGGGAGGCTGAGGCGGGCGTTATCACTTGAGGTCAGTAGTTCGAGACCAGCCTGGCCAACATGGCAAAACCCCGTCCCTACTCAAAATACAAAAATTAGCTGGGTGTGGTGGTGGGCATCTGTAATCCCAGCTACTAGGGAGGCTGAGGCAGGAGAATAGCTTGAACTTGGGAAGTGGAGGTTGCAGTGAGCCAAGATTATGCCACTGCACTCCACTCGGGGTGACAGAGCGAGACTCCATCTCAAACAAACAAAAGAAATCGGCTGGGCATGATGCATTCATCTGTAGTCCCAGCTACTCAGGAGGCTGAGGTGGGTGGATCACTTGAGCCCGAGAGATTGAGGCTGCTGTGAGCTATGATCGTGCCACTGCACTCTAGCCTGGGCAACAGAGCAAGATCTTGTCAAAAAAAAAAAAAAATTGGGAAACAAAATCTTTTAGGGCTTCTGAAGTCACCCCATGAGTAACTGAGTGTGATGAGTGTAGGACTCCTGGTCCCAGCACCTGGTCTTATTTCTGTTTCTCAAACATGTCCTTTCCACCCCAAGACTTTTATCCCTTTTTGTTCCCTGGTCTGGAATACTCTGTCCCACCTACCCGCCACCTGTAGTCTTGCCACATCCAGTCTCTGCTGACATATTCCTCAGAGGGGAATATGTGCCTGATTCCCCTCCTTTCAACCTAGGCAAGGTGAGTTTCTCCTGCATGAGTTCCTCTATGGCCAATGAGCCTCACACAATTGAGTGTCTACCATCCACCCGCCAGCAAGGCCCCAAGACAGCACGTTTTCTTCCCTGTTGATCACTCTATTCTCAGTACCTATAACAGCACTGTATTAGTTAGGGTGTTCCAGAGAGTTAGAACCAATCAGATGAAAGAACTGTTTCATGCTATCATAGGGGTTGGCAAATCCAAAATCTGCAGAGCAGGCAGGCCAGCAGCAAAGAGTTGATGTTACAGCTCAGGTCCAAAGGCGGTGTGGAGGCAGAATTCCCTCTTCCTCAGGGACCTCAGTCTTTTTGTCTTAGGCCTTTGAATGATTGGATGAGGCCCACTCACATTGTGGAGGGCAGTCTGCTTTATTCAAAATGCACCAATTTGAAACATCCAAAATACCCTCACAAAACCATCCACAATGTTTGACCAAATATCTGAATACCATGGCTTAGCCAAGTTGACAAATAAAATTAACCATCACAAGTACCTAGCACAAATGCATAATTTTATGTCTATATGTATATATATTTTCTTATACATACATATGCATGCATACACATATTTATGATTATAAAAAGTATATATATATCTATATATATAGAGAGAGAAATAAAGGAATGATCCATGTACCTTACAAATACACTAGAAACATAAATTCATAGATAGCAGCAGATCTCATTACGATGTTTAATTTTATGTGTCAACTTGTCTGGGCCATGGTGTCCAGATATTTAGTCAAACATTATTCTGGATGTTTCTGTGAAGGTGTTTTTGGATGAGATTTACATTTAAATTGGTGAACTTTAAATGTAATGAGGGTGGGCTTCATCCAATCAGTTGAAGACCTGGTTAGAACAAAAGGCTGTCCTCTCTCTTTTGTTCTGGTCAGAAGTTTCCAGCACACCACCTTTGGACTTGAACTGCAACTCTTTCCTGTGTCTCCAGCCTGCTGGGCTCTCCTATCAGACTTTGGACTCACCAAGCCTCCACAATTTTGTGAACTAATTCCTTAAAATAAGTCACACTCTCTCTTTCTCTCTCTGCAAGTATGTATGTATGTACGTATGTATGTATATTCTATTTCTCTGGAGAACCCTGACTAACTCAGAAAGCAAAAATGCCCTCTATGGCAGGGTGCAGTGGCTCATGCCCGTAATCGTAGCACTTTGGGAGGCCGAGGCGGGCAGATCACCTGAGGTCAGGAGTTCAAGACCAGCCTGGCCAACATAGTGAAACTCCGTCTCTACTGAAAAAAACACACACACACAAAAATTAGCCGGGCATGGTGGCAGGTGCCTATAATCCCAGCTACTCAGGAGGCTGAGGCAGGAGAATCGCTTGAACCTGGGGGGCGGAGGTTGCAGGGAGCCAAAAACGTGCCACTTCACTCCAGCCTGGGTGAGAGAGCGAAACTCCGTCTCAAAAAGAAAACCAAAACCAAAAATGCCGCCAATCACGTCTATGAGATAACCATTGTTTACTGTTTGTTCCGTGTTCCTGTATTCTCTCCCCCAACTTTTTCCTGTTTATATATCAGCAAAGATGGATGGAGGGGAAGATTGAAAAAAATGTTTCTTCCAGTTTATATTGTTCTGCAACTTTTATTATTTATTTATGATGTGCTCATTTTCCCATGTCAATACATATAGATCTTTACAAAATGATACTGTGATATTTCATTGTATATACACAGCCTACTTTAACTATTCTGGTACTCCCCCCACGGCCCCCCCCCCCATTATTCACTAGTAGACATAATGCCTCAAAAAAACATTCTTGGGTGGGTGCCGTGGCTCACATCTCTAATCCCAGCACTTTGGGAGGCTAAGGCGGGCAGATTGCTTGAACCCAGATATTGGAAACCAGCCTGGGCAACATGGTGAAACCCTATCTCTACAAAAAATACAAAAATTAGGCTGGGCGCGGTGGCTCACACCTGTAATCCCAGCACTTTGGGAGGCTGAGGCAGGTGGATCACGAGGTCAGGAGTTCGAGACCAGCCTGGCCAACATGGTGAAACCCTGTCTCTTCTAAAAGTATGAAAATTAGCTGGGTGTGGTGGCATGCGCCTGTAGTCCCAGCTACTCAGGAGGCTGAGGCAGGAGAACTGCTTGAATCCAGGAGGCGGAGGTTGCCATGAGCTGAGATCGTGCCATTGCACTCCAGCCTGGGTGACAGAGCGAGACTCCATCTCAAAAAAAAAAAAAAAATTAGCTGGGTGTGGTGGTGTATGCCTATAGTCCTAGCTATTCGGGAAGCTGAGCGGGGAGGATTGCTTGAGCCTGGGAAGTTGAGGCTTCAATGAGCTGTGATTATGCTACTGTACCATGCCTGGGTGACAGCGAGACCCTGTCTCAGAAAACAAAACAAAACAAAACAAAACAAAAAACAAAAAAACCCCAAAAATTCTTGTACTTACTTTTTTGCACACTAGAGGGAGTGTTTCTATAAATTCCTAGTTGCCATGAATGGAATGTTTGTAGTCCCCTCAAACTGTATGTTGAAGCTCTCTAATTCCCAATGTGATAGTCTTTGGAGGTGGGGCCTGGGCTATAATGAGGTTTGGATAAAGTCATGGGGGCATAATGGGATTGGTGCCCTTATAAAGAGATGAAGAGAGGCTATTGCTCTCCCTGCCACAGCAAGGCGGTGGGATGGGCCGGGTGTGGTGGCTCACGTCTGTAATCCCAGCATCTGGGAGGCCGAGGTGGGAGGACTGCTTCAGCCCAGGAGTTCAAGACCAGCCTGGGCAACATAATGAGACCTCGTCTCTACAAAATTACAAAAATTTAGCTGGGCCTGGTGGCATGCACCTGTAGTCCCAGCTACTCGGGCGGCTGAGGTGGGAAGATCAGTTGAGCCCAGGAGGTTGAGGCTGCAGTGAGCCAAGCTTACACCATTGCACTCCAGCCACCTGGGTGACAGAGAAAACCCTCATCTGTTAAAAAAAAAAAAAAAAAAGAAAGAAAGAAGAAAGAAGGAAGAAAGACAGAGAGAAAGAAAGAAAGAGAAAGAGAAAAAGAAAGAAAGAAAAAGAAGGAAAAGAAAGAAAATGAAGGTGGGACATCTGTGAACTGGGAACAGAAAAAGGACCTTCACCAAGCACCTTAACTGCCAGTGCCTTGATACCTGAACTTCCCAGCCCCATGAACTGTGAAAAATAAACCTCTGTTGTCTATAAGCCATCCAGGCTGTGGTGTTGTTATAGCAGCCCAAACTAACTAAGGCACTAATTTAAGTGGAAATGCTAAATCAAAGGTTATGAAAATGTTTAATATTAATAGGTACTAAATTACTTCCCCCAAAGGTGATAAGTTTACACTCTTATCAACAAGAGGTTAAAACATTGTTTTAAGCTGGGTGCAGTGGCTCATGCCTGTAATCCCAGCATTTTGGGAGGCCAAGGTTGATGGATCACTTGAGATCAGGAGTTCGAGACCAGCCTGGCCAACATGGTGGAACCTCGTCTCTACTAAAAATACAAAAATTAGCCGGGCATGGTGGCGGGCGCCTGTAATCCCAGCTACTCAGGAGGCTGAGGCAGGAGAATCGCTTGAACCCAGGAGGCAGAGGTTTCGGTGGGCTGAGATCGCGCCACTGCACTCCACCCTGGGCGACAGAGTGAGACTCTGTCTAAAAAAAAAAAAAGTTTTAATTTACTTTTACTATATGACTGGAGGGGTTGAAAATAATTTCATATTTATTGTTCAATTGAATTTATTCTTCTGTAAATTACTTATATCACTTATATGGTTTTAACAATATATCTTTTAAAATTAATTTGCAGTTGGTATATGATGGATATTACAATTCTACTGTATATGCTGATACTGTTGTAACCACCCAATTGGTTCATTTTGCCTGCTGCTCAGATAGAGCCAATTTATGAAGACAGGGGAATTGCAATAGAGAAAGAGTTTTATATACATAGAGCCAGTTAAACAGGAGACTGAAGTCTTATTATTACTTATATCAGCCTCCTCTCAAATTTGAAGGCTTTTTCAAGATAGTTTGGGTTGGGCATGGCAGCTTACACCTGTAATCCCAGCACTTTTCGAGTCTGAGGTAGGAGGATTGCTTGAGTCCTTGAGTTTGAGATCAGCCTGGACAACACAGCAAGACACCATCTCTACAAAAAATTTAAAAATTAGCCAGGTGTGGTGGTGTACACCTGTAGTCCCAGTGACTTGGGAGGCTGGGCCAGGGAGGTTGAAGCTGCTGTGAGCCATGATTGCACCACTGCACTACAGCCTGGGCGACAGAGTCTCAAGAAAAAAAGAAAAAAAAAGATAGTTTGCTGGGCAGGTGGCTAGGGAATGGGTGCTGCTGATTGATTGGGATGCAATCATAGGGATGTGGAAAATGGTCCTCGTGCACTGAGTCCACTTCTGAGTGGGGCCATAGGACCGGTCTTGGATCTGGGTGGAGTCATCTGGTTTTCCAAAATGGAAAAGCCTGAGCTGGGCAAGGTGGCTCGTGCCTGTAACCCCAGCAGTTTGGGAGGCTGAGGCAGGAGGATCGCTTGAGTCCAGGAGTTTGAGACCAGCCTGAACAACAGAGCCAGACATCATGTCTACTAAAAATACAAAAACAAAACAAACAAACAAGCAAAAAACACCCCAGAACCAAAAAACAACAAAACTGGCCAGGCATGGTGGCATGCACCTGCAGTCCCAGCTACTTGGAAGGCTGAGGTGGAAGGTTCACTTGAGCCCAGGAGATAGAGACTGCAGTGAGCTATGATCACTGCACTCCAGCCTTGGTGACAGAGCAAGACCTTGTCTCAAAGCAAACAAAACAAAAAATAACTGCAAAGACATCTCAAAAGGCCACAGTGATATCATTTTACAGGACTAATTGGGGAAGTTACAAATCTTGTGACCTCTGAAACAATGGCGGGTAATTGTTTATCTAAGCCTGCATTCAGGCCCCTCTCATCCTCCCTAACCTGGTGGCCTTTCATCATTTTTACAAAGACAGGTTAGTTTTGGGAAGGGCTATTATCATTTAAACTGTAAACGAAATTTCTCCCAAAGTTAGCTTGGCCTTTGCTCAGGAATGACTAAGTGCAATTTGGAGGTTAAAGGCAAGAAGGAGTTGGGTTAGATTGGATATCTTTCAATGTCATAATTTTCTCACTGTTACAATTTTTGCAAGGGTGGTTTCGGTGTTTTCATTTTTTTTTCCTTTGTTAAAGCTATATTGACACCTTCCTTCCATCTCCTCCTTGCATTCCCACAGCACATCCTCCAACAGAAGCCACAGACAACAGAAGAGAGCAGCTTCCCTGTGTGTCCCATACCCACCTCTCCACTTCTGCCACTGGGCATGGACTCCTTTTGATGAACAAGTTCCTCTCACCACGAGCTCACTCTCTTCACACCTAGCTTTAGACCCATGGAAAAAGTCCTGCTGAGTCAAGTCAAGAAGTTCTTCTTCTTTTTTTTTCTTTTTTTGAGACGGAGTTTCACTCTTGTTGCCCAGGGTGGAGTGCACTGGCGCAATCTCGGCTCACTGCAACCTCCGCGGCCCGAGTTCAGGTGATTCTCCTGCCTCAAGCTCCTGAGTAGCTGGGATTACAGGTGCCTGCCACCACGCCTGGCTAATTTTTTGTATTTTTAGTAGAGACGTTGTTTCACCATGTTGGCCAGGCTGGTCTCAAACTCCTGACCTCAGGTGATCCAACCGCCTCGGTCTCCGAAGTGTTTGGATTACGGGCGTGAGCCACCGCGCCGGGCCAAGTTCTTCCTGAGGACCCAAACCCTAGACACTCAAACCAGTGGTCTCTCTGTCTCTTCTGCACCCACTCCCACCATCGTGCCCTGGACCTCAACAGGGGTTATGCTGGGTGAGAGGCTGCTAGATGTTTAGAGACACTGAAATCCAGGGCATGACTGTGGCCAGGAAGAAAACAAGGGCAAGAGAAAGATGCTAGAGATAAACTTCCTTTTTCTTTATTCTTCCTAAGGATGAGTCCAGCAGCCAGGTCCTGGGTGACTTTGTCCATTTAGGCACATAAAAAATGGACCAACATGGAAATGTTCACACACTCCCTTATTAGATGAGTTAGGTTCACACAGAAAAAAACAAAAAAAGTTTCCTAAAAATTGTCACCACTATGATGATGCACTTGTTCTGTGTTTTTGTTTTCTTGTTTTATTTTGATTCTTTTCTTTTTTTTTTTAAGAGACAGGATCTCACTATGTTGCCCAGACTGGTCCCACACTTCTGGGCTGAAGTGATCCTGCCTGTTTCCCAAAGTTCTGAGATTACAGGTGTGAGCCACCAACCATGCCTGGCTTTTTTTTTTTTTTTTTTTTTTTTTTTTTTTTTTTTTGAGACGGAGTCTTGCTCTGTCGCCCAGGCTGGAGTGCAGTGGCACAATCTAGGCTCACTGCAAGCTCCGCCTCCTGGGTTCACGCCATTCTCCTGCCTTAGCCTCCTGAGTAGCTGGGACTACAGGCGTCCACCACCACGCCAGGCTAGTTTTTCATATTTTTAGTAGAGACGGGGTTTCACTGTGTTAGCCAGGATGGTCTCGATCTCCTGACCTCGTGATCCGTCCGCCTCGGCCTCCCAAAGTGCTGGGATTACAGGCGTGAGCCACCGCGCCCGGCCATCTTAATTCTTTTATGGACAGTGTGAAGTAGACATTTTAACTCCATGGTAGAGGTGAGAAAACTGAGGCTTAGTAGCAATGCTTTAATTGGAAACATTTATTCACAAATAGATAAGACTCTAAAAAGAAAAAAAAAGTGATTCATGCGATTAGTCCCCACTTCTCAGGGAAAACCCTACAAAACACCCGAGCTGCTGGCTACAAATGTCATGGGTTTATTTAATTTTCCACGTGGTTGTTTCTCCCTGGCCAGTGAACATTTCATTTAGCAGGGAGGCTGGATCTGGCCTGCCATCTGGCTTTCGTGGTGCACTTTAGACTCTGGAGTTTGACAACAGCTGTTGCACAACCATGCCAGGAGGCCACCAGTCTTGGGACAATGGTTTCTCATTAGTTTGCATAAGGTAGAACAGAAATAGTAGCTGAGGGAAAACAAAAACTTTAAATAATTTAGGGATGGGATTTTCCTGGATGAGTCACATTTTAATGAGTATATCAATGATTCATTATGTATGAATGTTATGATGTGTGCAGAAGTTATTTCTTTTTTTTTTCTTTCTTTTTTTTTTTTTTTGAGACGGGGTTTCGCTCTGTTGCCCAGGCTGTAGTGCAGTGGCGTGATCTCGGCTCACTGCAAGGTTCACACCATTCTCCTGCCTCAGCCTTCCAAGTAGCTGGGACTACAGGTGCCTGCCACCGCACCTGGCTAATTTTTTTTGTATTTTTAATAGAGACGGGGCTTCACCGTGTTAGCCAGGATGGTCTCCATCTCCTGATCTCGTGATCCGCCCGCCTCAGACTCCCAAAGTGCTGGTATTACAGGCGTGAGCCACCGCGCCTGGTCTATGCACAAGTTATTTTTATCAGCTCTAACTGTCCTTAAGACCAAGTATCAACATGAACTCAACATAGAACCAGACCATCAAATGTCTGCATTACAAATTGTTAAAGCATCATTTTCAAAAATAATTAAGCATAATTAGTCATATTGCTCTCACTTGAAAGTATATAATTAATAATGTTATAAGGGCAAAATATTCTTTTTTCTTTTTCTTTTCTTTTCTTTTTTTTTCTTTTTTGAGACACAGTCTCACTCTGTCGCCTAGGCTGGAGTGCAGTGGTGCGATCTCGGCTCACTGCAACCTCCGCCTCCCGGGTTCAAGCGATTCTTGTGCCTTAGTCTCCCGAGTAGCTGGGATTACAGGCACCCGCCACTACGCCCAGCTAATTTTTTGTATTTTTAGTAGAGACAGGGTTTCACCATGTTGGCCAGGCTGGTCTTGAACTCCTGACCTCGTGATCTGCCCGCCTCGGCCTGCCAAAGTGCTAGGATTACAGGCGTCAGCCACCGCGCCCAGCCCTATTATTTGTATTTTGAATAAAAATTGTTATTTAAATTATTTTTCTTTATCATATCTTCTAAAATTTCTAATTAAAACACTTTATAATGTGCATAATGTATTGCTACAAAGCAACATACAGTTTAAAAAGTAGGGAAGATTTTTTTTATTTTTTATTTTATTATACTTTAAGATCTGGGGTACATGTGCACAACATGCATGTTTGTTACATAGGTATACCTGTGCCATGGTGGTTTGCTGCACCCATCAACTGGTGATTTACATTAGGTAGTTCTCCTAATGCTATCCCTTCCCTAACCCCCAACCCCCCCACAGGCCTCGGTGTGTGATGTTCCCTGCCCTGTGTCTGTGTATTCTCATTGTTCAACTCCCACTTATGAGTGAGAACATGTAGTGTTTGGTTTTCTGTCCTTGTGATAGTTTGCTGAGAATGATGGTTTCCAGCTTCATCCATGTCCCTGCAAAGGACATGAACTCATCCTTTTTTATGGCTGCATAGTATTCCACGGTGTATATGTGCCACATTTTCTTAATCCAGTCTATCATTGATGGACATCTGGGTTGGTTCCAAGTCTTTGCTACTGTGACTAGTGCCGCAATAAACATACATGTGCATGTGTCCTTATCATGATTTATAATCCTTTGGGTATATACCCAGTAATGGGATGGCTGGGTCAAATGGTATTTCTAGTTCTAGATCCTTGAGGAATCGCTGCATTGTCTTCCACAATGGTTGAACTGATTTACACTCCCACCAACAGTGTAAAAGTGTTCTTATTTCTCCACATCCTCTCCAGCATCTGTTGTTTCCTGACTTTTTAATGATCACCATTCTAACTGGCGTGAGATGGCATCTCATTGTGGTTTTGATTTGCATTTCTCTGGTGACCAGTGATGATGAGCATTTTTTCATATGTCTTTTGGCTGCATAAATGTCTTCTTTTGAGAAGTGTCTGTTCATATCCTTCGCCCACTTGTTGATGGGGTTGTTTGATTTTTTTGTTGTAAATTTGTTTAAGTTCTTTGTAGCTTCTGGATATTAGCCCTTTGCCAGATGGGTAGATTGCAAAATTTTTCCCCATTCTGTAGGTTGCCTGTTCACTGTGATGATAGTTTCTTTTGCTGTGCAGAAGCTCTTTAGTTTAATTAGATCCCATTTGTCTATTTTGGCTTTTGTTGCCATTGCTTTTGGTGTTTTAGTCATGAAGCATTTATCCATGCCTATGTCCTGAATAGTATTGCCTAGGTTTTCTTCTAGGGTTTTTATGGTTTTAGGTCTTATGTTTAAGTCTTTAATACATCTTGAGTTAATTTTTGTATAAAGTGTAAGGAAGGGATCCTGTTTCAGCTTTCTACATATGGCTAGCCAGTTTTCCCAGCACCATTTATTAAACAGGAAATCCTTTCCCCATGCTTGTTTTTGTCAGGTTTGTCAAAGATCAGATGGTTGTAGATGTGTGGTGTTATTTCTGCGGCCTCTGTTCTGTTCCATTTGTCTATATATCTGTTTTGGTACCACTACCATGCTGTTTTGGTTACTGTAGTCTTGTACTATAGTTTGAAGTCAGGTAGCGTGCTGCCTCCAGCTTTGTTCTTTTTGCTTAGGATTGTCTTGGCAATGTGGGCTCTTTTTTTGTTCCATATGAACTTTAAAGTAGTTTTTTCCAATTCTGTGAAGAAAGTCATTGGTAGCTTGATGGGGATGGCATTGAATCTATAAATTACCTTGGGCAGTATGGCCATTTTCACGATATTGATTCTTCCTATCCATGAGCATAGAATGTTCTTCCGTTTGTTTGTCCTCTTTTATTTTGTTGAGCAGTGGTTTGTAGTTCTCCTTGAAGAGGTCCTTCACATCCCTTGTAAGTTGGATTCCTAGGTATTTTATTTTCTTTGTAGTAATTGTGAATGGGAGTCCATTCATGATTTGGCTCTCTGTTTGTCTGTTATTGGTATATAGGAATACTTGTGATTTTTGTGCAATGATTTTGTGTCCTGAGACTTTGCTGAAGTTGCTTATCAGCTTAAGGAGATTTTGGGCTGAGATGATGGTGTTTTCTAAATATACAGTCATGTCATCTGCAAACAGAGACAATTTGACTTCCTCTTTTCCTAATTGAATACCCTTTATTTCTTTCTCTTGCTTGATTGCCCTGGCCAGAACTTCCACCACTATGTTGACTAGGAGTGGTGAGAGAGGGCATCCTTGTCTTGTGCCAATTTTCAAAGGGAATGCTTCCAGTTTTTGCCCATTCAGTATGATATTGACTGTGGGTTTGTCATAAATAGCTCTTATTATTTTGAAATATGTCATCAATACATAGTTTATTGAGAGTTTTTAGCATGAAGGGTTGTTGAATTTTTGTCGAAGGCCTTTTCTACATCTATTGAGATAATCATGTGGTTTTTGTCGTTGGTTCTGTTTATGTGATGGATTACATTTATTGATTTGCATATGTTGAACCAGCCTTGAATCCCAGGGATGAAGCCGGCTTGATCATGGTGGATAAGCTTTTTGATGTGCTGCTGGATTTCGTTTGCCAGTATTTTATTGAGGATTTTTGCATTGATGTTCATCAGGGATATTGGCTTAAATTTTCTTTTTTTGTTGTGTCTCTGCCAGGCTTTGGTATCAGGATGATGCTGTTCTCATGAAATGAGTTAGGGAGGATTCTCTCTTTTTCTATTGATTGGAATAGTTTCCGAAGGAATGGTACCAACTCCTCTTTGTACCTCCAGTAGAATTTGGCTGTGAATCCGTCTGGTCCTGGACTTTTTTTGGTTGGTAGGCTATTAATTATTGCCTCAATTTCAGAGCCTGTTATTGGTCTATTCAGGGATTCAACTTCTTCCTGGTTTAGTCTTGGGAGGGTGTATGTGTCCAGGAATTTATTCATTTCTTCTAGATTTTCTAGTTTATTCGTGTAGAGGTGTTTATAGTATTCCTGATGGTAGTTTGTATTTCTGAGGGATTGGTGGTGATGTCCCCTTTATCATTTTTTATTGTGTCTATTTGATTCTTCTCTCTTTTCTTCTTTATTAGTCTTGCTAGCAGTCTATCAATTTTGTTGATCTTTTCAAAAAACCAGCTCCTAGATTCACTGATTTTTTGGAAGGGTTTTTTGTGTCTCTATCTCCATCAGTTCTGCTCTGATCTTAGTAATTTCTTGCCTTCTGCTAGCTTTTGAATGTGTTTGCTCTTGCTTCTCTAGTTCTTTTAATTGTGATGTTAGGGTGTTGATTTTAGATCTTTCCTGCTTTCTCTTGTGGGCATTTAGTGCTCTAAATTTCCCTCTACACACTGCTTTAAATGTGTCCCAGAGATTCTGGTATGTTGTGTCTTTGTTCTCATTGGTTTCAAACAACATCTTTATTTCTGCCTTCATTTCATTATTTACCCAGTAGTCATTCAGGAGCAGGTAGTTCAATTTCCATGTAGTTGTGCAGTTTTGAGTGAATCTTAATCCTGAGTTCTAATTTGATTGCACTGTGGTCTGACAGACAGTTTGTTGTGATTTCTGTTCTTTTATATTTGCTGAGGAGTGTTTTACTTCCAATTATGTGGTCAATTTTAGAATAAGCGTGATGTGGTGCTGAGAAGAATGTATATTCTGTTGATTTGGGGTGGAGAGTTCTGTAGATGTCTATTCGGTCCCCTTGGTCCAGAGCTGAGTTCAAGTCCTGGATATGCTTGTTAACCTTCTGTCTCATTGATCTGTCTAATATTGACAGTGGGGTATTAAAGTCTCCCATTATTACTGTGTGGGAGTCTAAATCTCTTTGTAGGTCTCCAAGGACTTGCTTTATGAATCTGGGTGCTCCTGTTTGGGGTGCATATGTATTTAGGATAGTTAGTTCTTCTTATTGAATTGATCCCTTTACCATTATGTAATGCCCTTCTTTCTCTCTTTTGATCTTTGTTGGTTTGAAATCTTTTTTTTTTTTTTTAGTCAGAAACGAGGATTGCAACCCCTGATTTTTTTTTTGCTTTCCATTTGCTCGGTAGATCTTCCTCCATCCCTTTATTTTGAGCCTATTTGTATCTTTGCACATGAAATGGGTCTCCTGAATACAGTACAACGATGGGTCTTGACTTTTTATCCAATTTGTCAGTCTGTTTTTCAGTTGGGGCATTTAGCCTATTTACATTTAAGATTAATATTGTTATGGGTGAATTTGATCCTGTCACTATGATGTTAGCTGGTTATTTTGCCCATTAATTGATGCAGTTTCTTCATAGTGTCAATGGTCTTTACACTTTGGCATGTTTTTGCAGTGGCAGTGGCTGATACCAGTTGTTCCTTTCCATGGTTAGTGCTTCCTTCAGGAGCTCTTGTAAAGCAGGCCTGGTGGTGACAAAATCTCTCAACATTTGCTTGTCTGTAAAGGATTTTATTTCTCCTTCACTTATGAAGCTTAGTTTGGCTGGATATGAAATTCTGGTTTGAAAATTCTTTTCTTAAAAATGTTGAATATTGGCCCCCACTCTCTTCTGGCTTGTAAGGTTTCTGCTGAGAGATCCGCTGTTAGTCTGATGGGCTCCCCTTTGTGGGTGACCCGACCTTTCTCTCTGGCTGCCCTTAACATTTTTTCCTTCATTTCATCCTTGGTGAATCTGACAATTGTGTGTCTTGGAGTTGCTCTTCTTAAGAAGTATCTTTGTGGTGTTCTTTGTATTTCCTAAATTTGAATGTTTTCCTGCCTTGCTAGGTTAGGGAAGTCCTCCTGGATAACATCCTGAAGAGTATTTTGTAACTTGGTTCCATTCTCCCCGTCACTTTCAGGTACACCAGTCAAATGTAGATTTGGTCTTTTCACATAGTCCCATATTTCTTGGAGGCTTTGTTCATTTCTTTTCATTCTTTTTTCTCTAATCTTGTCTTCTTGCTCTATTTCATTGAGTTGATCTTCAATCACTGATACCCTTTCTTCCACTTGATTGAATCAGCTACTGAAGCTTGTGCATGAGTCATGTAGTTCTCGTGCCATGGGTTTCAGCTCCATCAGGTCATTTAAGGTCTTCTCTATACCGTTTATTCTAGTTAGCCATTTGTCTAACCTTTTTTCAAGGTTTTCAGCTTCCTTGCGATGGGTTTGAACATCCTCCTTTAGCTCGCAGAAGTTTGTTACCAACCTTCTGAAGCCTACTTCTGTCAACTTGTCAAACTCATTCTCCATCCAGTTTTGTTCCCTTGCTGGTGAGGAGCTGTGATCCTTTGGAGGAGAAGAGGCAATCTGGTTTTTGGAATTTTCAGCTTTTCTGCTCTGGTTTCTTCCCATCTTTGTGGTTTTTTCTACCTTTGGTCTTTGATGTTGGTGACCTACAGATGGGGTTTTGGTGTGGATGTCCTTTTTGTTGGTGTTGATGCTATTCCTTTCTGTTTGTTAGTTTTCCTTCTAACAGTCAGGACCCTCAGCTGCAGGTCTGTTGGAATTTGCTGGAGGTCCACTCCAGACCCTGTTTGCCTGGATATCACTAGCGGAGGCTGCAGAACAGCAAATATTGCTGCCTGATCCTTCCTCTGGAAGCTTTGTTCCAGAGGGGCACCTGCCTGTGTGAGGTGTCTGTTGGCCCCTACTGGGAGGTGTCTCCCAGTCAGGGTACACGGGGGTCAAGGACCGACTTGAGGAGGCAGTCTGTCCATTTTCGGAGCTCAAATGCCATGCTGGGAGAACCACTGCTCTCTTCAGAACTGTCAGACAGGGGCGTTTAGGTCTGCCAAAGCTGTCTGCTGCCTTTTGTTCTGACATGCCCTGCCCACAGAGGTGGAATCTAGAGAGGCAGTAGGCCTTGCTGAGCTGCAGTGGGCTCCACCCAGTTCAAGCTTCCCGGCCTGTTTACACTGTGAGCATAAAACTGCCTACTCAAGCCTCAGGAATGGCGGACGCCCTCCCACCCCCCCAACAAGCTGCAGCATGCCAGGCCAATCTTAAGACTGCTGCACTGGCAGTAAGCAAGGATCCATGGGCATGAGCCCCACCGAGCCAGGCACGGGAGGGAATCTCCTGGTCTGTCAGTTGTGAAGACCATGGGAAAAGCCCAGTATTTGGGCAGGAGTGTACTGTTCCTCCAGGTACAGTCTGTCACGGCTTCCCTTGGCTAGGAAAGGGAAATCCCCTGACCCCTTGCACTTCCCAGGTGAGGCGATGCCCTGCCCTGCTTTGGCTCGCCCTCCATGGGCTGCACCCACTGTCCAACTAGTCCCAATGAGATGAACCAGGTACCTCAGCTGGAAATGCAGAAATCACCCATCTTCTGTGTTGGTCTTGCTGAGAGCTGCAGACCGGAGCTGTTCCTATTCCAGCAAGATGCTTTTAAAACCTTAGAGATGATGGATCCCAGACACCAAGCTTCTGGCTGTGGCTTGGCCTTTCTAAGTATTCAACAAGTCTGTCTTTTCCAAGTGTCTTTAAAGACCAGAAATACCTGTTTTTAACACACAGGGTTGCAAAATTCAGAGGAGATTGGCGAGCATCCCTCTTGTCTGCCCCACATGTGTTTCTTTGCCAGAGGCCACCGTGGCGAGCAGGGGCCTGTGACTGCCCCAACCAAAATTTTGGAAAGTCATTCTGGCGCTACCAGATGCCCCGAGGTTCCCAGGTTGGAGTCTTTCTCTCCCACTGGGTTTCTCCTGCAACTCTTCCCAGCCCACTGGCCCCACTGCCAGAGCACACAGGAGTCCGGACACACACCGCGGGACAGCCTGACTCGCTACTGCTCTCTGCACGTGCTATATGAGAGGGTTCTTTTGAGAACAGAAAATGCAGTGACTGAGCAGGAAAGGGTGAAGGAGGAAAACCAGAGGTCGCATGCAGCCAACCAGGCATTACAAAAATGCCTTCTGGAAAAGTGCACTTGGAGTTGGTTTCCAGAGAAAATGAAAAGTCCCTCCAGAGAAATGTAAAGGCCAGAGAAACGAAGACTCAGAGAATGAAAAGGCCAACCCTGCTCATCCAGTAGCCCAGGGCTAGCCCAGACAGACCCATTCTCTTGTTGGGCTTATGACTCTGGGTGAGTCTTGGTTTCTTTCTCACCCCAAAGCCAATGTTAAACCTACAAATGAAAAAGAACACTTAAAAGGATGATCTGGGCCAGGTTCAGTGGCTCACGCCTGTTATCCCAGCACTTTGGGAGGCTGAAGCGGGTGGATCTCTGGAGGTCAGGAGTTTGAGACCAGCCTGGCCAACCTGACAAAACTCTGTCTCTACTAAAAATACAAAAGTTAGCCAGGAGTGGTGGCGGGTACCTGTAATCCCAGCTACTTGGGAGGCTGAGGCTGGAGAATCACTTGAACCCAGCAGGCAGAGGTTGTAGTGAGCTGAGATCTGCCACTGCACTCCAGCCTGGGCAACAAGGGTGAAACTCTGTCTCGAAAAAAAAAAAAAAAGGATGATCAGCAACTTGGCAAATCGTAGCCATGTTTGTTAAGTGGAGGAAAAGTATTAAACATATTATGAAAACAGAAATGGTAGTCATGTCAAACAAACAAACATTACATATGTAGGGAAAAAGATTGGCAACAAATACACAAAAAATAAAGTTCTGTTTTGATATTCTGAATTTGAGTGGTTCCCCACACCCTCTACAATTTCCAAGTTTTATGAAACATGTTGTCTCCTTTAATTAAGGCAGCAGTAACCTCTACGCACGTGATCCCCACTGCACTCTAAAACTTCCAATTAGGCCGGGCGTGGTGGCTCATTCCTGTAATCCCAGCACTGTGGGAGGCCTAGGTGGAGAGGATCACTTGAGTCCAGGAGTTGGAGACCAGCCTGGGCAACATGCTGAAACCGTCTCTACAATAAATACAAAAATTAGTGGGGCATGGTGGCACACACCTGTAGTTCCAGCTACTTGGGAGACTGAGACGAGAGGATTGCTTGACTCTGGGAGATCCAGGTTGTAGTGAACCAAGATCATGCTGTGTCCGGAATTGTTGGGTTCTTAGTCTCGCTGACTTCAAGAATGAAGCCGTGTACCCTCGCGGTGAGTGTTACAGTTCTTAAAGATGGTGTGTCCAGAGTTTGTTCCTTCAGATGTTCAGATGTGTCCAGAGTTTCTTCCTTCTGGTGGGTTCATGGTCTCACTGACTTCAGGAGTGAAGCTGCAGACTTCCGCGGTGAGTGTTATAGCCCTTAAAGGTGGCATATCTGGAGTTGTTCGTTCCTTCTGGTGGGTTCGTGGTCTTGCTGGCCTCAGGAGTGAAGCTGCAGACCTTCACAGTGAGTGCTACAGTTCATAAAGGTGGTGCACCCGAAGTTGTTTGTTCCTCCCGTCTGGAGTTGTTTATCCCTCCCAGTGGGTTTGTGGTCTCGCTGGCTTAAGGAGTGAAGCTGCAGACCTTCACAGTGAGTGTTAACAGTTCATAAAAGCAGCGTAGACGCAAAGAGTGAGGAGCACTAAGATTTACTGCAAAAAGCAAAAGAACAAAGCAGCTTTTACGGTGTGGAAGAGGACCCGAGCACGTTGCCGCCGCTGGCTTGGGTGGCCTGCTTTTATTCCCCCATCCGGCCCCACCCACATCCTGCTGATTGTTCTATTTTACAGAGAGCTGATTGGTCCATTTTACGGAGAGCTGATTGGTTCATTTTACAGAAAGCTGATTGGTCCGTTTTGACAGAGTGCTTATTGGTGTGTTTACAATCCTTTAGCTAGACACAGAGTGCTGATTGGTGAGTTTACAATCCTTTAGCTAGACACAAAAGTTCTCTAAATCCCCACCAGATTAGCTAGACACAGAGTGGTGATTGGTGCATTTACAAACTTTTAGCTAGACACAGAGTGCTGATTGGTGCGTTTACAATCCTTTACCTAGACACAGAGTGCTGATTGGTGTGTTTACAATCCTTTAGCTAGACACAGAGTGCTGATTGGTGCATTTACAATCCTTTAGCTAGACACAAAAGTTCTCCAAGTCCCCACCAGACCCAGAAGCCCAGCTGGCTTCACCTCTCAATGGCACTCCCGGGACTTTGCCGCGCCTAGTGGGGCACTCCGGCAGCCCAGAGGGCGCTCCTCCCCCACCCCCCCATCAAGCCCAGCAGGCGACGCCAACCTTGCCCCCAGTGCAGGGCCTGCCTAGCCCGCACCCACCCGGAACACCACTGGCCCGGGAGCACCACGCGCAGCCCCTGTTCCCACTGGCGTCTCTCCCTCCACACCTCCCCCCAAGCAGAGGGAGACGGCTCCGGCCTCAGCCAGCCCCAGAGAGGGGCCCCCACAGCACAGCAGTGGGCTGAAGGGCTCCTCGAGCCCGGCCAGAGCAGACACCGAGGCCGAGGAGGCGCCAAGAGCAAGCAAGGGCTGCTAGCAGGTTGTCACCTCTCAATGCCACTGCACTCTAGCCTGAGTAACAGAGCAGATCTGGTGTCAAAAAATAAAATAAAAAATAAAGAACGAGACCAGGCACGGTGGCTCACGCCTGTAATCCCAGCACTTTGGGAGGCTGAGGTGGGCAGATCACGAGCTCAGGAGTTTGAGACCACCCTGGCCAACATGGCAAAACCTTGTCTCTACTAAAAGTACAAAAATTAACTGGGCATGGTGGTGGGTGCTTGTATTCCCAGCTACTCAGGAGGCTGAGGCAGGAGAATCACTTGCATCTGGGAGGCAGAGGTTGCAGTGAACCCAGATCGCGCCACTGCACTCTAGCCTGGGCAACAAGAGTGCAACTTCGTCTCAAAAAAATAAATAAAGAAAAATAAAATGAAACCTCCAATTAAAAGGAGAAATTCAACCAGGTGCAGTGGCTCACGCCTGTATCCCAACACTTTGGGAGGCCAAGGTGGGTGGATCGCTTGAGGTCAGGAGTTCGAGACCAGCCTGACCAACATGGTGAAACCCCATCTCTACTAAAAATACAAAAAATTAGCTGGATGTGGTGGTGCACACCTGTAGTCCCAGCTACTCGGGAGGCTGAGGCAGGAGAATTGTTTAAACTTGGGGCGTGGAGGTAGCAGTGAGCCGAGATCACGCCATTGCATTCCAGCTTGGGTGACAGAGCGAGACTCAGTCACAAATAAATAAATAAATAAATAGGCCAGGTGCGGTGGCTCACGCCTGTAATTCCAGCACTTTGGGAGGCCGAGGTGGGCGGATCACCTGAGGTCAGGAGTTCGAGACCAGCCTGCCCAACATGGTGAAACCCCATGTCTACTAAAAATACACACACAGACACAAAATAGCCAAAATTAGCCAAAAAATTATAAATAAATAAAATAAAAAGATAAGTTGCACACTCAGGAGGCTGAGGCAGGAGACTCGCTTGAACCCAGGAGGTGGAGGCTGCAGTGAGCCGAGACCACGCCATTTCACTCCAGTCTGGGCGACAAAGCAAGACTCTGTCTCAAAAAAAAAAAAAAGACAAATTCAGCAGAAGCATTGCTTGAGTAACACGGAAACTCAGAACCAGGAAACTGAAGGCGGTTACTCCACATACATCTGGGGCAATAAGTGAGCTGTTCCAGCGCGGCTTACGCTGTGGGCGGAGGCGGGCAGGAAATTCACTTACAAGTCTGTGCCAGGAAACAGGAAGAAGGTGCCTCCTGTGATACAAGATACAGACGTAGTCTCCTATCCAGGAAACAGGGACAGAGCCGCAGACCAGATAAAGATACGACCAACATTTTTCATTAAATATTCTCAACGGATTATTTACATTTTTTCTAGAAAAGTAAAATTTAAACCTGAATACATTTGATAACTATGGAATGTGAGCATTCACGTATGCTTGTGACCTGGTTCCTCTACGCTTCAGGGGTCGCCCTGGTCCCAAAGCGCTTCCTGCCGCTCCCACTTCCTCTGTTTTCACCGGAGGGGCAGCCACAGTTCTCGGCTGAGAGAAACTCGGTCGTTCTGTTTACCTCGTGAATGATTGGCTACAGATCCCAGAGAGGAAATAGGGACCCACCCCTCAGTTGTTATGCAATCTGGGGCGGAGTCCGGGGTCCATAGCCTTTCTGAGGGTAACCTGAGCGGGAGAAGTTGTTGCGCCTGATCTCAAACAGCCTTTCGCACGGAAAAGGATTCCTAAAAGTGGGGTTACTCCTCCACAGCAATAGCGTCCTTAAAATAGGGGCTCCCGGCTGGGCGCGGTGGCTCACCCCTGTAATCCCAGCACTTGAGAGGCCAAGACAGGCGGATCACCTGAGGTTGGGAGTTCGAGACCAGCCTGAACAACATGGAGAAACCCCCTCTCTACTAAAAATACAAAATTAGCCGGGTGTGGTGGCGCATGCCTGTAATACAAGCTACTCGGGAGGCTGAGGCAGGAGAATCGCTTGAACCTGGGAGGCGGAAGTTGCGGTGAGCCGAGATGGCGCCATTGCACTATAGCCTGGGCAGCGGCAAGAGCGAAACTCCGTCTCAAAAAAAAAAAAAAAAAAAAAACTATATATCTATCTATCATCTATCTATCTATCTATCTATCTATCTATCTATCTATCTATCTAGGCTGCCGGTGAGGACGTGAGGCACGTGCCACTGAGCCACTGAGAATTTACCCCCCTGGGCAAGTCTGTGAGGCCAGGGCCCCTAGGGAAAAAAGCCTTTCCCAGATTTTAGGGCTCATATGCCTGCAGTGGGTTGGTAGGGATCGGGGAAGATGATGAGGTTGGGATAAGGAAGTGGTACCAATAGAAAGACTAAGCAAACCAAACCAAATCAAACTTTCCCCTTTCCATCCCTGTCCTCCTCTTTGCAATCCCATTTGGGTGGCTGAAGGCAGACCCTGACCAGAGCCATCCTTGCCGGCTTCTTTTGTCTTGCTCTGTGGGGAAACGAGTGAAGAAAAAAGCAGAAGGAAAGGCAAGTGAAATGGAGCCCTCTGTGAAGAACTACGACTAGGGTCACACAGAGCAAAATTCCTAGCCTTCCTTTGAGGAGTAGCCGTATTTCCATTTAAAAAGGACCCACTTTATGCAAGATTCAGGGCTGGGAATTGGTCCTTCCTGCCTCAAGAATTTCAAAGACTTCTAGAGGAGAGTGTCCAAAGACAGACAAGAAAGTGGCCAGTGCCCTGAAGAAAGTCAGGGGGTCCAGGGGAGTGTGAACCCTGAATATCTGAGACAGGTCTCAGTTAATTTAGAAAGTTTATGTTGTCAGGGTTGAGGATGTGTGTCGGTGACACAGCCTTAGGAAGTCCTGATGACATGTGCCCAAGTTGGTCAGGGCACAGCTTGGTTTTATACATTTTAGGGAGACATGAGACATCAATCAACATATGTAAGATTAACATTGGTTCGGTCTGGAAAGGCGGGACAACTTGAAGCAATGGTGGGACAACTCCAAGTGGCGAGGGGGCTTCCAGGTCATAGGTAGATAAGAGACAAATGGTTACTTTCTTTTGAGTTTCTTTTTTTTTGAGATGGAGGCTCGCTCCTGTTGCACAGGCTGGAGTGCAGTGGTGCGATCTTGGCTTGTTGCAACCTCCACCTCCCAGGTTCAAGCGATTCTCATTCCTCAGCCTCCCGAATAGCTGGGATTACAGGCATGTGCCACCACGCTGAGCTAATTTTTGTATTTTTAGTAGAGACGGGGTTTCACCATGTTGGCCAGGCTGGTCTCGAACTCCTGGCCTCGGGTGATCCATCCGCCTCGGCCTCCCAAAGTGCTAGGATTACAGGTGTGAGCCACTGTGCCCGGCCTCTTTTGAGTTTCTGATTAGCCTCTCCAAAGGAGGCAATCAGATAGCATTTATCTCAGTAAGCAGAGGAGTGACCGAATAGAATGAGACGTAGGTTTGCTCTCAGCAGTTCCCAACTTGACTTTTCCCTTTAGCTTAGTGATTTTCGGGCCCCAAGATTTATTTTCCTTTCACAGGTATCCCCTGTTCAGTTCAGACTGAACCTGAGGGGGTGTAGGGATGTACTCCAGGCTGGAGTGAAGTGGCATGATCTCGGCTCACTGCAACGTCTGCTTTCTAGGCTCAAGAGATCCTCCCAACTCAGCCTCCTGAGTAACTGGGATTTCAGGTGAGCACAACCATGCCCAGCTAATTTTTGTATTTTTAGTAGAGACGGGGTTTTGCCCTGTTTCCCAGGCTGGTCTGGAACTCCTGAACTCAGGTGATCCACCCACCTCGGCCTCCCAAAGTGCTGGGAATACAGGCGTCAGCCACTGTGCCCAGCCAAATTCTACGTCTTTTAAAAAATTAAGAGAAGAAATTAGTAAAATACACTTAAAGTTTTTCGTATGAAACTTATTTAGTGTTTCTGATGATTTGTTCTTGTGGATTGGACTTACAATCTGATGTGGTTCCTTTGTTTCAATGTAACTCCATCTTTTCCCTATCCTTTGTACCATTATTGTCATATGTGTGTGAGTGCATATATACACACACATTATCTTTAGATGTTACAAACCCAACACTGTAATTTTATAATTGTTGTTTTATGTAATTTCTTTTAAAACAGTTAAGAAATGAAAAGGAGCCAGGCATGGCGGTGTGCATCTGTAGTCCCAGCTACTCAGGAGGAGGCTGAGGTGAGGGGATCACTTGAGTCCAGGATTTGAGGCTGCAGTGAGCGATGGTCAAACCACTGCACTCCATCCTGGGTGAGAGAGTGAGACCTTGTCTCTCAAAAAAGAAAAAGAAAAAGAAGAGATTTGTAGTTTTTAGTTTTTAGTTTTTAAAAAATAATTACCAACATATTATTTTTTCTGATGCTGTTTGTTTCTTTTACAAATTTTACTTTTTTTAATGTAATATTTTTGAGATGGAGTCTTGCTCTGTTGCCCAGGCTGGACTACAGTGGTGTGATCTTGGCTCACTGCAGACTCCACCTGCTGGGTTCAAGTGATTCTTGTGCCTCAGCCTCCCAAGTAGCTGGGATTACAGGTGTGCGCCACTGTGCCTAGCTACAAGTTTTATCTTTAATTGACATACAATAATTGTTTTTCATTGGATTGGGATTATTATCTGGTGTCATTTCTTCTCAGTCTGAAGAACTTACTTTAGTATTACATTAGTGTTTCTTGTAAGACATATCTGCAAGAGATAAATCTCCCTAGTCTTTGTTTATGTAAGAATATGTTCATGTTGGCTTCTCTTTTTGTTTTCTTTAGAATAAATTTTGGTTTTGGAGACAGGGTCTCGCTCTGTTGCCCAGGCCGGAGTGTAGTGGCATGATCATGTCTCATTGCAACCTCAATCTCTCGGGCCTAAGAGAGCCTCCTGCCTCAGCCTCCTGAGTAGCTAGGACTACAGGTGTGCACTACCACACATGGCTAAATTTTTTTTTTTTTTTTTTTTTTGCAGAGACAGGGTCTTACTTTGTTGCCCAGGCTGGTCTTGAACTCCTGGGTTCAAGCGATCCTCCCACCTTGGCCTCCCAAAGTGCTGGGATTATGGGTGCAAACCACTGTCCCTGTACCGGTCTTCAGTTTTGAAGGATAATTTTTCTTGATGTAAAATTCTTGATTGCTAGCTTCTCCCCACTAACCCCCAAATTTGCATATGTTACTGTCTTCTTTAATTTTTTTTTTTTTTTGAGACAGAGTCTTGCTCTGTTGCCCAGGCTGGAGTGCAGTGGCACAATCTTGGCTCACTGCGCCTCCGCCTCCCGGGTTCAAGCAATTCTCCTGCCTCAGCCTCCCGAGTAGCTGGGATTACAGGCATGTACCACCACACCCAGCTAATTTTTATATTCTTAGTAGAGATGGGGTTTCACCATGTTGGCCAGGCTGGTCTTGAACTCTTGACCTCGTGATCTGCCTGCCTCAGCCTCCCAAAGTGCTGGGATTATAGACATGAGCCACGGCACCCAGCCCATGTTACAGCCTTCTAACCTCCATTGTTACTGATGAGGTTAGCTATTAAGATTATTGTGTCTGTGTGTATGAGTGTATTTGTATGAGATGAGTTTTTTCTCATTGCTTTTAAGATGTCATTTCTATTTTTGGCTGGTAATAGTTTCAGTATAATATATTAATGTTTAGGTGTGAATCAATTTTTTTTTTTTTTTTTGAGACAGAGTCTCACTCCATTTCCAGGGCTGGAGTATAGTGGCATGATATTAGCTCATTGCAACCTCTGACTCCGTGGTTCAAGCAATTCTCCTGCCTCAGCCTCCCGAGTAGCTGGGATTACAGGTGTGCATCACCATGCCCAGCTAATTTTTGTATTTTTATTGAGACAGATTTCACCATGTTGGCCAGGCTGGTCTCGAACTCCTGACCTCAAATGATCCACACACCTCAGCCTCCCAAAGTGCAGGGATTACAGGCATGAGCCACCGTGCCTGGCCGACAATTTCTATTGACTGTTTCTCCCTGCAAATGGATTGCATTTTCCTATTTCTTTGCCCTTTTGTAACTTTTTTGGAAAACTGAAAATTTTAGACAATATATGCTAGCTCTGGATTCCAATTTCTTTCTCTTGGGGGTGAAGGTGGTTGTTGTTTTGTTTGTTTTTATAGTGACTTGCCTGTACTAATTCTGTGGAGTCCCTTTCCCTTGCAGTATGAGGGTTCAGATATTTTTATAGTGACTTGCCTGTACTAATTCAGTGGAGTCCTTTTCCCTTGCAGTATGCAGTATGAGGCTTCAGATATTTCTGCTCAGATATTTCTGCTCAGGTTCCTTTTTGTTTTTGAGACAGAGCTTCACTCTTGTTGCCCAGGCTAGAGTGCAACGGCGTGATCTCGGCTCACTGCAACCTCTGCCTCCTGGGTTCAAGCGATTCTCCTGCCTCAGCCTCCCGTCCTTTTTTAATTCTTATTTTTATTTTTAAGCCTGAATTCTTAGGGGTTGCCCCTGGATCAGCATAGCTTAATGGTCAGCCAGTGATCTGTTAGAGTTTGTGCTTAAATGCCTTAAGCCAGTAAGGCTTCTAACCCTGCTGTTGGAGCTGTGTGTGATTTGGAGGGTACTTTCAAAGTTCAGAGAGTTTACAAGTGAGCCATGGCTTTCTCTTTATTTCTGAGACCTCATATTTAGTTGCAGGGAGGAGTAGCTTCCTATAGCCTTCTCAAGTCTCTCTTCTAAGCAGTTATAACCCTGTGTGCTGCACATAGCTTTTTAAACTACCAAAGTTAAATGGTATTTTACTAAGGCATTCTTTGTCTGTTTTGTTCCTTTGATTTCCCTTTTAAATTTCTGGCTAGTCTGCTATTTTGCTGCTTCTCCCAACCATTGTCATGACGCAGGCTAGCCACACCGTTAGGCTTTGCTAATGAATTCTTCTGTGAAAAAGTACTGCCACATCTTCCCATTTATTTATTTAAGAATTTCTTTTATCAATATGGGCTAATGGATACTTATTTTATTCTATGGGTTATAATCCAATTCCATTATTACTTATTTTGTTGCTCAAATTGTTTCCATTTTAACTATTGGAATTATTTCCAGTTGGCTCCTGTGTCCCTTTGATATGGTTCTCACCTTTTAATCGAGCATGTAAATACTTTCTGACATCATAGGATGCCCCAGTCCTAGAATCGACCGTTTCTCCAAGGAGCCGGAATGCCGTTTTGTTTTCAATTTAAATTTTTTTTGTGTAGAGATAGTGTCTCACTATGTTGCCCAGGCTAGCCTCGAAATCCTGGCCTCAAGCGATCCTCCTGCCTCAGCCTCCCAAAGTGCTAGTATTACAGGCGTGAACCACCATATCTGGCCTGTCAGATTCTTTTAATTTTTGGTTTTTAACTTTTTATTATTGAAAACTTAAAATTTATAAAAAATTAGAAAGAATAGCAAAGTGTTTCCATCACTCAGCTTCAACAATCATCCCTCCCTTAGAGAATCCTAGTAATCTGAACAGGAATGTGGATCAGCAAGGCCTGTTTAGGTGACTAAAGCAGTGAAAATTATCTCCATCAATTGTGTGGGATGAATTTTCAACAGCAACACCTATAGCAGAGAAAAGCAACAGCTTCTTTTCTGTTCTTAGCACTGAAGGGGACTACGAGTGTACCCTTTGGCTGTGGGGTGCTTAGACATTTCACAGGAAGCCCCAAGAGGTATTAGAATGGATCACTGGAAAAATAAAGTTGTGAATATATTTGTATCTTGGGTTTTTAGTGGAAGCTCACATTAGTTACAGTTATGACAAAACCTATTCTCTGTACACCCAAGGGTCTTTTTTGGTCACAAGAGAATATTTTCAAGGGGAATTTAAAAACATAAGAAACCACGTTTACGCTGGGCACAGTGGCTCATGCCTGTAATCCCAGCACTTTGGGAATCTGAGGCGGGCAGACCACTTGAGCCCAGGAGTTTGAGACCAGCCTGGCCAACATGGTGAAACCTCGTCTCTACCAAAAATACAAATAATAATAATAATAATAATAATAAAAATAAAGCAGGGCATGGTGGCGTGCACCTGTAGTCCCAGCTACTGGGGAGGCTGAAGTGGGTGGGAGAATTGCTTTAACTGGGGAGGCAGAGGTTGCAGTGAGCTGAGATTGTGCCACTGCACTCCAGCCTGGGTGACAGAGTGAGAGCCTGTCTAAAAAACAAACAAACAAACAAAAAACCACGTTTAGTCTGAGGAACAGTACCTCGTGGTACATTGCCATAATTAGTTCCCAAGAGAAGATTGAGTGTCAGGCCCTGGAGAGGCCTGGAGCACTAATCAGGGAACCAAGGCTGGGGAGGGTGGGGGAAGGCCCAGCTAGATCTTTCATTCCTGATCTTCTTTCTCACGATCCAAAGAGATGTACTTACTACTTTTTGTCATTATGTCTGTTAAGTATTTTTAAATTCACTGGTTCTCTCTCATTTTTTTTTTTAGCTTTAACTTCCGCTACAGTTTACCACAACTTCCTGGTTCCTCCCCTTTGTGGTCACAAAAACATTTCCTAGTTGAGATACATTTTCTTGACTTGAGTCTCCTTTCTCTGGTTCATTTGGTGCCTTTATCAACTCTATGCATAGTGAGGTTTTAAGTCTTTATAAAGATCATTGGCACATGAGGGGGTCTGCAGCCTACTGTCCTATTTACTCAGTTTGGTGTTATTCTACTATATTTGTGATGTCAGGAGCCACACTGTCTGGAAATGATGCTGGGAGGTCATTCTGGGTTGCCTGAAAAACAAACTCATTAGAACCTGGGGCTCCCTCTTCTTCCAGTGAGTGGGGTTTCCAAAAGTTAGAATCCAGTGGAACCAGGGGTGTTTTTCTCACTCCTGGCAGAGGGACGTGTGACTAGCCATGGGCCCCTAGGTCTCCAGTTCCTGGGTAGCTTGTATTTTTGAACATCTCCTGTATATTAGTTATCATTACAGCATAAAAATTGTCCTAAAATAAGTGGCTTAAAACAACACACCCTTATTATCTCACAATATTTGAAGGACAGCAATTCAATACAGCATAGCTGGGTCCTCTCTTCAGGGCCCCTCAAGGCTGCAATCATAGTTGGGGTCTTCCCTGAAGACTCAACTAGGAAAGGATGAGCTTCCAAGCTCACTAACTTAGTTGTTGGTAGGAAGCACGAAGGGTGGTAGGACTGAAGGTTTGGTTCCTCTTGAATGTTGAGTTGAGAGCACTCTCAGTTCCTCACCACATGGACCTCCTTAACATGGCAGCTTGATTACTTGAGTCAGTAAATGAGTCTGCTAGCAAGATAAAAGCCACAAACTCTTATTGTCTACTCATGGATATGATAGACTTTCACCTTTGTCATATTCCATTGGTTAGAATTAAGTGACAAGGTCCATACCAAACTCAAGGTGGGAAGGATTCCACAAAGACTCGAATACTAAGATGGGGGATCACTGGAGACCATCTTAGAAGTCAGGTTAGCACAACCTGTCAATAACTGACACTCTAATCAAGAGTGCTAGGTGCCTACGCTGTTTGTGTGCCTCTTCATTGATAAGGCTGCTCTCATGCTTGACTCATAATGGAGAGCAATAACACACTGCCTCATCCCTCCCCTCCACCTGCATGTCCAGTAGTGTGCCTGGTTTGCTCTTCTATGGAAAAATAAAAGGAATTGGACTCATGCTTTCTCTTTACTTGCTGACACTGAATTGAAAATTCCCTCAAAAGCCTATTTCTTAACCCATAGCATGCGATATTCTGGCTTTTATCCTGAGCCCTGGTGAACAACAGGTGGTGACCCCAAGGGACCTGCTTTGCATGACAGCCTCACACCTGGTTTTCCTCTCAGTCCTCTCCCAGTCTCTCCTCTTTGCCTCATAAGTTTAGTTACACCCCGAACACTGTCTTTTGGCTATTTTATGGATCCTGTTTGCAGCTTGAGGCACAGGTTATTCCTGCCCTTTGCCCACCATCTGCTCCTGGGACCCCAGCCTGAGTGGAAGAGGTCTTGGAGTGTGGCTTGGACATTATTAATCAGGTTTTCTCCACACCAGCACACATACACACCCATGTGCACACAAACACACAGGCACACCCCCCACACACATGCATGTGCGTGCACACACACACACATGCATGTCGACACACACACACACTTTGTTGTGGAATCTGGTGCCTGTGGTCTTATGTATTTTCGCAGGAATTTGTGCTTAATGGATATTCCGAGCAGTCTTCATTGGTTACCCACGCCCACTGTTATGCTTTATGAACAAACTCATGCATTCTTTCCTAAATAGACTGCATATTTCCTTTTCTTTTCTTTTCTTTTCTTTCTTTCTTTTTTTTTGAGACGGAGTCTTGCTCTGTTGCCCAGGCTGGAGTGCAATGGGGGGATCTTGGCTCACTACAACCTCCGCCTCCTGGCTTCAAGCGATTCTCCTGCCTCATCCTCCCAAGTAGTTGGAATTACTGACGCCCTCTACCACGCCTGGCAAGTTTTGTATTTTTAGTAGAGACAGGGTTTCACTATGTTGGCCAGGCTGGTCTCAAACTCCTGACCTCAAGTGATCCACCTGCCTCAGCCTCCCAAAGTGTTGGGATTACAGGCATAAGCCATGGCGCCTGGCCATTTTTTTTTTTTTAAGAGACAGGGTCTCATCTCACTCTGTCACCCAGGCTAGAGTACAGTGGCATGATCACAGCTCTACTCTACTAAAAATACAAAAATTAGGCCGGGCGCAGTGGCTCACACCTGTAATCCCAGCACTTTGGGAGGCCGAGGTGGGTGGATCACCTGAGGTCGGGAGTTCAAGACCGGACTGACCAACATGGAGAAACCCTGCCTTGGCCGGGCACGGTGGCTCACGCCTGTAATCCCAGCCCTTTGGGAGGCCAAGGTGGGCTGATCACCTGAGGTCAGGAGTTTGAGACCAGCCTGGCCAACATGGTGAAACCCCGTCTCTATCAAAAATATAAAAATTAGCCAGGCACAGTGGCAGACGCCTGTAATCTCAGCTACTTGGGAGGCTGAGGCAGAAGAATCCCTTGAACCCGGGTGATGGAGTTTGCAGTGAGCCATCCTCACGAGATCGTGCCACTGCACTCCAGCCTGGGCGACAGAGCCAGACTCCATCCCCCCCAAAAAAAAAAAGAAAAAAAGAAAACCCGTCTCTACTAAAAATACAAAATTAGCGAGGTGTGGTGGCACATCCCTGTAATCCCAGCTACCTAGGAGGCTGAGGCAGGAATTGCTTGAACCTCGGAGGTGGAGGTTGCGGTGAACCAAGATTGCGCTATTGCACTCCAGCCTGGGCAACAAGAATGAAACTCCATCTCAAAACAAAAATAAAAATAAAAATACAAAAATTAGCCAGGCGTGGTGGCAGATGCCTGTAATCCCTGCTACTCAAGAGGCTGAGGTGGGAGGATTGCTTGAACTTGGGAGGCGGAGGTTGCAGTGAGCCGATATCCCGCCATTGCACTCCAGCCTGGGTGACAGCGTAAGACTCTGTCTCCAAAAAGAAAAGGGAATCCTACCTCCTGAGGGCCTCTGTTACTGTAATTTCTAAAAGTGCCCCACCTGACCCTTGAACCTAATCAACTCAATGTTAAAAGTCATAGCATAGTAGCTAATGCTCATATAGCCCTTTATGGCATTGTCTTACACACTGGCATCCAGCCAGTGTGCACTAGTACAGCCAATACTGATTGTTACAGAAAATAGAATGGTTATCGTGATAGGTGGTAAAATTAATAAGTACTAGAAATTCTAATATCTCATTAACTAATTAACTATTTGTCTTAGTCTATCACAGTGATCATCAATGGATGGGTCTCCTGCACTGCAGCATCTGAGAATCATTTATGGCACCACCGGCTGGTTCAGCCATGTCACCATTGTACATTCATTGTTTTGTGGTTTAGGAAAATCATCAGTTAATTGTTATCCTCACATGCTGTAACTTATAAATAGTATATTTGTTTGGCTTTTCCTTGTTTCTATTGTTATTGTGTTATTATTCATCTGGAAATAATAACTGTGCAGTGTTTTGATATCTATAAATTCAAGAACTTAGAATAGTAAACAGTAAGAGTGAAGTGACAAAGTTTAAATACATTTTATTTATTTATCTATTTACTTATTTTCTGAGATAAGAGTCTTACTCTGTTGCCCAGGCTGGAGTGCAGTGGTGTGATCTCGGCTCACTGCAACTTCTGTCTCCCAGGTTCAAGCGATCTTCCTGCCTCAGTCTCCTGAGTAGCTGGGACTACAGGTGTGTGCCACCACACCCACCAAATTTTTATATTTTTGTTTTATTTTATTTTTTTTGAGACAGAAGGGTTTTTTTTTTTTTTTTTGAGACAGAAGGGTTTTTTTTTTTTTTTTTTTTTTGAGACAGAGTTTCACTTTTGTTGCCCAGGCTGGAGTGCAATGGCGAAATCTCAGCTCACTGCAACCTCTGCCTCCCGGGTTCAAGCAATTCTCCTGCCTCAGCCTCCCAAGTAGCTGGGACTACAGGCATGTACCACCATGCCTGGCTAATTTTTTGTATTTTAGTGGAGACGGAGTTTCACGATGTTGGTCAGGCTGGTCTTGAACTCCTGACTTCAGGTGAGCCACCTGCCTTGGCCTCCCAAAGTGCTGGGATTACAGGCATGAGCCACCGCGCCCAGCCGATTTTTGTATTTTTAGTAGAGATGGGGTTTCGTCATGTTGGCCAAGCTGGTTTCAAACTCCTGACCTCAGGTGATCCATCAGCTTCAGCCTCCCAAAGTGCTGGGATTACAGGCATAAGCCACAGTGCCAGGCCTACATACATTTTAAACATTGCTTTTAGATACTGTAAACATGACTCTTCTGAATCTGAGACAAATCATGAAACCAATGGTATTAATATTGAATCACAGCCTGGAACAACTGATATGCAAAGATTATGGCAGGTGGGAATGCTTTCAGTATTGCATAAGATTCAGTTCAAAGGAAACAATAATTCACATTTCTAAAATTTAATTAAAAACCTGATAATTGGCCAGGTGTATTGGCTCATGCCTGTAATCCCAGCACTTTGGGAGCTCAAGGTGAGTGAATCACCTGAGGTTGGGAGTTCGAGACCAGCCTGACCAACATGGAGAAACCCTGTCTCTACTAAAAATATAAAATTAGCCAGGTGTGGTGGTGCATGCCTGTAATCCTAGCTACTGGGGAGGCTGAGGCAGGATAATCATTTGAACCCAGGAGGTGGAGGTTGCAGTGAGCTGAGATGGCGCCATTGCACTCCAGCCTGGGCAACAAGAGCAAAACTCCATGTCAAAAAACAAACAAACAAAAAACCCCTGATAATTTTGACAAAACTCACAGGTAGCTGATTATTGCTTGAAATGTAAATATTAAATGAAAACGATATGCAAAGCACACATCTTGTGGATGTGTGAAAAGGTGAATGTTCTAGCATATTGTCGGTGCTCAGAATTCAGGGAAAAACTAGTAATAAGAAGAATTTGAAGAATATTATGAATGAGCTTCACATAATGAAGTCTTTGAAATAATAAATCCCCTGAAATACTTTGTATCATAAAAAGAACAAAACATTGAAAAAGTACCATTAGAATGCTAATATTACCTACTGTGTAATTAGTCTACTGCTAAATAGAGTCTTAAAAAAGGTTGTAAATAGTGCATATCATTGCAGTCTACATTAATGGTTACAATGGTCACAAAACGTATATCTACCATGATGAGACAACTTTTTAGTAAATTTATAAATCTAGGCAATCAATCATCACCAAGAAAGCTTCAATTATGTAACAAAAAAAAATTTTTTTTTTTTGAGACGGAGTCTCACTCTGTCACCTAGGCTGGAGTGCAGTGGCGCGATCTCGGTTCACTGCAAGCTCCACCTCCCAGGTTCACACCATTCTCCTGCCTCAGCCTCCCGAGCAGCTGGGACTACAGGCGCCTGCCACCATGCCCGGCTAATTTTTTGTATTTTTAGTAGAGACGGGGTTTCACTGTGTTAGCCAGGATGGTCTTGATCTCCTGACCTCGTGATCCGCACACCTTGGCCTCTCAAAGTGCTGGGATTACAGGTGTGAGCCACCACGCCCGGCCACAAAAATGTGTTTTTATTAGTGACTTAAATACTAAATTTCAGACTTATAAAACTGATGATATAAAACTAATGATTTTTGCTCATCTGAGGAACTGAAATGATGTATCAAGCTTACTTACTCATCAGTGCTCAAGAAAAGTGGTTTTGATGTGAAATGGTTACACAATGCTACAGATGGTTCTAGTATATGTCACAGAGAAAGTTCAGAGAAGCCAAAGTTTTAGAGAAGTCTCTATATGGCCAGGCACAATGGCTCATGCCTGTAATCCCAGCACTTTGGGAGGCCAAGGCAGGCAGATCACGAGGTCAAGAGATTGAGACCATCCTGGCCAACATGGTGAAACCCTGTCTCTACAAAAAAATACAAAAATTAGCTGGGCGTGGTGGCATGCACCTATAGTCCTAGCTGCTTGGGAGGCTGAGGCAGGAGAATCGCTTGAACCTGGGAGGCAGAGTTTGCAGTGAGCAGAGATTATGCCACTGCACTCCAGCCTGGTGACAGAGCGACAATCTGTCTCAAAAAAAAAAAAAAAAAAAGTCTCTTTATATTTTAAATTGGTACTATATAAGTTACTGTATTCAGTGATGTCAGGATGATGCAGTAAAATGTTTAAATGAAAAATTACTTCAAATATTTGCCTCACTAAACTTTATATTCACAACTACATATGAAATAAGCATTTGGGAAAATTAAAAATATTTCTAAAGATACTGGAATTGAAGTCATGAAACTAGAAAGCATATTTGGGCACTCTGTAATAGTGGGATGCCAAGAGCATTAGGGAATTGTACCAAACCTTTTATATTCACTTTAATAGAAGTTGTGAAATGGGAGTAGTAAGTGTTTAGGACATAAACTTTTTTTCCCAGAAATTTGACGTTAATAACTTATATATTAACAGAGATGTCAATGTTATCTTTATCCTTTCCAGAGGAAATATTAAAAATTACAGAAGCTGGATTAATTGTAGAAAAATAAGAATCAGTTAATATATAAAATTAAATACATAAAGCAAAGGGGAAAAAGTAGATAGTATTGTTTAAAAATATGATATACCATTTGAAAGAAAAATGTCAACTTCAAGAGAAAAAGTCAATTAGATTATCTAATAATTTATGTGATTGCAATTGTAGTTTGATGACAAAAGTAAAATATATTAAGAACTTAAAATTTTTAAATTAAGTCAACCATGAAGGATGTTTACAAAGCTTCATAGATGTAACCAATTAAATCAAGACAATTTTTAATTTAATCAATACAATTAAGCCTACTTATTAAAGATGGCTTTTATTAATTGATTTTTGTGGTGGAGTGAACGGAGATATTAAATAATAAGAATTTCTAGGCCGGGCGCGGTGGCTCATGCCTGTAATCCCAGCACTTTGGGAGGCCGAGGCGGGCAGATCACAAGGTTAGGAGATCGAGACCATCCTGGCTAACATGGTGAAACCCCGTCTCTACTAAAAATACAAAAAATGAGCCAGGCATGGTGGCAGGCGCCTGTAGTCCCAGCTACTCAGGAGGCTGAGGCAGGAGAATGGCGTGAACCCGGGAGGAGGAGCTTGCAGTGAGCTGAGATCGCGCCACCGCACTCCAGCCTGGGCGACAGGAGACTCCGTCTCAAAAAAAAAAAAAAGAATTTCTAGGCCAGGCGTGGTGGCTCATGCCTGTAATCCCAGCACTTTGGGAGGCCGAGGCAGGTGGATCATTTGAGGTCAGGAGTTTGAGACCAGCTTGGCCTACGTGGTGAAACCCCCTCTTTACTAAAAATACAAAAAGTAGCTGGGCGTGGTGGCATGTGCCTGCAATCCCAGCTACTCGGGAGGCTGAGACAGGAGAATTGCTTGAACCGGGGAGGTGGAGGTTGCAGTGAGCCAAGATCGCACCACTGCACTCCAGCCTGGGCGACAGAGTGAGACTGTCTCAAAAAAAGAAAAAAAAAAAAGAAAGAAAAAGAATTTCAGACAGCAGTTCAAGGGCTAAAAAATCTTTAACATAGCTGCTAAAGTGAGAGAGGATTTGGCACCATGAACAATATAGTTGATTACATACGTCATAATATACAAACAATTTAATGGGGAAATTATCAGAAGCTTATACAAGGCTCTTTTGTCAAATCATGGCTAACATAGGCATATATCACTTAACCAATAATTACCACCTAAGAAATGCAAAAAATGTTTAAAAATCAATAAATAATTTGGAAATTGTTATAACTATTTAAGAAATTATTTATATTTCAACTGTGTCACTTGGTAAGTAGTTTTATAATCATTTAGTTAGGACAGAAAAATAGCATAATTGGGAAAATTTTATTTATATATTAATTTCCATTGCCATACCAGCTGTCAACTATTTTGAATAGTACTCTTGATCTCACATATAGTTTGCTTGTAGTAAGTATTGATTGAATGGTGTTTGATATAAATGAATGAAGATGACAGTCAGGACACCCAGGACAAGTGAAAGCAGGGCTGAAGGAATGTAAGGGTTGCAGTATTTATTGTCTTTTAGCTGAAATATTTAGAAACAGAAAGGGTAAGCGCACAGAGGAATAGCATAGCAGAAATCATGTGACTTTCTCATGTTAACCCTTCCCCTTGTCCAGACCCTATTTGTCCATATGGGCATCTCCATATAGAGACAAGACTCAGAAGGTTGGATAGCTATACTTCTTTGCCTCTGTTTTCAGGAAGCCAAGTCCTCTGTTCGCTTTGGTTGCCACCACTAACTCGGCGGCTGGGCTGCCCATGTGTAGACAGATGTCTTGAAAATATCAAGTTCCCTAAGCAGCTTGAACTGCAGGGAGGCTCAGAGAGGGTAGATTTCCTGAGCTGCTGACTTACTGCGGGACTGACTCAGTAAGATTCCAGGCACTAGGCAGAGCTAGTTAGGAAAGGAAACGTTTCCTGTTTGCCTCTGTGGGGAAAAAGAACCTACTCTTTGGACAGAGTCACCTGGCTCTAACACCAGAAAGGAAAGCGAGGCGGTGCATCCTCCAGAACAGCAGTAGGCAGGGCCACGGAGCATCCCACAGCCACCAGTGGGGCTGTCCTGCTGTTCTTGCAGTAGTGCCCTGTCTCCCAGAATCTCCCCCTGGTGCTATCTCCACCCTGCCTGAAAGTAGTGAGGAGGATGATGGGGAGAGAGTCAGACAGGCTGGGGTTGGGAAGAGTGAGTGCCCTTGATTTTTCTCTTATCCAAATTCAACTTTCATTTTAGTTTTCCCTCCAATTCCTCAAAGCAAGCATCGCTACTCTTAATTTCTCATATGGAACTACTTAGGGGTGGCAAAAACCTCATGGGACTGGTGGGGCTTCCTGTGCTTTTAATTGAAATGGTTTCTTTGTGGGTTCCCAAAGCTAAATTGTCCTTGCTCACACTGGAAGGAAATAAAGAAAAATAAGTATGATTATTGTACCAAGTAGTGGGATTACAGGTGAGGTTTTTCTTGTTTATTAGAAAATTCTTGGCCAGGCGCGGTGGCTCATGACTGTAATCCCAGCACTTTGGGAGCCGGAGGTGGGCAGATCATGAGGACAGGAGATTGAGACCATCCTGGCTAACACGGTGAAACCTCGTCTCTACTAAAAATACAAAAAATTTTCTGGGCGTGGTGGCATGCACCTGTAATCCCAGCTACTCAGGAGGCTGAGGCAGGAGAATGGCATGAACCCAGGAGGCAGAGTTTGCAGTGAGCAGAGGTTGTGCCATTGCACTCCAGCCTGGGCGACAGTGCGAGACTGTGTCTCAAAAAAAAGAAAAGCAAGAAAATTCTTTTCTTGTTTTTATAGATGTGCAATAAAAACAATTGGGAGAAGAAAGAAGAGTTGACCTGGATTTTCATAATGCAAAGAAAATGGCACCCAAATTCCCACCACAAGGATTTACATGTATTATCCAATTCAATTCATTCAGAATTCCGTGCAGTCAGTCAGATAATTGTTATCCCAGCTTAACTGACAGATGTTAGGAATGAGACTTGAAAGTGCTCAGCCAGGCTGGGTGCGTTGGCTCACGCCTGTAATCCCAGCACTTTGGGAGGCCAAGGTGTGTGGATCACCTGAGGTCGGGAGTTCGAGACCAGCCTGACCAACATGGAGAAACCCCGTCTTTACTAAAGGTACAAAATCAGCCGGGGCGTGATGGCACATGCCTGTAATCCCAGCTACTCCGTAGGCTGAGGCAGGAGAATCGCTTGAATCCAGGAGGCGGAGGTTGCAGTGAGCCAAGATCATGCCACTGCACTCCAGCCTGGGAAACAAGAGCGAAACTCTGTCTCAAAAAAAAAAAAAAAAAAAAAAAAAAAAAAAAAAGTGCTCAGCCAGGATCTCATACCAAGTCTGTGGTGGAGTGCCAAGAGCCAAGATGTCCTCTGCAGAAAGAATCACTTGGTTTTTTTTTTGGTTTTTTTTGTTTTTGTATTTTTTGGTGGAGATGGGGTTTCCCCGTGTTGGCCGGGCTGGTCTCCAGCTCCTGACCGCGAGTGATCTGCCCACCTCGGCCTCCCGAGGTGCCGGGATTGCAGACGGAGTCTCGCTCACTCAGTGCTCAATCTTGCCCAGGCTGGAGTGCAGTGGCGTGATCTCGGCTCGCTACAGCCTCCACCTCCCAGCCGCCTGCCTTGGCCTCCCAAAGTGCCGAGACTGCAGCCTCTGCCCGGCCACCACCCCATCTAGGAAGTGAGGAGCGTATCTGCCCGGCCGCCCATCGTCTGAGATGTGGGGAGCGCCTCTGCCCCGCCGCCCCGTCTGGGATGTGCGGAGCGCCTCTGTCCGGCGGCGACCCCGTCTGGGAACTGAGGAGTGTCTCTGCCCGACCGCCACCCCGTCTGGGAGGTGAGGGGCGTCTCTGCCGGGCCGCCCTGTCTGAGAAGTGAGGAGCCCCTCCGCCCGGCAGCCGCCCCGTCTGGGAAGTGAGGAGCGTCTCCGCCCGGCAGCCGCCCCGTCCAGGAGGTGGGGGGCAGCCCCCGCCCTGCCAGCCGCCCCGTTCGGGAGGTGGGGGGCGCCTCTGCCCGGCCCGTCTGGGAAGTGAGGAGCCCCTCTGCCCGGCCGTCACCCCGTCTGGGAGGTGTACCCAACAGCTCATTGAGAACGGGCCATGATGACGATGGCGGTTTTGTCGAATAGAAAAGGGGGAAATGTGGGGAAAAGAAAGAGAGATCAGATTGTTACTGTGTCTGTGTGGAAAGAGGTGGACATGGGAGACTCCATTTTGTTCTGTACTGGGAGAGGTTCTTCTGCCTTGGGATGCTGTTGATCTATAGCCTTACCCCCAACCCCGTGCTCTCTGAAACATGTGCTGTGTCCACTCAGGGTTAAATGGATTAAGGGCGGTGCAAGATGTGCTTTGTTAAACAGATGCTTGAAGGCAGCATCCTCATTAAGAGTCATCACCGCTCCCTAATCTCAAGTACCCAGGGACACAAACACTGCAGAAGGCCGCAGGGTCCTCTGCCTAGGAAAACCAGAGACCTTTGTTCACATGTTTATCTGCTGACCTTCCCTCCACTATTGTCCTATGACCCTGCTAAATCCCCCTCTCCGATAAACACTCAAGAATGATCAATAAATACTAAAAAAAAAAAAAAAAAAAAGAATCACGTGTACTGGTTGAAACAGCACCAATAAACAATTTAGGCTCTGAGTTGGACACAGTTTGGTAAATACATGTTCTACAATGTTCCATAGTCTTTCAGTGTCCCATGGGATATTTGTTCCCCCATAGAAAGCATAGGTAGAGGTCCTTTACATACCCTGCAGGGACGCTGATTTGCATGGGGAGGGCTGGCACACAGCCTCTGCTGGGTATGAACAGTACAAACCTCTGGAGGCTGTGCTCTGTTCAGGACTTGGAGCTGGTTGGGGACCTCCAATGCCCTGTGCTGACGGCTGGCCTGGGGGCTTCTCCTCACTAGGGTCTTCTCTCAGTCTCTCAAGGTGGGCACAGTCTCTCCTGGACACACAGGCAATGGGCTGGACAAGCATCTCTTTCCTCTAAGGCCCAGTCACCAAGTATTCCCTCCAGGGGACCGGGTTTGGAAATTTTCACTACATATAACAGCCCTTCTGTTGCCTCATATTTTCTAACTCTGGCGTGGTGGTTCCCAGTCTCTTTACCACTGAGGAAGCATAGGTGATTTCTTCCCTCCCTCTGTTTCAAAATGGTTTTAACTACCAAACAAAATCCTCTAAGTGATCATTTGCCTTTCTTTCTTTCTTCCTTTCTTCCTTTCTTTCCTTCTTTCCTTCTTTCCTTTCTTTCTTTCTCTCTCTCTTTCTTTCTTTCTCTCTCCTTCCTTCCTTCCTCCCTCCCTCCCTCTCTCTCTTTCTTTCTTTTCGAAGCGCAGTTTCACTCTTCTTGCTCAGGCTGGAGTGCAATGGTGTGATCTTGGCTCACTGCACAACCTCAGCCTCCTGGGTTCAAGCGATTCTCCTGCCTCAGCCTCCTGAGTAGCTAGGATTACAGGCATGCGCCACCACGCCCAGCTAATTTTTTATTTTTAGTAGAGACAGGGTTTCTCCGTGTTGGTCAGGCTGGTCTTGAACTCCCAACCTCAGGTGATCAACCCGCCTCAGCCTCCCAAAGTGCTGGGATTACAGGCGTGAGCCACCGCGCCCAGGCTTCATTTGCTTTCTTATACTGTTCATCAAGATATATTTAAGGTCATCATGAAGACAAGGTTACATCATTTACAATATATGGAAGTAAGTCCCAGCCCCCGTTAAGATCCTAGTCTGGGCTAGCTGGCTGAGAGGGGCTGTTAAAACTCTAGTAATAGGAATAGCTGTCTCCCTGTCATTCTGCTGCTATGGCAGATGCTTTTTTCCTCTAGGACCACTGACTTCTGGAGATCTATGATTCATAACCTTGTGGCTAGAAATGAGATGTCAAAAGAGGACAAGATCACTCGGGTTCCTCCTTCCCTTGGGTTCCCTCTCCTGGGCCAATTAAGAACAGGCACATGGAGAAAAGAACCCAGAATTATCCCATAATCACACAAAGATCTGTTCACATACAATGGCCCAAGGAGGCAGGGCCTGCCCATGAGTCACCATTATCTACATAATGCAGCCTAACTATCCTGTTTTGCTTTTAGCTATTCAAGACTTTTCCGACCATGGGGAAGTCCCATGGCATGGGCTGTTTTCCCAACAGTATCTTGACTGAATCACTGAGTGTCATGCCAGAGGAGTGGGACCTGGTTGACCCCTCTTCCCTGGTGTCCAGGTGCCCAGGAACCCCTATGTGGTAGTGGGATCCAGATCTAAGAAAGCACAGCTCTTGTGTGGCCTCATGGGGAGTACATGCCTCACTGGGCTGGTTCTAAATTGTTCCAGGGTCAAGCCAGGAGGCATAAAGAACCTGCTCTTTCATCTTCCAACATTTTTTTTTTGGTAATAACCCAATTCCCTGATTAAAACATCTACAGTGGTGTCTTACATTTTTCAAAGCATAACTCAAACATTTTTTCCTTTAGAAAAACCTAAGTCTCCTAAAACAGGGGTTCCCAAGCCCTGGGCCATGGACTGGTACCGGTCCATGGCCTGTTAGGAACTGGGCTGCACAGTAGGAGGTGAGTGGCAGGTGACCAAGCATTAGCGCCTGAGCTCTGCCTCCTGTCAGATCAGCAGTGGGGTTAGATTCTCATAGGAGTGTGAATCTTATTGTGAACTGTGCATGCGAGGGATCTAGGTTGCTCGCTCCTATGAGAATCTAATGCCTGATGACCTGTCAGTGTCTCCCATCACCCTCAGATGGGACTGTCTAGTTGCAGGAAAACAAGCTCAGGGCTCCTACTGACTCTACATTATGGTGAGTTGTATAATTATTTCATTATGTATTATAATGTAATAATAGAAATAAAGTCCACAATACAGGTAACGCGCTTGAATCATCCCAAAACCACCCCTCCGAAAAATTGTCTTCCATGAAACCGGTCCCTGATGCCAAAAATGTTGGGAACCACTGTCCTAGAAAACATAGTTTCCTCCTTGACTTTTGGCATTTTGTACGTTTCTTTCAGCGCTAACCACAATAGTTATCTTCAAGTCTGTTTATTCATTGTTACTAAATCTTAGATTCCTTCAGCGCAGGAACCTTTCTCGCCCCCTAGTCCCACCCTGGACCTCACAACATTCTTTGAACACAGGAAGGGTTCGATAAATATTTGTTAAAGATCCCTTGGAGTCTGGCTTAAAAAGATTTAAGATCTAAAACTGAGGAAGGCAGATCTTTGAGGTGAGGCAAACATAGCCTGCCGATATGGCAGGAAGTAGAAATGGGCAGACCAAGTAGAGAAGGAAAATAGTTCTATACTCCTTATGAGTAGTATATAGGAGTGGGATAAAAAGTAGGATATAGGAGTCCAAATTTCCATCAAATCTATAGATTGATTTTCTTTGCATTAATTAAGACTTCTGGTGGAACGTGGTGGCTCATGCCTATAATCCCAGCACTTTGGGAGGCCAAGGTGGGTGGATCACCTGAGATCAGGAGTTCGAGACCAGCTGGCCAACATGATGAAACTCTGTCTCTACTAAAAATACAAAAATTAGCTGGGCGTGGTAGCAGGCGCCTGTAATCCCAGCTACTTGGGAGGCTGAAGCAGGAGAATCACTTAAACCTGGGAGGCCAAGTTTGCAGTGAGCCAAGGTCATGCCATTGCACTCTAGCCTGGGTGACAAGAGTGAAACTCAGTCTCAAAAAAAAAAAAAAAAAAGACTTATTTGTTGTTGCTAAAATGCAAAGATTCTGGGCTTATGAAGAAACTAATACTCCAGTAGGAATGCTTGAAATAAAAATATCTACCACTAACTGAAACCTAAGTATCAGGTTGCCCATCTTGTGTTGCTGTAATATAATACGCAGACTGAGTAATTTATAAAGCAAAGCAGCCTATTTCATGGTTCTGGAGGATAAGAAGTCTAATATCAAGATCCCGGCATTTGGTGAGTCTTTTTGCTGTATCATCTCTTGGTAAAGGCAAGTGGGTGAGTGAGGGCAAGAGGTTGAACTTGCCTCAACCTCAAGCCCTTTTATAATCAGTATTAATCCATTCATAAAGTTGGAACCTCCATGGCCAGCCAGCCATTAGGATTCACTTCCCGATATGGTTGCATTGTGGATTCAGTTTCCAACACATGCTTTTTGGAGGACACATTCAAACCACAGTACAGGTACTTTATATTAGCTTTATAATGACTCTCCCAAGAAAACAGTGCCACGTACAAGATGAGGAACTGGAGCTCAGACAGGTGAAGCCCCACCGCGTGTCACACAGGAAGAAATGGCAAAGTAAAAATTCACACCCAGGACTCCCTGGGCTTTCTCACCGCACATGTTGCCTTCTTACTGGATATCACCTGACAGAATGAGACTCAGGTGATTACAGGGATTCACCAGGAAAACGGGAAAGTCGGCATGACCAGAACTAGAACATGGGCCAGTGAATGCAGTTCTGGGTGGACCATGGCATTGGAAGCCAAAGGATAGCTTGAATGTGGTTAAAAAATTAAAACAACAAGGCACAAAACGCACAAATGAAATACAAATGATGCTCAAACACAGCTTTTATTTTACTTCAAAGTTTACCTCAGATCAGCCTGGGAAGGTGAGGGGAATGAAGCAGATGCTGTTAAAGGGTCATGGGAGAGAAAAGGTATCTGTGGGAAGAGAATAATCTCTTTTGACTTCGTGTGCTGCCTCACGGACACACTGGAGCAGGGATTGGGCCCCCAAGGCCTCAGGTAGCCCCGTGCCTGTGGCTTTGCTGGGTGCAGCCTACGTGGCTGCTCGAATGGGTTGCAGGCTGGTGCCTAAAGCTTTCCCAAGGGGGCGCTGCATGCTGCCACTGACTCCACAGTTCTGGGGTCCTGGTGGTGGTCAGGTCCTGCTCCCAGCGCTCCACAAGGCACTCTCTCCTGTGGCCTGGATCCACTAGACACTAGACATTTCCCTGGTGGGGGCCCTCTGTGGCAGCTGCACCTCACATTTCCACTTAGCATCACTCTAGTGGAGGCTCTCTGTGGGCTGGGCATGCTAGCTCAGTTCTCTTTTCCTCTTCTTATAAAGCCACCAGTCCCATTCCTGTGATAACCCATTAATCCATTAACCCATGAATGAAGGCACAGCCTTACGATCCAATCACATCTCAAAGGCCCCACCTTTCAGTATTGCCACATTAGGGATTAAGTCTCAACATGAGTGTTGGAGGGAACATTCAAACCACAGCAGTATGAAAACAATATTCAACTCCAAGGTATATGGTCAAGATTACAGGTGGTAAGGAATAGGCTAGAGAATAGGAATAGGCTAAATTTGCTAGAGATGTGCTGTGGAATTATCTGTATTTCTAGCTATGATCTTAGCTTCCTCAAGTCCATTTCATTGCAAGAATATGAAAAATTAAATTGAGATCCAGGTTCTTTTTTTATTTTTCAATTTTTATTTTTTGAGATGGCGTTTCACCCTGTCACCCAGGCTGGAGTGCAGTCGCACAATCCTGGCTCACTGCAACCTCCGCCTCCCGGGTTGACGCCATTCTCCTGCCTCCGCCTCCTGAGTAGCTGGGACTACAGGCCCGTGCCTCTGCGCCCAGCTAATTTTTTGTATTTTTTAGTAGAGACGGGGTTTCACCGTGTTAGCCAGGATGGTTTCGATCTCCTGACCTCGTGATCTGCCCTCCTCGGCCTCCCTAAGTGCTGGGATTACAGGCATGAGCTGCCGCACTCTGCCCAGGTTCTTATTTTTAATAGAAAAGAGAACAGGGAAGGAACACAGGTCAGTGTGAGGAAGGGGGTCATGGTAGACACAGAGGTGGACTGTTTCTCTACCTCCTCACATTGTGCTAACAGGGACACAGACAGATTCAGAGGCCCTTGCAAAAAGAGAAGCCAGAGTCCCCTAAGACACATAGGGGAGGCGTGAGGAAATCCTGCATCTCAGTCGCACACAAGGCAGCTGTGCATCTCAGTCGCACACAAGGCAGCTGTCTCAGGCTACAGAAGAAAATAGTCATGAACAAATTCAGGTCAGTCACGGTAAGTGATGACACTCTGAACAGCCCACCACACACTCAAAAATTCTGAATCAAAAAATCCCCACAACCCAGTCCTGTCCCCTCTGCCCCACCCTCCACCCACTTCAGACCCCCAGAATCTCACCTTTACAAGCTGTGAGACTCAGACCCCTGGGCACTGTCGCTCCCTGGGGTAGAACAAAAACAAGACCTGGTCAGAGCCCACAGGAGATGTGGTGCAGGAGGAATTATAGGGTGGGCGAGCTCCTCCACGCTCCCGCCCCGCACTTACACTCAGCCTTAGAGTAGCTCCCTCCTTTTCCACCTGTTGGAAGAAAATGTCCTGTGAGGGGCCAGGGAGGAGGCAGGGCCATAAGGTCCTAGAGGAACCTCCTAGTTTTGGATCCCAGAGAAGTTTCCTGAACTGTGACTGCAGACCCAGGGCAGGATCAGGAAACGTGAAGAAAGCAGGTGTGGGTCCTGGATCAACTGCCCTTCTGAGGTCTGTCTTCAGCAGGGACCTTCCCCTGTGACCTGTGACTGCTGGGATCAGGTCCCCATCACCACAATCGTCAAGGTGATAAATCTGTCCTTCATTGTCACAGGTGCTTTACAAAAGAGTAGGTGCGGCTGGGTGCGGTGGCTCACGACTGTAATCCCAGCACTTTGGGAGGCCGAGGCAGGCAGATCACAAAGTCAGGAGTTCGAGACCAGCCTGGCCAACATAGTGAAACCCCATCTCCACTAAAAATACAAAAAAAAAAATTAGCCAGGTGTGGTGGCACGCATGTGTAGTCCCAGCTACTAGGGAGGCTGAGGCAGGAGAATTGCTTGAACCTGGGAGGCGGAGGTTGCAGTGAGCTGAAACCACGCCATTGCACTCCAGCCTGGGTGACAGAGCCAAGACTCCGTCTCAAAAAAAAAGAGTAGGTGCTGGCACACAGGGCCCCAGGCTGGGTAGGCTCGTGTGTGTGGATGGTGCTTCCCAGTAACGAGGCAGGACACACTTTTACCTAGGGCTTGAAACACCCAGTGGGACAAGAAAACTCAGACCCCACCCTTCTCCCTTCCCCACCTGAGCTCTTCTTCCTCCATATCACAGCAGCAACCACAGCTCCAGAGACCACAGATCCAAGGAGAACCAGGCCAGCAATGATGCCCACGATGGGGATGGTGGGCTGGGAAGCCGGCTCTGGGAAAAGAGGGGAACGTAAGGGGCCCTGACCCCCAGGCCTCAGCCCTGACCCTGCGGAAGGGCTCCAGAAGGGCTCCCGCTTTCCCTGAGAAGAGACATGACCTCCCATCCCCCTCCTTACTCCATCTCAGGGTGACGGGCTCGGGTAGCCCCTCATGCTGCACATGGCACGTGTATCTCTGCTCCTCTCCAGAAGGCACCACCACAGCTGCCCACTTCTGGAAGGTTCCATCCCCTGCAGGCCTGGTCTCCACGAGCTCCGTGTCCTGGGTATGGCCCTCCCCATCCTGCTGCCAGGTCAGTGTGATCTCCGCAGGGTAGAAGCCCAGGGCCCAGCACCTCAGGGTGGCCTCATGGTCAGAGATGGGGTGGTGAGTCACGTGTGTCTTTGGGGGCTCTGAGGGGAAGAGTCAGAAAATTCAGGCACTTTGTATCTCTCATGGGACACTCCAGCAGCACCCATGTGACCATCCTGAGAAGGAAGAGGACAATTATAGTAGGAGAAGAGGACAAAACCTTGACACCAGCCTGGACTTAGGGATCTGGGATAGCCTCTTATTCCTTGGAAAGTTCTAGAATCGGGATGAGCTAGCCCAGGGTAGAAGGTGAAAAGGGATTTCTGGTCCTGGCCTGTGTGGATGCTGAGTGACTGAGAAAAGCTGGAGTCAGACCTCCAAAAACTCTTGGTGTGGGGCTGAGAATCAGGCACGAGAGAAACTCCCCCGTGATTCCTAATACTGGGAGTCAAAGAGAACTGCTCATCAGTTCATCTGAAGGATGGAATCTCCAGCGAGACTAGATTCCTTAATTGCCCCTGAGAGAGGTCTGGCCCTTTAAGAGAGTCACTCTGTGGTATAGGATCTCCTGTACCTCAGGTGACAGCTCCCTCTCCTGATCCAAGGGAGGAGTGGTATTCTGGCCTCCATCCCTGTTTCTTCTACTGTTTGAGGTCTGTCAGCTGTGGGCACAGTCCTAGCCCAAGAAGGAGATGGGAGAGTAGCCCTGTGGACCCTCTTACCCAGGTGAAGCAGCGTCTCCTTCCCCTTCTCCAGGTATTTGTGGAGCCACTCCACGCATGTGTCTTCCAGGTAGGCTCTCTGGTGCTCCGCCTCAGAGGCATCATTTGACTTTTGCTCGGAGATCTGAGCCGCCGTGTCCACCGCGGTCCAGGAGCGCAGGTCCTCATTCAGGGTGAGATAATCCTTGCCGTCGTAGGCGAACTGTTCATACCCGCGGAGGAAGCGCCCGTCGGGCCCCAGCTCGCAGCCATGCATCCACTGCAGGGTGTGAGACCCTGGCCCCGCCCCTTAGTCAGTCCCGCCCACCAAGCCCCGCCCCCGTCGCCACCACCCTGTGGGCATTTTGGCCTAAACTGAAAAAGAACCGGGTAAAGGCGCCTGAGACTCTCCCCGGTCTAGGGTCTGGGCGGGTTCCGCAGCCTTGGGGTGAATCTGGGACCCGAAGATTCGAGGGGACCCGCGCCGTCCGTGGGGGATGGGGAGGGGTCGTGACCTGCTCCCCTGGCCGGGGTCACTCACCGGCCTCGCTCTGATTGTAGTAGCCGCGCAGCGTCCGCAGATTCACTCGGAAAATCTGTGCGGTGTCCCTGGCGCTCCGTGTCTCCCGGTCCCAATACTCTGACCCCTCCTGCTCCATCCACGGCGCCCGCGGCACCATCCTCGGACTCGCGGCGTCGTTGTCGAAGCGCACGAACTGGGTGTCGTCCACGTAGCCCACAGAGATGAAGCGGGGCTCCCCGCGGCCGGGCCGGGACACGGAAGTGTGGAAATACTTCAAGGAGTGGGAGCCTGGGGGCGAGGAGGGGCTGAGATCGGCCCGACCCTCCTCCCGGCGCGGCTCCCCGAGTCCTTCGCCCCCGCCGGGCCGGCCCCTCTCTACTCCCGGTAGAGGCCGTTTCCATCCCGACCCCGCACTCACCCGCCCAGGTCTGGGTAAGGGCCAGGGCCTCCGAGAGGAGTAAAAGGAGGGTTCCATCTACCATGATCCCAGCCTCTGAGTCCTGAGAACTTCTTGAGTCCGGATGGGGACTTTATAGTCGGGAGTCGTGGCGACGCTGATTGGCTTCTCTAGAAACCCGACACCCATTGGGAATGAGAACTGAGTCTGCGTCATGAGTATCCAGGAAGAAGGACACATGACCAGGTTACGAGAGGAACGGGAAACTGCAGAGTTTCCCAGCAATCAGCAGTTCTTAAACTTTTAGGTTTCGGTATCTCTGCACACTCTTAGAAATTAGTCCTGGCTGGGCGCGGTGGCTCACGCCTGTAATCTCAGCACTTTGGGAGGCCAAGGCGGGCTGATCACCTGAGGTTGGGAGTTCGAGACCAGCCCGACCAATATGGAGAAACCCTGTCTCTACTAAAAGTCCAAAAAATTAGCCGGCGTGGTGGCGCATGGCTGTAATCCTGGCTACTTGGGAGGCTGAGGCAGGAGAATCACTTGAACCCAGGAGGAGGAGGTTGCGGTGAGCCAAGATCGTGCCATTGCCCTCCAGCCTGGGCAACAAGAAAAAAGAAATTAGTGAGGACCCAAATAAATTTTGTTTCTGTGGATTGTATCAATTTTTATCATATATAAATTAAAAGATATTAAAACAAAATATTAAAAATATTAATTCATTTAAGAGAATATTAATAACCCATTACATGTTAATAGAAACAACTTTTTTTTTTTTTTGAGTCAGAGTCTTGCTCTGTCCCCAGGCTGGAGTGCAGTGGCATGATCTCGGCTCACTGCAACCTCCTTCTCCCGGGTTCAAGCGATTCTCCTGCCTCAGCCTCCCCAGTAACTGGAACTACAGGCGTGTGCCACCACACCCAGCTAATTTTTGTGTTTTTAGTAGAGACGGGGTTTCACCATGTTGGCCAGGATGGTCTTGATCTCTTGATCGGAAATAACATATCTTTAATGAAAAAAAACTTAATTTTTAATTTTTCCAAAATAAACAACGTATAGGCCGGGAACGGTGGCTCACGCCTGTAATCGCAGCATTTTGGTAGGCCGAGGCAGGCAGATCACGAGGTCAGGAGTTCAAGACTAACCTGGCCAACATGATGAAACCCTGTCTCTACTAACAATACAAAAATTAGCCGGGTGTGGTGGTGCGCGCCTGTAATTCCAGCAACTCTGGAGGCTGAGATAGGAGAATTGCTTGAACCCGAGAGGTGGTGGTTGCAGTGAGCCGAGATCACACCACTGCACTCCAGCCTGGGCGACAGAGTGAGATGTCTAGGGGGAAAAAACAAGAAACAAAAAACAAAAACAAAAACAAAAAAACAGGATCTGCTTCAAGAAGTTGCCTTTGTAGTCAAACCAGCTGAGACTCGTTACAACCAAGAGAGCCGGCCAAATGACTTCAAAAAGACCTCACGCTTCATTGTAATCCCGTTTCCAGGCTAAATTGCGCTCCCATCCATGCCATGACAGTTGACGATCTCCATGACGATGAGTAGAAGAAGTCCTAAAAGGACCAAAAGGAAAGCGGTATTACCAGTTTGGAGAAGTTCACTGCCTGTTCCCATAAAACATATGAATATTCCTCCCCCTCACTTTTAATGCCCAACCCCTTCATTAGAGCAATCCTACATTTTAGCCCCCTCACCCCTCACTAGCCGCCTCACTAGTGGAGAAGTTGACTTGGCAGAGCTGCTCTCCTCTTTACAAGTCCTGTGCAGGAAATAAAGCTTGCTCTGCTTAAGGCTCACTTTTGGTTTCATGTATTGGCTCTGCGACTCCCAGTGAGGAAAGATCCCACCTTCTGCAGCTACCAAGATTTTTGGTAACAAGAAGAGTGATTATTTTTCATTTTCATAAGTGTTGTTCTTGCAAAATTTTGCAAGCATCATTCTTGGCTCATAGCATACATTCTCTTATGTACTTATTTTTAAATTTTTAACTTTTATTTTAGATACAGGGGGTGGCCAGGCGCGGTGGCTCACGCCTGTAATCCCAGTCGGGAGTTCGAGACCAGCCTTATCAATATGGAGAAACCCCATGTCTACTAAAAATACAAAATTAGCTGGAGGTGGTGGCGCATACCTGTAATCCCACCTACTCAGGAGGCTGAGGCAGGAGAATCGCTTGAACCCGGGAGGCAGAGGTTGCGATGAGCCGAGATCACGCCATTGCGCTCCAGCCTGAGCAACAAGAGTGAAATTGTCTCAAAAAAAAAAAAAAAAAAAACCAGAAAAAAATAGATACAGGGGTTACATGTGCCGGTTTGTTACATGGGTATGTTGTCTGATGCTGAGGTTTGGGGTATGGATCCTGTCACTCAGGTAGTGAACATAGTACCCACAGGTAGTTTTTCAACCCACGTCCCCACCCTCTCCACTCTAGTCGTCTACAGTGTCTGTTATACACATGTTTATGTCTATGTGTGCTCAGTGTTTAGCTCCCAATTATAAGTGAGAAGATGCAGTATTTGGTTTTCTGTTCCTGCATTAATTCACTTAGGATTATGGCCTCCAGCTGCATCCCAGCCATTTTCTTACTTTGATTGAAGTGTATATGTTAAAAAATCTAGCCTTACACAAATATTGAGTTGAAAAAGGAAGGATTTTTTGTTTTTAGATATTTGAAATACAACTTTATTCTGATTCTAAACGAAAAGGAATGGGAATGACAGTAACAAACAAGATTTCACCGCTGAATATTGTGATGTGACTGTAGCAGTCTATATTTGAAACTCAAGGAATCAACTGTGTTCCAAAACAGCTAAATATGCAGGTCCAAACAATGAAGGTATTTTTTGAACTGCCACATTCACTGCGAAGCCCACTCATCTCCTTCAGCATCCCACAGATGAAGCACATGTTCCGCTTAGCTAGATAATAATGAGGTGGCACACACGCTGCACAACTGACATCACAGGACAGCTGCCTATAAAACTAGACTTCTGACGCTGGGCTCCAGCTTCATTCTCACAGGTCATCATCCTCGTCCGGGAGAGCAGTTGTCTGAGCAACCTCTAAGTCGTGCTCATACTGTGCTGCCAAAGCTGGGTCCATGACAACTTCTGGTGGGGCGAGAGCAGGCATGGCAACAAATTCCAAGTTAGGGTCTCCAATGAGCTTCCTAGCAAGCCAGAGGAAGGGCTTTTCAAAGTTATAGTTACTTTTGGCAGAAATGTCGTAGTACTGAAGATTCTTCTTTCGGTGGAAGACAATGGATTTCGCCTTCACTTTCCTGTCCTTAATATCCACTTTGTTGCCACTCAACACAGTGGGGGTGTTTTCACACACTCATACCAGATCTCTATGCCAGTTAGGCACATTCTTGTAAGTAACTCTCGATGTTACATCAAACACTATGATGGTACTCTGGGCTTGGATATAATAGCCATCTCTCAGTCCACTGAATTTCTCCAGGCCGGCTGTGTCCCATACATTGAACTTAACAGGTCCTCTGTTGGTATGGAACACTAGGGGATGAACCTCAACACCCAAGGTGGCTACATACTTCTTCTCAAATTCACCAGTCAAATGATGTTTCACGAAAGTCGTTTTTCCAGTACCACCATCACCAACCAATACAAGTTTGAACTGGACCTGGGGCTGTCCCTGCGCAGCCATTGCGGTGTTCCTTCCAGAAGCGTCTCCATGCCCGTCTGACTCAGGAAGGAAGGATTATTATTGCTGTTGTTTAGAGACAGGGTCTCGCTCTGTCACCCAGGCTGGAGTGCAGTGGCACCATAATAGCTCACTGCAGCCTAGAACTCCTGGGCTCAAGGGATTCTCTCACCTCAGCCTTCCCAGTAGCTGGAACAACATGTGTGAGCTACCATGCCCGGACTGGGAGGATTATTTTTAACAGCTTTTCATGTAATTGTGGATATTCATATTTCACATTACATAAAAACTGTGCAAGTGGTGATTTCTTTTTTTTTGAAAGCAAATAATCCATTTTTAATCCTTTTAAATTTTATTTATTTAAAACATTTTTAAATTTCAATAGTTTTGGGGGAACAGGTGGTGTTTGTTTACATGGATAAGTTCTTTAGTGGTGATTTCCAAGATTTTGGCGCATCCAGCACCTGATTAGTGTACACTGTACACAATGTGTAGTCTTGTATCCCTCAGCTCCCTCCCACCCTTCCCCCGCCAGTTCCCAAAGTCCATTGTATCATTCTTAAGCCTTTGTGTTCTCATAGCTTAGCTCCCATTTATAAGTGAGAACATACAATGCTTGGTTTTCCATTCCGGAGTTAATTCACTCAGAATAATGGTCTCCAGCTCCATCCAGGTTGCTTTGAATGCCATTATTTCCTTTCTTTTTATGACTGTGTAGTATTCCATTATATATCTATATATCTATATATAGATATAGATATATATAGATATAGATATATATAAAATTACATTTTCTTTATCCATTCATTGATTGATGGGCATTTGGGCTGGTTCCATATTTTTGCAATCACCAATTGTGCTGCTATCAATATGCTTGTTCAAGTATCTTCTTCTTTTTTCTTTTCTTTTCTTTTCTTTTTTTTTTTTTTTGAGACGGAGTCTCGCTCTGTCACCCAGGCTGGAGTGCAGTGGCGTGATCTCGGCTCACTGCCACCTCCACCTCCTGGTTGACGCCATTCTCCTGCCTCAGCCTCCTGAGTAGCTGGGACCACAGGCACCTGCCACCACGCCCGGCTAATTTTTTGTATTTTTAGTAAAGACGGGGTTTCATCGTGTTAGCCAGGATGGTCTCGATCTCCTGACCTCGTGATCTGCCTGCCTCAGCCTCCCAAAGTGCTGGGATTACAGGCGTGAGCTATGGTGCCCGGCCATTAAGGGGATAAGTTTTAACAGTCCAGGTTCAAGGGTAGTGGAAGCTGAGGAATTGGAGGGAAAGGTAATTCAGCCAAAGGTGGATACAGAAGAACAGAGGAAAGAGAACAGGAAATCTCTCCTCTGGAGAGGAAAGAATCTGGGGCCCTAAAGCCTTGTTGTCCTTCCTTAACTGTTTGCTGGTCTCAGTTAATTTTGTGATAGAATCTTAGAGGGAGGCAATGTTTGAATCCCGAATGCATTATGAAACTTTGAAGTACCAAGTAAACTAAGCCTCCCATTCACATTGTTTAATTTTAGGACCATGGTCTTCTAGTTTTGTTTTAAGGAAGACAAGTTTGGGGAACTCAAAAGGCCCCAAGGATGGCCATTGAAGATCCAAATTAACTTTGGCGTACTCTACCCATTGATTTCAAAACGTACACAGGAGAGGACCTTAATTTTTTTTTCTTTCCTTATTTATTTTAATTTTTAAAAATAGAGATGAGCTCTTGCTATGTTGCCCAGGATGGTTTCAAACTCATGAGCTCAAGTGATCCTTCCACCTTGGTCTCCCAAGGTGCTGGGATTATAGGCATGAGCCACCGACCATAAATTTTGACCATATAGCTGACAGGAGTCCCAGAAGACGGCCTATATTGGATGCTTTGGAATTTTGGCATCCTGTTCTGCCTCTTATTAATTTCTCGACAGCAAAAGAAAAATTCCATAATCCCTGTGAGGAAATGGTAGAGGCTGGAGCGATTTGTTTTTTAATAGTGTGCCTAGTATAGGATTTTTGTTTTTACTTAGTGGGCAGCCTGTGATCTAATTGTCCATCCTGTGACCATTTTCTCCAGATTTTTCTTGAGACTGGTGCGACCCCTAATGGCAATTTTGTTTATTCATGTACCAGTTTATCCTGACAACAGATAATTTCTCTTTGGGGAGACTGAAGTTTCTCATTGAATGGCGACAATAGCCCAAACAGCTTTTAAAGGGTCGACACATACCCATCTTTTTAGAAAGTAAATTTTGCTCTCAAAAGATGTTCAGAAACAGAGGCAAGAAATCAAGCAATGAACTCAGCATAAGTCTCTTCCAAAGGTAATCTTTCTTCAGGATCACTTCTGATACCAGATTTTTCAACCTAAAAAAAAAAAGACATTAAAGAAATGTCCAAATATGTTGAGTTTATTTGGGAATTAGAATGAGGATTGTAACCTGGGGTGCACTGGTGGATTGCCACTCTGGGAAATATTAGCTTAGCCAGATGTAGTGGGTTGAATGGTTGTCCCCACAAAGATATGTTTCTGTCCTAGTCCCCAGAAGCTGTGAATTTCAAGTTGTTTGGAAAAAAAGGGTCTTTGCAGATGTAATTAAGCTGAGGATATTGAAATGAGGAGATCCTCCTGGATGACCTAGGTGGGCCCTAAATCCAATGAAAAGTGTCTTCCTAACAGGTACACAGAAGAGAGAGTCAGAAGAGGAGAAGGCAATGTGAAGAAGGAGGCAGAGACTGGAGCAATGGGGCTACAAGCCAAAGAACGCTGACCAATGCCCTGGGCCTCCAGAACTGTGAAAGAATAATTTTCTGTTGTTGTAAGTTGCCAACTTTGAGGGCATTTTTGTGGCAGCTACAGGAAGTAAAAATATGGATGGTCAACTTCAACATCAACAGTGGTACATCAAATTGATATAATCTTGATAATGTGTTTGGAGAACAGCACTTCACCTCATCTAAACATCCATAACCATAGTCTAACCATGATCTACACCCCAACTAAATTCAGTTTGAGGGATATTTTACAATATATCTGGTCAGTACTTCCCGATATTGTGAAAGGCATCAAAAATTAGGAAAATCTCAGGAATTGTCACAGACCAGAGGATGCCGTGGAGGCACGACAGAGACTAAATGTAGTGTGATATTCTCCATGGAATCCTGAAACACAGAAAGGACATTAGGGGAACGCTAATGAACTCCAAATAAAGTCTGCAGTTTAGTAATAATAAGGTATGAAAATGGCTTCATTAGCTGTGACAAATGGACCATAGTAATGAGAGATGTTAACATCAGGGGAAACTGACTGTGGAGCGGATGGCAACTCTGTACTACCATTGCAACTTTTATGTAAATTTAAAACTCTTCTAAAATAAAATTATCTAAAAGTAGCAGTCAGGAAAGGATTAAGGAGTGGAAGAAAAAAATGATCAACTTTCCATTTTCCTGGAGTGTTGCCATGAAAAGGCTGGAGGGAGGGTTTGCAAGGAGGAGTTGGAAACCTCAGAGACAGGCAGCTCCAGAGCCCTCCTCTGTTCCGCAGAGCCGGAACCCCGCGCAGTCCAGGGCTTCTCAGAAGGCCTTTCCACCCCCTGGACAACCCCAGCCCCACCTCATTGATACATCCTTTCTGGATCAACAATCTGTGTCTTACTCAGACCACCGCCCCGTCCTCTCCAGAGCAGCTCATCAGAACCCAAGCGTAGAGCGGCAGCGGCCCCGTGTGGCCGAAGGACTGAGGAGAGACACCCAGCTCTCCTGTCCCTTCCCCATCTGGGACCTCCCCAGGTTCCCCTTCGGATCTCGGCAGAACAGGGCTCTGTGCACATGCGGGCGACCCCGTCCCGCGACAGGTGTTTCCTCCCAGTTAGTGGCAGTGGACTCTGACCTCAAGGCAGAGGGAGGTCTGCAGGCCCTAAGACCTGGTTCCCAGGTCTGGGTGGACCCCACAGACATACTGTGCTCCCAGTACGCAGCCTCTCAGTGTTTTTGGAATGAGGCCTTGGACTCCTGAGTCCCTGAAATTTGTTCTGCTGCTTCCAGAGAGGAAGATCCCTCCTCCCCGGAATCCCCTAGATGAGTCTCCAGCCCCAGCACGTTGGGACCCGGGAAGGACATGGCATCGGAGCTGGAGACTATATTGGGTTACAAGGATTTCTGGAATCAGACTGGGCTGAGCATTTGTCCCCAATCCATCGGGAACCCGAGGGCGGTTCCTCCGCCACTACCCGGACCTCCAGGACCCAGGCATCTGAACCTATACCCTATTGGATCCTGGAGGGCGGCCCCTCCCCAGCCTTGAGAGTCCAGGATTCTGGCCCCACCCGAACCCTGAGAGTCCAGGACCCTGGCATCCGGCCTCTTCTTCCCATTTGCAACCTAAGCAGACAGGACCTGCTGTCTATATCCCTTAATCCTGGCCCCCTGCCATCTCCAATCCCTGCTTAAAGGTCCTTGATTCTGGACTCAAATCTAATTTCTGGTCTTGTCGATTGTCCATGACGGTCGCCCACCAGGAGAGGCTCCCCAGCGCGAAACGTGCTGCAGCTGAGCGACAGCGGCGGATTTTGGCGCTTTGGCCCAGACTCCCTGCCCGAAGCGCCCCGGGACTCCGCCCTGGAGACTGCGCCCTGGAGGCTCCGTAGGGGTCTGTCTTCCTCTGCGGCAGGAGGGGGCGCACGGGGATTTCTGCCACTGAGGCTGCGCTCACCACCCTGGGTAAGCCTCTCCCCACCGCTCCCCTGTGGACCTCAAAAATCATATATTGGGAAAATACCGACCTGTCAGCCCCAGACTCAACTTTAAGAGGTTCTGGTCTCTAGATTTATTCAGCCCCTAACTGTTGGTTGAGCATCTACTTTTCGTCAGGCGCTATTCTAGGCGCTTGGGTCAAATCCAAACAGGCACAAATCATGGCTCTCAAGGAATTTACCTTCGGTTGAAAGACGTGGCCAATAAAAAGTCACTGAAGTCAACTACAGGGGTGTCCGAAAATAAAGGATGATTAAGAGAAAAGCAAGGCACGGAAGATGAAAGGAGCCAGGTGCAATTTGAAGTTATTATCATGAGAGTGAGATTTCCCGAGAGGTGCCATGCGAGCTGAGTCCTGAAGCAGATGAAGGAGGAAGCCCTGGGTTATTGGGAGGAAGGGTGTTCTAGAATCACCCTCTGCAGACGTGTGGCTCCGCCGGGGAAAGCACCCAGGCTGCGGCAGGAATGGGGCTGGGTAGGTTTCAGAAGGACTTCCTGAGGCTGGTTGCGGAGATCAGGGTTTGTGTTATCTCCTGACCACTTCCCACCAGTGCCTGGCACTTCATGAAACCCCGAGCTTGCCGGCAGGGTGAGTTGCCTGGTGTGTGGAGGAAGGCTGGGAGAGGAGGAGGCTAAGGTGGGTGCCAGCCTCGACTGTGTCTCTGTACTCTTTCTTTCCGGGACCCAGAGTTGGAAATGTAAGTGGTACTGATGTCTTCTGCAAATCCTAGAATCCCCGGAACTGGAAGAAATCTTGACATGGCAGGATGTAAAATTAAGGAATTTCTAAGCCCTGGAGGCTCTAAGGAATAATTTCAAGAAAGACTAAGTATGAGAAAAAAATGTTAAATATGCCAATAATCTTTTATACTGATTCCATGCTAAAATTATATTTTGGATGTATTGGGTTAAATAAAACATTGTTAAAAATAATTTCATTGATTACTTTTTACTTTTTAAAATGTGGCTACCAGAAAATTAAAGATTACCGATGTGGCTCACATTTGTGACTCATATTATAGCCTATTGCGTAGCACTGTTTTAGAAGGCTGGCAACTTTAGCTCTTATGTTTATATCTATGATTTATATCAAATGAGTTTTTGGATATGGTGTTCCTCTTATTTCTTGTCATTTTTTTTTCCAGCACCATTTGTTGAAAACACTATCCTTTCCCCTTAAAGCATTTTTCAGAGACATATATGTGTGGTTTTATTCATCTACTCTTTATTCTATTCCACCGATTCATGGCTATCCTTATGCCAGTAACACAACCTTGATTCCTGGAGCTTTATAGTAAGTCTTGTAATCAGGTAGTGTGTATTTTCCAAGTTTCTTCTTTTTAAAAATTATTGTGGATATTCAAAGTCCTTCAGATTTCCATATAAATTGACAAATCAGCTTGGTAATTTCTTTTTAAAAAAAACCTGCCAGGATTTATTTTTATTTTTTATTTTTTTAAACTTTTAGGTTCAGCCCTGCCATGATTTTGATTGGAATTGCACTTAATCCACAGGTCAGTTGTGGGAGACTTGGTACCTCAACAATACTGAATATTCCAATCTTTGAACATAGTATTTCTCCGCCCTTATTTATGTCTTCTTTATTTCTTTTTTTGGGGGTGGGGTTGTTTTGTTTTTTATTTTTTTTTATTTCAATAGGTTTTTGGGAGAACAGGTGGTGTTTGGTTACATGAATAAGTTCTTCAGTGTTGATTTCTGAGATTTTGGTGCACCCATCACTTGAGCAGCATACAAAGTACCCAATGTGTAGTCTTTTATCTCTCACCTCCCTACCCCTCTTCCCCTGAGTCCTCAAAGTCCATTTTATCATTCTTATGCCTTTGCATCCTCATAGCTTAGCTACCATTTATGAGTGAGGACATACCATGTTTGGTTTTCCATTCCTGAGTTACTTCACTTAGAATAATGGTCTCCATTTCCATCCAGGTTGCTGCGAATGCCATTATTTCATTCCTTTTTATGGCTCAATAGTATTCCACGGTATACATATACATCATTTTCTTTATCCTTTCGATGATTTATGGGCATTTGGGCTGGTTCCATATTTTTGCAATTGCAAATTGTGCTGTTATTAACATGTATATGCAGGCATCTTCTTTGTATAATGACTTCTTTTCCTCTGGGTAGATATCCAATGGTGGGATTGATGGATCAAACAGTAGATCTACTTTTAGTTATTTAAGGATTCTCCATACTGTTTTCCGTAATTGTTGTACTAGTTTACATTCCCACCAGCAGTGTAAAAGTGTTCCCTTTTCGTCACATCCATGCCAACATCTATTTTTTTTTTGGTATTTTGATTATGGTCATTCTTGCAGGAGTGAGGTGTTATTGCATTGTGGTTTTGATTTGCCTTTCCCTGATCATTAGTGATGTTGGGCATTTTTTTTCATATGTTTGTTGGCTATTTGTATATTTCTTTTGAGAATTTTCTATTCATGTCCTTAGTGCGTTTTTTGATGGGATTGTTTGTTTTGTTCTTTCTGATTTGTTTGAATTCTTTGTAGATTTTGGATATTAGTCCTTTGTCGGATGTGTAGATCAAAGATTTTCTTTCACTCTGTGTGTTGTCTGTTTACCCTGCTGATTGTTTCTTTGCTGTGCAGAGGCTTTTAGTCTAATTAAATCCCATCTATTTATCTTTGTTTTTGTTGCATTTGCTTTTGGGTTCCTGGTCATGAAGTCTTTGCCTAAGGCAATGTCTAGAAGGTTATTTTTTTATGTTGTCTTTTAAAATTTTTATGGTTTCATGTCTTAGATTTAAGTCTTTGATCCACCTTGAGTTGATTTTTGTATAGGATGAGAGAAGAGAATCCGGTTTCATTCTTCTATATATGGCCTGCCAATTAACCCAGGACCATTTGTTGAATACGGTGTCCTCTCCCCAGTTTATGTTTTTGTTTGCTTTGTTGAAGTTCGGTTGACTATAAGTACTTGGTTTTATTTCTGGGTCCTCTATTCTGTTCCATTGGTCTATAGGCCTATTTTTATACCAGTACCATGCTGTTTTGGTGACTGCAGCCTTATAGTATAGTTTGAAGTTGGGTAATGTAATGCCTCCAGATTTGTTCTTTTTGGTTAGTCTTACTTTGGCTATGCAGGGTCTTTTTTTGTTCCATATGAATTTTAGGATTATTTTTTCTAGTTCTGTGAAGAATGATGATGGTATTTTGATGAAAATTGCATTGAATTTGTAGTTTTTTTTTGGCAGTATGGTCATTTTCACAATATTGATTCAACCCATTCATGAGCATGGGATGTGTTTCCATTTGTCTGTGTCATCTGTGATTACTTTCAGCAGTGTTTTGTAGTTTTCCTTGTAGAGATCTTTCACCTCCTTGGTTAAGTATATTCCTAGGTACTTTATTTTTGTCACAGCTAAAGTAAAAGGGGTTGAGTTCTTGATTTGATTCTCAGCTTGGTGGCTGTTGGTGTATAGCAGAGCTACTGATTTTGTACAATAATTTTGTATCGTGAAACTGCTGAATTTGTTCACCCATTCTAGGAGACTTTTGGATGAGTCCTTAGGGTTTTCTAGGTATACAATCATGTCATCAGCAAACAACGACAGTTTGACTTCCTTATGACCAATTTAGATGCACTTTATTTCTTTCTCTTGTCTGATTGCTCTGGTTAGGACTTCCAGTACTATGTTGAATAGAAGTGGTGAAAGTGGGAATCCTTGACTTGTCCCAGTTCTCAGCGGGAATGGTTTCAACTTTCCCCCGTTCAGTATAATGTTGGCTCTGGGTTTGTCATAGATGCCTTTTATTTCCTTAAGGTATGTCCCTTCTATGCTGATTTTGCTGAGGGTTTTTTTTTTTTTTTTTTTTGAGATGGAGTCTCGCTCTGTGGCCCAGGCTGGATGCAGTGGCACGATCTCCGCTCACCCGCCTCCTGGGTTCACGCCATTCTCCTGCCTCAGCCTCCCAAGTAGCTGAGACTAGAGGCGCCCACCACCACGCCCGGCTAATTTTTTGTATTTTTTTTGTAGAGACGGGGTTTCACCACGTTAGCCAGTATGGTCTTGATCTCCTGACCTCGTGATCCACCCCCCTCAGTCTTCCAAAGTGCTGGGATTAAAGGCGTTAGCCACCATGCCCAACCCTGCTGAGGGTTTTAATCATAAAGGGATGCTGGATTTTGTGAAATGATTTTTCTGCATCTATTGAGATGATCATGTGATTTTTGTTTTTAATTCTGTTTATGTGGTGTATTACATTTATTGACTTTCATATGTTAAACCATCCTTGCATATCTGGTAGGAAACCCACTTGATCATGGTGGATTATTGTTTTGATATGCTGTTGGATTCTGTTAGCTAGCATTTTTTTTTTTTTCCAGACGGAGTTTCGCTCTTGTTGCCCAGGCTGGAATGCAATGGCGAGATCTCGGCTCACCCCAACCTCCGCCTCTTGGGCTCAAGCGATTCTCCTGCCTCAGCCTCCCAAGTAGCTGGGACTACAGGCATGCACCACTACGCCCAGCTAATTTTGTATTTTTAGTAGAGATGGGGTTTCTCCATGTTGGTCAGGCTGGTCTTGAACTCCTGGCCTCAAGTGATCAGCCCACCTTGGCCTCCCAAAGTGCTGGGATTACAGGTGTGAGCCACCACGCCCGGCCACTAGTATGTTTTGAGGATTTTTGCATCTATGCTCATTAGGTATATTGGCCTGTAGTTTTGTTTTTTTTTTGTTATGTCCTCTCCTGGTTTTGGTATTAGGGTGATACTGGTTTCATAGAATGATTTAGAGGGGATTCCCTCTTTCTCTACCTTTTGGAATAGTGTCAGTGGTATAGGTACCATTTTTTGAATGTCTGATAGAATTCCGCTGTGCATCCATCTGGTTCTGGGCTTTTTTTTGTTGTTGGTACCTTTTTTTTTTTCTTTGAGGTGGAGTTTCACTCTTGTCGCCCAGGCTGGAGTGCAATAGCACGGTCTCTGCTCACTGCAACCTCCACTTCCTGGGTTCAAGTGATTCTCCTGCCTCAGCCTCCCGAGTAGCTGGGATTCCAGGCATGTACCACCACCCCTGGCTAATTTTTTTGTATTTTTAGAAGAGACGGAGTTTCTCCATGTTGGTCAGGCTGGTCTCAAACTCCCGACCTCAGGTGATCTGCCCGCCTAGGCCTCCCAAAGTGCTGGGACTACAGGCGTGAGCCACTGCGCCCGGCCGGTAATTTTTTAAATTACCATTTTTTTTTTTTTTTTTATTGATCATTCTTGGGTATTTCTCACAGAGGGGGATTTGGCAGGGTCATAGGACAATAGTGGAGGGAAGGTCAGCAGATAAACAAGTGAACAAAGGTCTCTGGTTTTCCTAGGCAGAGGACTCTGCGGCCTTCCGCAGTGTTTGTGTCCCTGGGTACTTGAGATTAGGGAGTGGTGATGACTCTTAACGAGCATGCTGCCTTCAAGCATCTGTTTAACGAAGCACATCTTGCACCACCCTTAATCCATTTAACCCTGAGTGGACACAGCACATGTTTCAGAGAGCACAGGGTTGGGGGTAAGGTCACAGATCAACAGGATCCCAAGGCAGAAGAATTTTTCTTAGTACAGAACAAAATGAAAAGTCTCCCATGTCTACTTCTTTCTACACAGACACGGCAACCATCCGATTTCTCAATCTTTTCCCCACCTTTCCCCTCTTTCTATTCCACAAAACCGCGATTGTCATCCTGGCCCGTTCTCAATGAGCTGTTGGGTACACCTCCCAGACGGGGTGGTGGCCGGGCAGAGGGACTCCTCACTTCCCATTAGGGGCGGCCAGGCAGAGGAGCCCCTCACCTCCCTCCCGGAGGGGGCGGCTGGCCGGGCGGGGGGCTGACACCCCCACCTCCCTCCTGGATGGGGCGGCTGGCCTGGCGGGGGCTGACCCCCACCTCCCTCCCAGACAGGGTGGCTGCCGGGCGGAGACGCTCCTCACTTCCCAGACGGGGCGGCTGCCAGGCAGAGGGTCTCCTCACTTCTCAGACGGGGCGGCCGGGCAGAGACGCTCCTCACCTCCCAGACGGGGTCGCGGCAGGGCAGAGGCGCTCCTCACATCCCAGACGGGGCGGCGGGGCAGAGGTGCTCCCCACATCTCAGACGATGGGCAGCCGGGCAGAGACGCTCCTCACTTCCTAGATGGGGATGGAGGCCGGGAAGAGGCGCTCCTCGCTTCCTAGATGGGATGGCGGCCGGGCAGAGACGCTCCTCACTTTCCAGACTGGGCAGCCAGGCAGAGGGGCTCCTCACATCCCAGACGATGGACGGCCAGGCAGAGACACTCCTCACTTCCCAGATGGGGTGGCGGCCGGGCAGAGGCTGCAATCTCAGCACTTTGGGAGGCCAGGGCAGGCGGCTGGGAGGTGGAGGTTGTAGCGAGCCGAGATCACGCCACTGCACTCCAGCCTGGGCACCATTGAGCACTGAGTGAACGAGACTCTGTCTGCAATCCTGGCACCTTGGGAGGCCGAGGCTGGCAGATCACTCGCGGTTAGGAGCTGGAGACCAGCCCGGCCAACACAGCGAAACCCCGTCTCCACCAAAAAAATACGAAAACTAGTCAGGCGTGGCGGCGCGCGCCTGCAATTGCAGGCACTCGGCAGGCTGAGGCAGGAGAATCAGGCAGGGAGGTTGCAGTGAGCCGAGATGGCAGCAGTACAGTCCAGCTTCGGCTTGGCATCAGAGGGAGACCGTGGAAAGAGAGGGAGAGGGAGACTGTGGGGAGAGGGAGAGGGAGGGGGAGGGGGAGGGGGAGGGGGAGAGGTAGAGCCTAAATTACCATTTCAATCTCACTGCTTGTTATTGGCCTGTTCAGGGTTTCCATTTCTTCCTGGTTTAATCTAGGAGGGTTGTATATTTTCAGGAATTTATCCATGTCCTCTAGGTTTTCTAGTTTATGTGCATAAAGGTGTTCATAGTAGCCTTGAATGATCTTTTGTATTTCTGTGGTATTGGTTGTAATATCTTCTGTTTTGTTTCTAATTGAGCTTATTTGAATCTTCTTCCTTCTTTTCTTGGTTAATCTTACTAATTGTCTATCAATTTGATTTATCTTTTCAAACAACCAGCTTTTTGTTTCATTTATCTTTTGTAATTTTTTGTTTCAATTTCATTTAGTTTTGCTCCGATCTAGGTTATTTTTTTTTCTTCTGCTCATTTGGGTTTGGTTTGTTCTTGTTTCTCTAGTTCCTGGAGGTGCGACCCTAGATTGTTTATTTGTGCTCTTTCAGACTTTTTGATGTAGGCATTTAATGCTATGAACTTTCCTCTTAGCACTGCTTTTTCTGTATCCCAGAGGTTTTGATAGGTTCGGTCACTATAATCATTCAGTTCAAGGAATTTTTTTTTTTTTTTTTTTGGAGACAGAGTCTTGCTCTGTCACCCAGGCTAGAGTGCAGTGGCACCATCTCGCCTCACTGCAATCTCTACCTCCCGGGTTCAAGCAAAGCAATTCTCCTGTCTCAGCCTCCTGAGTAGCTGGGACTACAGGTACCCACCACCACACCAAGCTAATTTTTGTATTTTTAGTATAGACAAGGTTTCACCATATCAGTCAGGCTGCTCTCAAATCCCTGACCTCAGGTGATCCACCCACCTTGGCCTCCCAAAGTGTGGGGATTACAGGATTGAGCCACCACACAGGCCAGTTCAAAGAATTTTTGTATTTCCATCTTGATTGTATTGTTGATCCATTGATCATTCAGGAGCAGGTTACTTAATTTCCACGTATGTGCATGGTTTTGAGGGCTCCTTTTGGTGTTGATTTCCAATTTTATTTCACTGTGGTCTGAGAGAGTACCTGACATAATTTCAATTTTCTCAAATTTGTTAAGACTTGTTTTGTGGCCTATCATATGATTTATCTTGGAGAATGTTCCATGTGCTAATGAATAGAATGTACATTCTGCAGTTGTTGGGTGGAGTGTTCTATAAATATCTGTTAAATCCATTTGTTCTAGGGTAGAGTTTAAGTCCATTGTTTCTTTGTTGACTTTCTATCTTGATGACCTGTCTAGTGCTGTCAGTAGAGTATTAACATCCCCCACTATTGTTGTGTTGCCATCTATCTCATTTCTTAAGTCTAGTAGTAATTGTTTTATAAATTTAGGAGCTCCAGTATTAGGTGCACATATATTTAGGATTGTGATATTTTCCTGTCAGACTAGTCCTTTTGTCATTATATAATGTCCCTCTTTGTCTTTTTAAACTGTTGTTGCTTTAAAGTCTATTTTTTCTGATAGAAGAATAGCTACTCCTGTTTGCTTTTGGTGCCCATTTGCATGGAACATCTTTTTCCATCACTTTATCTTAAGTTTGTATGTGTCCTTATGTGTTAGGTGAGTCTCTTGAAGACAGCAAATACTTAGTTGGGGAATTCTTATCCATTTTGCAATTCCATATCTTTCAAGTGGAGCATTTAGGCCATTTACATTGAGTGTTAGTATTGAGATGTGAGGTACTATTCTATTCATTATGCTAGTTGTTGCCTAAATACCTTTTTTTTTTTTTTTGTAGTGTGATTATTTTATAGGCCCTGTGAGATTTATGCTTTAAGCAGGTCACATTTTGGTATATTTCAAGATTTTGGTTCAAGATTTAGAACATCTTTTAGTAGTTCTTATAGTGCTGGCTTGTTAGTGGCAAATTCTCTCAGCATTTGTTTGTATGAAAAATACTTTATCTTTCCGCTGGGCACAGTGGCTCATGCCTGTAATCCTAGCACTTTGGGAGGCTGAGGCAGGCGGATCATGAGGTCAGGAGATGGAGAGCATCCTGGCTAACATGATGAAACCCCATCTCTACTAAAAATACAAAAAATTAGCTGGGCGTGGTGGTGGGCGCCTGCAGTCCCAGTTACTTGGGAGGCTGAGGCAGGAGAATGGCATGAACCCAGGAGGCGGAGCTTGCAGTGAGCTGAGATTGTGCCACTGCACCCCAGCCTGGGTGACAGCAAGACTCCGTCCCAAAAAAAAAAAAAAAGAAAAATACTTTATCTTTTCCTTCATCACTTTTACTGGATACAAAATTCTGGGTTGATAATTATTTTGTTTAAGTGTCTAAAGATTGGACCCCAATCCCTTCTAGCTTGTAGGGTTTCTGCTGATAAATCTGCTGTTAATCCGATAGGTTTTCCTTTACAGGTTACTTGATGCCTTTGCCTCACAACTCTTAAGATTCTTTCCTTCATCTTGACCCTAGATAACCTGATGACTATGTGTCTAGGTGATGATCTTTTTGAGATGAATTTCCCAGGTGTTCTTTGAGCTTCTTGTATTTGAATGTCCAAATCTGTAGCAAGGCCAGGGAAGTTTTCCTCAATTATTCCCTCAAATAAAATTTTCAAACTTGCAGATTTCTCTTCTTCCTCAGGAACATCAATTATTCTTAAGTTTGGTCATTTAACATGATCCCAAACTTCTTGGAGGCTTTGTTCATTTGATTCTTTTTTCTTTGTTTTTGTCAGAGTTAATTTGAAAGCCTTGTCTTAGAGCTCTGAAGTTCTTTCTTCTAGTTGTTTGATTCTATTGTTGAAACCTGCCATAGTATTTTGCACTTCTCTAAGGGTGTCCTTCAGGCCGGGCGCGGTGGCTCACGCCTGTAATCCCAGCACTTTGGGAGGCCGAGGCGGGCGGATCACGAGGTCAGGAGATCGAGACCATCCCGGCTAAAACGGTGAAACCCCGTCTCTACTAAAAATACAAAAAATTAGCCGGGCGTAGTGGCGGGCGCCTGTAGTCCCAGCTACTTGGGAGGCTGAGTCAGGAGAATGGCGTGAACCCGGGAGGCCGAGCTTGCAGTGAGCCGAGATAGCACCACTGCACTCCAGCCTGGGCAATAGAGCGAGACTCCATCTCAAAAAACAAACAAACAAACAAACATAAAAAAGCCCAGAGTATTAACACTTGCTTATGATGCAATTTGAGAGCAAACACTTTTTGTACTTTTAAATGAAATTGTGCTGGGAAATACAAGGCAAAAAAACTGGGAAAATTTGTTTTTGTTAACAGAAGATGATGCAATAAGGAATCCAGATGAAACATAAGACCAGTGTTTACAATTTCTCATAAAAAGTGTAATTTTCAGCTGTAGCCTCATAGCTAGCTAACAGCTTTTAAAAACATGTACAGCCAGCCAACAGTTCTCTAAAGCATGTTTATGCTGCACTAAAAGATCCCTGCTAAACATCAACTGTACTTAAATGGGTTTTACTGAAGTAGGACTTTCATGATACTTTTAAAAGCCAGTCGTTTAAAAAGTGAATATGATAGGGCTACAATAATAACATTACTATTTTTTTCCCTTGGTTAATATGCCTCTATTTGAAACAAACCTACAGGTGCTTCTTAATACCATGGAATCATGAATTCTTGCAGTTATCAGCGTTTCCTAATGATTAAAACAATGTTCACATAATTACAAAGTTACTTCATCAAAATACTTAGAAGTATTTTGATTTTCTGAGGAGTGTTTGAAAGCTCTGTTTATAAATAGTGATTGTTACATTTATTATGTATTTGGTGCTGAAGATAAACACTTTTTACATAAAACAGTGTTTTAATATACTGGTCTACTAATGAGGCTAGTTATTAGATATACTGTATGTTAACACTGAAGAATAAAGCTTTATCTTCATATTTATTTTATTTGTAGGTCTCTTATCAATGAAGAACTTTGTATCCAACAATAATAAACTGTCATATTGCAAGTTGCATTTTGTAGAAGCAAAAAAGACTGGCTGTGACGAAATAAAGAAGATATTTGCATTATACATGCTTCTTACAAACAGTCCATTCTGAATGGTAGAATTAAATGCAAACCAAATGCTTTTAAATGTTTGTGTGCCTAGATGGCAACTACAATCTCCACACACTTAAAAGAACAATAACACAGAACACAGTATCCTTAATGATTGTAGCACATTTAACACCTTCAGCCATCACTGGGTTTTCAGATCATATTGGCAATTGAAATTTCACATCCACATGCGCTTGCTTTGCTTCACTATTTCAGAGAGCTTTACAAGCACTCTAGCAGCTTCCACCAAATCATCACAAGCAAGTATTTTAAGTCCACTGTCTGCTTTTAGTGCCTTAACATCATCAACTTGTGTACCTTGTAACTGTACCACAACAGGTATTTTAATTTCCAAACTTTTTACTGCCATGACTATACCCTTTGCTGTAATATCACAGTGCATGATTCCTCCACAAATGTTGACCAGAATAGCCAGTACCTTTTTATCTGAAGTGATAGGCTTAAATGCTTCTGTTACTTGATGGACTGTAGCACCACCACCAACAAGGAAATTAGCTGGAGTCTCTCCATGAAGTTTTATTATATCCATTGTGGCCATAGCCAAACCAGCACCATTTACTAGGCAGCCTATACTTCCATCGAGGCCAGTGTAGTTGAGATCTGCCTTAGCAGCATCTTTGTTCCTTTCATCTTCCTGGGTCCAGTCCTGTAGATCAAACATTTTCTTTTGGCGATAGGCTGAATTAGAGTCAAAATTGATCTTTGCATCCTTACACAATGCAGCTCCATCTGAATCTTCCACCATTGAATTTATTTCTATCATGGTTGCATCGTATTTCAGAAAAAGGCTGTAAAGCTTGATCATGTTTTCTGCTGCTGAAGCCACAATATTAGATGGAAATCCCATCTTCTGTGCAAGCTGGAGAGCTTATTCCTCTTTGATACCTTCTACAATATCAATAGGTACTTTAATTATTGCTTCAGGAGTCTCAGCAGCAACATCTTCAATGTTGGCCCCACTATGTAAACTTCCTATTAATACAAGACCTTGAAATGACCTTTCCATTGTTATTGCAAAGTAGCACTCTCTCTTGGGATATTTTCACTCACAGACCAATACCTGATTGCATATTCTGCCCTTTTCTCCCATTTGCTTGGTAAACAACTGTTTCCTAATCATTTGTGAAGGAACAGCTTTTGCTTCTTCTGGAGAGAAAACCATCTTCACTCCTCCTTTGAGGCCACTTTCAAATGTTCCTTTTCCTCTACCACCAGCTAAAACCTGTGCCTTCATCACAACATCTTTTGAACCTAATTTTTTGGCAATTGCATAAGCTTCATCTGGTCACTTTGCCACATATCCTTTGGGAACAGAGACACCAGTTTCTTGCAATAATTCCATACTCATGTATTCATGTAGTGAGAGATTCCTTTGCTGTTGCTGCTGTACTTGGAGTCCATGGTTATTAAACAATCCAGAACTTCCCAGAACCTGAGCAGCAGCCCGCAGTGTGGTCCGAAGGGTGGCGGCCACCAACAGCGGGCGGAAGAACATGGAGGCCACCATTTCTGAGTCTAACATTACTATTAATAAAAGTTACAGAAGAGATTATTGCTGTAGTTTTCCTCATAAACACCATCAAATTTCGTTGCAGTTACAAAAAGTACAACCATGTTACTTTTTCTCTTACCAAATTTCATTGTCTTCCATGTCTGTAAAGTTTTTATTCAGTAGAAGATAATTCTTCCACTCTTTTCTGTAAGAATTCAAAGTATTTAAATGTGTAACTTCATACTATATTACCATGTTTTTCCCTTCTTGTTTCATATATATACGTATATATATGTATATATATGTATATATACGTATATATACGTATATATGTATATATGTATATATATGTATATATGTATATATGTGTATATATGTATATGTGTATATATGTATATATGTATATATGTGTATATATGTATATATGTGTATATATGTATATGTGTGTATATATGTATATATATGTGTGTATATATGTATATATATGTGTATATATGTATATATATGTGTGTGTGTGTGTGTATATATATATGTATATATATATATATATATATATATCTCATTTTTCAAAAAGGAAACCAGGTGTCCACATTTTAAAGAAACCCTGCATGGGTTTGGACAATGAGAAGAAAAAATTTTAAAAAGCCTACAAAAAAGTTTCAGAGCTATAAAAGATTTTCATATGGCATGAAGTGATCTCCTGCTAGTCCAGAGTTCAAAAACACTCTAATGAAGTTCATTTATATATATTTTGTTTGCTTTTCATGGAATACTACATTTATTGAGGTGAAATCACCTGTTTTTTTTTTTTTAGCTATTTAAGTCAACAAGGGTACACAAGTGTTTTTCAATACAGTTATTAAAAATAGGAGGCCAACTTGAATGTGCCAGATGGATTCCATTCAGTTGGGTTTCTAGAGTCATCAGGAAGAACGTTAGAGAAAAGATTTCCTTGTTTGGTTTCTATAGCTTGATAGACCAAAAAACAAACAAACAAAACCTACTACAACAACAAACAGCAAAATTTTTGTCCATACAGAAATGGCTCATTCTTTTTTTGTCTTTTCTGACTTGACATCTGCCAAGGGAACACACTTAGGAACATATTTAGATGAAAAAGATTCTGCCATCCTGAACTCAGTGAGTTCTAATGGCCTGCCTGTAGCCCCTTTGACTGGTCTGCAGCAATTCCTGTTGGTGTAGATGCTTCATAGGGCAACATTTCCTTAAGAATATCCCTTTCTACTCTTCTTTATTCTGTTCCCCCCCAACCCCAGTGGTCTCTTTGGAGTTTGGGGTATGTTTGAAAATTTACTGAGTTGCAGAATAGGAGCTGCATGCTTGAAATTTCCAGTCATCCTACTGACAACGAAGGTTTTGTGTCCTGAAGCCATTAGAGTTTCAGCTGTGGGAGCACTCTCTGAAATTACTGCACTGTCTATTGGAAAATGTTCTGGTTTCCACCCTCTTCCTTGGCCTTCTCCTCCGGTCTCTGGTAGACTCCCTACTCCAGGCCTGCAGAGCTCCGCCTTCTGAAGCTCCACTTGTGCGTTCAGCCTCAGTTATTCCAGCGTGAGAATAGCTCTGACTATCTCAAGTCTTCTTTTCTTCAGTGTTACTGGAGTCTTTGCTCTGCCCTTTAGTGGTTCTGTCTTCTCAAGCTTGATCTTTACTCTAGTCTTCTTCATTGTCACAGTATCTATTAGAACCTTTATTTCAATTCTGCCTTCCATTTTCTGCTGAAGATTAAATTGTTAATCCGCCGAGATGGGCAGATCCCTTGAGCTCAGGAGTTGGAGACCAGCCTGGACAACACGGGGAAAGCCCGTCCCTACCAAAAATACAAAAAAAAAAAAAAAAAAAAAAAAAAAAAAAAAAAAAAAAAATGTAGCCAGGCGAGGTGGCGCATGCCTGTGGTTCTAGCCACTCAGGAGTCTGAGGCACGAGAATCTCTTGAACCCGGGAGGCGGAGGCCGCAGTGAGCCGAGAGCCGAGATCGCGCCACTGCACGCCAGCCTGGGCGACAGATCGTCCTCGTTCCTTCGGTTTCAAGGTTTTTTTCTCACATCGCTTCCTGGTTGTTCTCCAGTAGGACTAGGTTTCTCTTTATACCTCGCAAGCGGGTCCACGAGATCTTCATTAGTGAGCGCGGTTACCTCGAGATCAGCTTTATCTTTTGGTCTGAGTTGAACTGTTTTCTTCGTGGCTTTCCTGCTGTGGGTGGCTTGGCTCTGGAGCCAGCTGGGGGAGGCGGGGCCCTCGCTGTCGGCGCCGCGGCGGGGTAGAGGTAGCGGCGGGGTAGAGGTAGGGCCGAGTGCTGCAGGCGAGGCTGCGCGTCCTGGTCTCTGCGCTGCTCCGGGCCGGGAGCCTCACTTTAATGGCGACCAACTCACTCATCAACTTGTCTTTCGTCAGGACCCAGGAGTCTTCCAGGAACGCTGGCATATCCAGGAGCTGCGAGTCCCGCTCCCGGCAGCCTTCGCAGCCTCCGGTCCCGCCCGAGCTCGCCCGGGCCTCGCGGCTCCCGCCCCGGAGGAGCGCCGCGGAGCAGGGCAAAAACTTGCGGACAGAAAGCCAGGCCAGACCCGACACAAAAGCCCCGGGGCTGAACGATGCAGACACCCGCGGCCAAGCCGGAAGCCCGCACCAACCCCAGCCCCCACACTACAGGCCACTTATTTTATTTTATTCTTTTTAAAATGTGGGTTTCTGGTCTATGCAATTCACCTCGGTGTGACTCAGGAAGGACACTGGAAGTCCACTGATCTGGCCAGGACAGAACCACGTGTGTGTTTAGGAAAAGTGGCCTTCTGTTCTCCATCCCTAGGGGCTCACGGGATACCCTTAGAACAGACTGGCCACAGGAATTCCCAGTTAAGGCAGAAGGTTGACATGAGATCAGTGTTTCAGGATTAAGTTCTCACGAAGGGCAGAAAACTGGGAAGCCCATACTTTTCCACGTTAATCAATTGGTTCCATAAACATCATTCCATTTATGTTTTTGTGTTTTTTATTAATAATTCCTTTGAGCTTCACTGGGAGAGATGAGTATGACTGTGGAGTTCAGTTCTGTAAAGCATGGGGTGGCTAAGAAAGGGAAGTAACTGGCCCCAGAATCCCACAGTCACCCAGTGACCTTCAGCCCAAGAATCTGATGGCCACTGCTGCACTCCAAGGGAAAGGAGGCCATCCGGAGAGAAGAGAATTACAAGAATAAGAGTGCAGAGAGTGTCCCACAGTCCTGAGATTCGTACAGAAGCACAGGAGGAAGCAAGTGTCCAAGTATCCAGAGTCCTGTGAAGTAGGGATTTCAGTCCTCAAAGCTACCCTCTCCCATCTGCCAAGTCTTCTGTGGACGTGCGTGGCTGTGTTTCCCTTCCCATTCCCTTTGGGCAGTGTGCTATAGGTTTCCATGTGAGGGCCAGTACTCCTTGCCTCTCATCTCCCTCTCCATTTTGCCGCAAATGCAAGGGACCCCATACTCGCCCTTGCCCCACCTCTTGCCTCTCCTGGGGACATTCTTCCTGCTCAGTAGTGGGCCTTGTGAGGACCTGCAGGACAGCCTGAGTGGGAGCTACCCCAAGGGCCCAAGGAGTTCCAGGAACCCCATCTGCACTCACTCACCTCCCCATCAAGCGCCCCTGCATTCTTCCTGCACTGCACTCCAGGTGTTGACAGCTCCTGGGCAGGGTAGCAGGTTCCAGGGAGCCCAGGCTGAATGGAGCTTGGGAGCTGAGGTCCTCTGCTGGGGATTCACTGTTCCAAGAGGACAGGATTCTGCCTTTATGGGGGAAGGGCTGGATAGGAACCAGGAGACCAGTTATAGGCCTGTTGCTATCAATCCTGGGACCAGTTAATTGATCTGTGTTCAGTACAGGATAGCAAAAATGGACTTGACCTTTTCTCTGTGTAACTTTTTTCAGAAACCATCACGTCCAGCCTTCCTTCCCTGGGCACAGAGGAGACCTGCCTCAGGCGAAGTTCTTCTGTGGAATTAAAAAGTCTCTTGGGCTCAGCTCTCCCCAGGGGCCTTCAGAACTCACCAAGGATAGAGCTGCAGACCTCTGGTGGTCAAATAGGGACTAAAACCGATTACACCTACAAGTCAATTGCAAATCAGTCTTTCTTTCTGTTGCACCTGTGCCCCTCACTTAGTCACCTGTCTTAGATGGAAGCTTCGGGCCCCTCCTGGGCCCCAACCCTGCGGTCCCCAGGTTCGCGGTTTTTCACGTCTAATCTCAATTGGCCCCTTCCCCACACACCGTGTTTGACCACCCAGTTCACAGAACGCCCCGGGCTTCCTAGTGGGCCAGGTCCTCCTTAGAGAGGCAAGAAGGTGGAGAGGGAGCGTGGACGCCGAGCGCCCGCTGGGCAAACCCGAATCTGGGGCCTGACCTAGCCGGTAGCCGGTGACGGGGCCGGTGGTGGCTTGGAGACTCCTCTCTGGTCCTCTGCTCTTGGCCCCAGCCCCGCGCTCACAGCCACCTCCTGAAGCCGCCAGTGCTGCGTCCTCTTGGCCACGTAGGGGAAGAGCGGACTGGACGGAAGCAGCGGACTCTGGGCGCTGTCAAGGTCACTGTTGTGAAAAGCCGGGAGACCAGATGTGGACACAGGGAGGCCTGGACCCGAGGCGCGGCTGGCCAGAGGCCTCGTGTCTGCCCCTCTTCACAGCTTCCAGGGAAGCTCCCCGCGTATCCTCAAAGCAGAGAGCGGTTTCCAAACGGACCCCCACAGCGCCCGATTGGGCCATCCCGCCCCAGGCTGGAGGGTGGGTGCTCATGGGGTCGCCAGTCACCAAGGGCCCCATCTGAGCGCACCCGGTCCCTCCTCCAGGCTCGCCTGGGCCTCGAGGGCGGCGAACAGCTCGGCTTTGAAGAAGGCTCCGGCCGGCGCTGCCCAAGTCGGGCAGCCTTCCTGGCCCACCCGGGAGTTGAGTTTCAAGGCTTCCCGGAGAGGCCAGCCCAGATTCGCAGCGGAGAGTTTCTCAGGCCACAAACCTCGGAGAGAAGCAGCCGTGGTTCCCTGTGCCCTGGGCCACCGCTGGGCGGGGCAGGAAGCCTCCCTGGCGTTTCCTCGCGGGCGCGACTACGAGCCGCGGAAACCAGTGGCCGCTCCACACTATTTAAGCTGAGGTTCCTCTGCCATGGCTGCGGTTTGCGGTTTCAGCTTAGTGTACCACTTAGTACTAATATTATTACTTAGTGAACTTAGTGCACTTAGTGCTCTAAGTTTACCAAGTTTACCATTTATTGTACTTAGTGTACTTAGTGCTCTAAGTTTACCAAGTTTACCACTTAGTGTACCTAGTCTACTTAATCAACACTTAGTGTATTTAGTGTTTCAGCTTAGTGTAGAGAGGCTTCTTTCTTCCTTTTCTGGAGGAGTCAGTGGTTAGAGACGATTTCCGTGGTTAGAGCGTACTTGGTCTTTAGAAGACGACTTTGGTGTCCATTGCCAACCCCATCAGAGATCGCAGGCCTTTTCCCCTCAGTCCCAGCTCATCAGCAAAGGTCTGGGTGGCTGTCTCCAGAGGAGACTGAACGAGGTTGTCAAAGCGGCTGGATCAAAAGTGTTGCCATGTCGGATGGAGTGGTGTCCACGATGAACCTGAGCATGGTACCAGCATCTGGGGGTGTGGAATTGGGAGGGAAAGCTGGGGCCCCACAGTGTGAGGAAGGAGGAGCATGGTCAAACCAGACTGGGCAGAGTCCTCGGTATTTAGGAATCTCTAAATACTAAATACTAAATCTCTAAATACTAAATACTGAGCTGGGATGGAATCTCTGTGCTGGAGGCTAGTGGTGCAAACATTTTTTCCGCATGAGGTTCAGAAAGGTTAGGCGGCGGTTTCTCATCTGCAGGCACAGGTGACTGACTGCCTTCAGCATGGGCCCATCTGTCCATCTCTCCTCCTGACCCTGGTCTCATTACAGGAGAGGGAACTGGGTGCTAGAGGGTGGGGAATCCAGGATGTCAGAGGTGTCACACCTGGATAAAGCGTTTTGAAAACACAAGTCCCAGGGCTGATTATTGATTTTACCACATGCAGCCTGTTTTTATTTATGAAGTTTCTTTTCTTTTCCCTTAACTTCCAATGATACACTATAATGTACATCAATGTCCTTAAAATGTATGTAGTCCTCTTCATCTAGTAACTATACTGATCCTCAAGTATCCATTCTCTAGTCAAGCGTTATACCTGTTTCTCCTACCCCACGGCAGTGCTGGGTCTGGTGTACCCCTCCCGCAGTATCGCCTCCCCCTAAATAAGCACGTTTCCCTATAATTTCTTACTTTTTCTCTATGCCTTCCCATCATGTTTGCACTCACTGTGAAGTAAGGAAACGCTTCCTAATTCTGTTATTCCTTCCTACTCTTAGGAGATTTCTCCCTCTGCGCTGAGGATCTCACTGTGCACCTCCAGCCCTGGGTCCTGGTGGGCTCTGGTGGCCACTGGAGTCTTTGGAACTGCCTCCCTCTGGCTCTGCTGGGTGAGTGCTCTTCTGTCTTCTGTTTCTCCACTGATAAAAACAAATCCGAGAACATGTTCACAATAACACTTCCAGAAAGGATGGTGTGGAAGGGGATAAGGAGTAGGGGAAGGAACTCCACTCCCTTGGATGAATTTAGAGACAATTTGCTACATTAATCTCTGGCCAGGAGCCAAGACAGAGTCTAGAGTAAGCCAGGCTGCTCAGGTCAAATATCTGAAGGCCTCCTCTTCTCCCTCCTCACATTTCAGTAGACTCAGTGCCAAGGGCTTGTCCTGGGGACAGGTGGCCTCAGCCACAGTAAATCCCTGAGATCCTGGACCACTGCGTGGAACCCTGTTCTCTGCATGAGGCAGGCTCCAGGTGCTACCTGCTTCCCTTTCATTTCCCCTGTTACAAAACATGGTCTCCCCTCTACTCTCTCTCAATCCTTCCTAGCCACCAGCTTCCTGGCAAGCAACCACATGGAAGCCTTTTACTTCATATTTTGTTCTTTATCTTTATGTCTCTTGATAATATACATTTATGCCACTTCAAATGTTTCCATTTTAGATATTATGTATTGACTTTTCAATATCCCTTCTGTCCATAGTACCTTCCCCAGCACACACATTTTCATCCTCCTCGTGTAGGCAGGTGGAGATTTTGAGTGCATTGAGAGCCAGAGTTAAAATTACTGACTTACGTGACTGCTACTCAGACCTGAGCCACATGGTAAACTCTCTTAGTTTTTCTTTCCACATATGCTGAAGTTTTCAAGATTTGATCATTGCCTAGTATTTTCATTTTCTTACTTTCCATGAACCTTAAATGAATTCACCAACTGTTCCTTAGTTGAGTAAATGTCTTCTCAATACCTTTAAACTTATGTTGGCTGTTGTCAAGGTCATCTTCTTGGAGATGGCTTCCCCTCTGCTGTCCACCCACCCAGGTGACCCTCTTCCTTTCTGGTCCTGTTGCCCTTTCACCTTTTCATGGGTTGATGCCTGATTTCATACATCCCATATCTTGGTATTTTTTTTGTTCTTGTTGTTGGTTGATGTTGTTGTTGTTGTTATTTTTTGTATATTCCTTCCTCCTCTGTTTGGTATGTTCCCTCCTTCAGTTTTGTTATCCTTCAACTTTGCTATCAGGAGAAAATTTTTCATGACTTGCAATATCTGAATTTCACCCTATTTTACAGGGTTGGATTCGGGCATCGATGTCACACCCAGCAGGAACAACTGGGGCCACTGGAGGATTCCCAAGGACACAGGTTGTCCTTTTCATGCAGGAAGAATCTGAATCGTTTCCATCCAGTTTCCCCGGCATGCAGCAGAATACAACACAAGGGGCTGCGGTCTTCTCTGACTCTTAAGGCCCTTGGAAGATCCTGTTCTGCCAAAATCAGGGTGATTTGGGCAAGCATCCTTAGGGCTCTGGACCTTAGTTTCTTTCCCTGGTTGATTGATTGACCATATAGGTGTCCTAACTCACATAGTTGAAAATCAGATGTGGTGAAAGTGCATTGAGACCAGAAACAATGTTATTGTCCTGAAATGCATGCCCAGAGAGCACTGAATAAATTTTTAAAACACCTGACCACAGCTGGCATTTCTGTTCTTTTCTAAACTATGGGACTGATCAAAAGAGAGAGGTTAGGTGGGGTGAGTGTGGGTCCTGGCCAGGAGAATGAAGGAGGGAGGGAGGGAAAGGCTGTGAGAAGAAGTGGAAAGCAGGGTACAAAGGATGCAGGATGGTGTCACTTCAGGGAAGGGCCTGGGATTCCTAGTAAGTATGGAGGAGAGGTGGCACCTGAGATTACCTTTGGAAGCCCAGATGTAGCTGATCCTACAACTTGCTTCTCCTCCTGCCTGGACGTCTACACCAATGTGACTAGACACACAGTAGAAAAGAACTGGCACCTGATTCTCAGACTGGTACCATCTTCTACCCTCGAGTGTTTGTTTCATTCCTTTCCTCCCTGTTTCCCCACCCCAACCACCAAACTCATTGCTCCATTCTTCCAATATAACTCTATATCAGGGCACCACTGAGTTCAACGCAATGTGTCACAATCGCTGTGTTCTCCCTCTCCCAAGTGCATGATTCTCCACACTGCAGGGCTGCTGCTGGAGGATGGGGCTGGGGCGGCATTGGCAATTCGGGACAACATCCTACCCTTCTCAGTGTTTCTTTCAGTTATATGAAGTTAAAAACCAGGTTTTGTGAATGCTCACATAACTTTTGTTTCTAGTGAAGGTGATTTTGTCTTTTTTTAAATGTAGATAGTTGTTAGATTGGTATCTTTGTTGCAGGGGGACGGTTAGTGAAGTCTTCTATCTAGCCATCTTGCTCCACCCCTCTCCCTAAAAAATTTTTAAATTTCTTTCCTAATGTCTTCATTGACCCACCAGGCATTCAGGAGCATATTGTTTAATTTCTATGTGTTTGTATAGTTTCCAAAATTCCTCTTGTTATTAATTTCCAGTTCTATTCCATTGTTGTCAGAGAAGATGTTTGATATTATTTCAATTTTTTGAATGTTCTAAGACTTGTTTTGTGACCAAATATTTGGCCTGTCTTTGAGAATGATCCATGTCCTGAGAAGAAATATGTGTATTCTGCAGCTCTTGGATGAAATATGCTGTAAATATCTATTAGATCCATTTAATGTATAGTGCAGATCAAGTCCAATGTTTCTTTGGTGCTTTTCTGTCTAAACGATCTGTCCTATGCTGAAACGGGGGCTGCTGAAGTCTCTGGCTATGATTGTACTGAGATCTATCTTTCTCTTTAGCTCTAATAATAATTGCTTTATACAGCTGGGTGCTCCAGTGTTGGGGTATGTATATTTATAGTTGTTATAGCATCTTACTGAATTGACCCCTTTATCATTATATAGTGACCCTCTTTGTCTCTTCTTATAGTTTTTATCTTAAAATCTATTTTGTCTGATATAGGTATAGCTACTCCTGCACTTTTTTGATTTCCATTGGCATGACCAATCTTTTTCCATCCCTTTATTTTCAGTCTATGTGTGTGTTTATAGGTGAGTGTGTTTCTTGTAGGCAACAGATCATTGGGTCCTTTTTTTTTTTTTTTTTTATTCATTCCACCACTCCATTTCTTTTGATTGGAGAGTTTAGACCATTTACATTCAGTGTTATTATTGATAAAGAAGGACATTTTCTTATTTGTTTTCTCGTTGTTTTGCTTGTTTTCTCTTCCTTCTTTCCTTCCTTTATGTCTTCCTTTTAGTGAAGGTGATTCTCTGGTGATATGATTTAATTTCCTGTTGTTTATTTTTTGTATATCTGTTGCATTTTTTATGATTTGAGATCACCAGGCTGCTTGCAGATATCTTATAACCATTATTTTAATCTGATAAAAACTTAACACTGCTTGTATAAACAAAAACCGAAAGATATGTAATAAGAATTCACACTTTAACTCCATCCTCTTTCTTTTTAACTTTTTGTTGTTTCTATTTATATCTTCTTATACCATCTATGTCTTTTTTTAGATGAGGATCTCACTCTGTCACCCAGCCTGGAGTGCAGTGTCACAATCTCAGCTCACTGCAACCTCTGCCTCCGAAGCACAAGCAATCCTTTCACCTCAGCCTCCTAAGTAGGTGGTACCACAGACACGTGCCACCATAACCAGCTAATTTTTTCCATTTTTTAAAAGAGACTGGGTTTTGCCATGTTGCCCAGGCTAGTCTGAAACTCCTGAGTTCAAATGATCTGTTCACTTCAGCCTCTCAATGTCCTGGGATTACAGGCATGAGCCACTGCAGCTGGCCTTGTACCGTCTATGTGTTGAAAAGTCTTGTAGTTATTATTTTTTATTGGTTCACCTTTTATGCTTTCTACTTAAGACACGAGTAGTTTACACACCACAAATACAGCATTATAATATTCTGTGTTTTTCTGTGGCACTTGGTTCTTGACTGAAGAAATTACAAAGTGCCAATCTGGGTCTAAATGTAATCCATTTTCTGAAGTTAAGTGTCCCAAATATTTCTTCTGAGTTTTCACTAGCTGCAATTTTTCGTCAGAGACTTCATGGTCTTTAGCAGTCAGTTGCTTTAACAGTTGTACACCATTTTTTTCATAGGCTATCTGTGAAGCAGAGCAAAGAAGGCGGCCATCTATATATTGTAGTAAGGTGGAACCTTAAGGAGAAACTATCTCCTCCAAGTGTTCCTTTAATATTTGAAAAACACAGGAAGGGTTTTCAGTAAAAGCAAGAGGCATTACTGTCCAGGTGAATTGTTGGCCTTCCAAGGTAAAGGCAAAAAGATACTGGCTGGCCTGATCCACTGGATTACTGAAGAATGCACTTCATAGATCAATGACAGTGAAAAACCTCCTATCAATAGGTTGTGAGTTTAATGAGATATAGGGATTTGGAACCACTGATGTCTTGGAATCACTATATAGTTTATTGCTCAGAATTCCTGAGCAAACCTTTAATCCCAGTTGTTTGGTTTTTAATAGGTATAATTAGGGTGTTAGAAGGATGAGTACATGGAATAATGAGGCCTTGCTTTTTATGTCCTTCTGTAATAGGTTTAATGACTTATAACACCATCTGGTTTAAGTGGATATTGTTTGATATTAGGCAGGGGTTTTGATGGATCAAGCTGGATTTTTATAGGAGGTATATTATAAAGTTTGCCAATATCAACAGTTTTGCCTATACAGAGACAGGTATTAGATTCAGCAGTGAAAGGGTGTGATGTAGTTTGTATATTTGTCCCCACCCCAATTTCATGTTGAATTGTAATCCCCAGTGTTGGAGGTGGGTCTTGGTGGGAGGTGATTGGATCATGGGGGCACATTTCTCAGGAATGGTTTAGCACCGTCCCCTTGGTGCTGTCTTTGAAATAGTGAGAGCTGGTTGTTTAAAAGTGTGTGGCGTCCTTCCCCTCCCACTCTCTCTCTCGTTCCTGCTTTCGCTATGTGACGTGCCTGCTCCCCTATTGCCTTCTGCCATGATGGTAAGCTTCCTGCGACCTCATCAGAAGCTGATCAGATGCCCAGCACCGTGCTTCCCATAAAGCCTGCAGAACTGTGAGCCAATTAAACTCATTTTTCTTTATAAATTACCCAGTCTCATGTATTCTTTATAGCAATGCAAGAACAGCCTAACACAAGATAGCATTATTTTTGTTTTGTCAGTGGGAATGACATAACAAGTGGGGACATTTGGAGAGTCAGGGATTCCTGAGGTCAGGAATTCAAGACCAGCCTGGCCAACATGGTGAAACCTCGTCTCTACTAAAAATACAAAAAATTAGCTGGGCATGGTGGTGGGCACCTGTAATCCCAGCTACTCGGGAGGCTGAGGCAGGATAATTGCTTGAACCCAGGAGGTGGAGGTTTCAGTGAGTCGAGACTGCACCACTGCACTCCAGCCTGGTGACAGAGTGAGACTTCATCTCAAAAAGAAAAAATTTTAAAAAAAGTTTTTAAGCAGTTTTCTTAGTAGGGTCCTCAAGGGGACAGGCAGGTGATTTATCAAATGGACAAGATCAGAAGTGCACATAGTTTCCCTAAATTGCTGGCTCTTTTACCAAGTTCAGCATGTTTTGAAGAAAAGCTATTCACAAACTTGGAATTAAAGTCTACTCAAGTAGATTTAACATCCATAGGTAATGCAGAAATTTCTTTCTTTTTTCTTTTCTTTTCTTTTCTTTTTTTTTTTTTTTAAGATGGATTCTCACTCTGTCGGCAGGCTGTAGTGCAGTGGCTGGATCTGGGCTCACTGCAAGCTCCGCCTCCCGGATTCACACCATTCTTCTGCCTCAGCCTCCCAGAGTAGCTGGGACTACAGGCACCTGCCACCATGCCCAGCTAATTTTTTTGTGTTTTTAGTAGAGACGAGGTTTCACCGTGCAAGCCAGGATGGTCTTAATCTCCTGACCTCGTGATCTGCCCGCCTCGACTTCCCAAAGTGCTGGGATTACCGGCGTGAGCCACCGCGCCCAGCCTACTTTAGTTTTAAGAAAGACAAGTTTGGGGAACTCAAAAGACCCCAAGGATGGCCATTGAAGATCCAAATTAACTTTGCTATACTCTATCCATTGATTTTAAAAAGTACACAAGAGACGACCTTAATTTTTTTCTTTTCTTATTTATTTTTATTTTTTTTTGACATGAAGTTTCCCTCTTTTCTCCCACGCTGGAGTGCAATGGCATGATCTCGGCTCACTGCAACCTCTGCCTCCCGAGTTCAAGCTGTACTCCTGCCGCAGCCTCCCGAGTAGCTGGGATTACAGGTATGCGCAACCACATCTGGCTGAATTTGTATTTTTATTAGACACGGGGTTTCTCCATGTTGGTCAGGTTGGCCTCCAACTCCCAAATTCAGGCGATCCGCTTGCCTGGGCCTCCCAAAATGCTGGGATTACAGGCGTGAGGCACCACGACCGGCCTTAATTTTTTAAAATAGAGATGAACTCTTGCTATGTTGCCCAGGATGGTTTCAAACTCATGAGCTTAAGCAATCTTTCCACCTCGGCCTCCCAAGGTGCTGGGATTACAGGCATGAGCCACTGACAATAATTTTTGAACATATAGCTGACAGGAGTCCCAGAAGAGGGCCTATATTGGATGCTTTGGAGTTTTGGCATCCTGTTCTGCCTCTTATTAATTTCTCAACAGCAAAAGAAAAATTCTATAATCTCTGTGAGGAAATGGTAGGGGTTGGAGCGATTTGTTTTTTAATAGTGTGTGCCTAGCATAGGATTTTTGTTTTTACTTGATGTGCAGGCAGCCTGTGATCTAATTGTCTATCCTGTCACCATTTTCTCCAGAATTTTCTTGAGACTGGCACGCTGCCTAATGGAAATCTTGTTTATTCATGTACCACTTTATCCTGACAACAAAAAATTTCTCTTTGGGGAGACTGAAGGCTCACATAGAATGGTGACAACAGCCCAAACAGCTTTTAAGGAGTTGACTCATCCTTACCATTTTAGAAAGTAAATTTTGCTCTCAAAAGATATTCAGAAGCAGAGGAAAAATCAAGCAACAAACTCAGTATAAGTCTCTTCCAAAGATAATCTTTCTTCAGGATCATTTCTGACACTAGATTATTCAACCTAAAAAACATGACATTAGAAATGTCCAAATATGTTGAGTTTATTTGGGAATGAGAATGAGGATTGTAACCTAGGGTGCACTGATGGATTGCCATTCTGGAAATATTAGCTTAGCCAGATGTAGTGGGTTGAATGGTGGACCCCATAAAGATATGTTTCTGTCTTAGTGCCCAGCAGCTGTGAATGTCAAGTTGTTTGGAAAAAAAGGGTCTTTGCAGATGTAATTAAGCGGAGGATACTGAAATGAGGAGATCCTCCTAGATGACCCAGGTGGGCTCTAGATCCAATGACAAGTGTCTTTCTAACAGGTACACAGAAGAGAGAGTCAGAAGAGGAGAAGGTGATGTGAAGAATGAGGCAGAGACTAGAGCAATGGGGCTACAAGCCAAAGAACGCTGACCAATGCCCTGCAGCTGCCAGAGCTGGAGGACTCAAGGAATGGATTTGCTCTTAGAGCTTTCAGAGGGAGTGAGGCCCTGCATATTGATTTTGCAGTTTGGGCCTCCAGAACTGTGAAAGAATAATTTTCTGTTGTTGTAAGTTGCCAACTTTGAGGGCATTTGTTGTGGCAGCTACAGGAAGCTAATATACCAGGTGATCAACTTCAACATCAACAGTGGTACATGAAATTGATATTCTATAACCTTGATAAGGTGTTTGGAGAATAGCACTTCACCTCATCTAAACACCCATAACCATAGTCTAACCATGATCTACACCCCAACTAAATTCAGTTTGAGGGACATTTTACAATATATCTGGTCAGTACTTCCCAATATTGTGAAGGGCATCAAAAATTAGGAAAATCTCAGGAACTGTCACAGACCAGAGGATGCCGCGGAGGCACGACGGAGACTAAATGTAGTGTGATATTCTCCATGGAATCCTGAAACACAGAAAGGACATTAGGGGAACGCTAATGAACTCCAAATAAAGTCTGCAGTTTAGTAATAATAAGGTATGAAAATGGCTTCATTAGCTGTGACAAATGGACCATAGTAATGAGAGATGTTAACATCAGGGGAAACTGACTGTGGAGCGGATGGCAACTCTGTACTACCATTGCAACTTTTATGTAAATTTAAAACTCTTCTAAAATAAAATTATTTAAAAGTAGCAGTCAGGAAAGGATTAAGGAGTGGAAGAAAAAAATGATCAACTTTCCATTTTCCTGGAGTGTTGCCATGAAAAGGCTGGAGGGAGGGTTTGCAAGGAGGAGTTGGAAACCTCAGAGACAGGCCGCTCCAGAGCCCTCCTCTGTTCCGCAGAGCCGGAACCCCGCGCAGTCCAGGGCTTCTCAGAAGGCCTTTCCACTCCCTGGACAACCCCAGCCCCACCTCATTGATACATCCTTTCTGGATCAACAATCTGTGTCTTACTCAGACCACCGCCCCATCCTCTCCAGAGCGGCTCATCAGAATCCGAGCGCAGAGCGGCAGCGCCCCCGTGTGGCCCAAGGACTGAGGACAGACGCTCAGCTCCCCTTTCGCTTCCCCACCCGCGACTTCCACAGGGTCCCGTTCGGTTTCCAGCTGCAGAACAGGGCTCTGTGCACACGGGGGCGCCCTGCTCCCGTGTCGGTGTCTCTAAATCCTGGAGTACAGATGTTTCCTCCCAGTTACTGGCGGTGGAGTCTGATCTCAAGGCAGAGGGAGGTCTGCAGGCCCTAAGATCTGGTTCCCAGGTCTGCGTGACCCCACAGACATACTGTGCGCCCAGTACCCAATCTCTCAGTGTTTTTGGAATGAGGCCTTGGACTCCCGAGTCCCTGAAATTTGTTCTGCTGCTTCCAGGGAGGAAGATACCTCCTCGCCGGAATCCACTAGTTGATCCTCCAACCCTACTTTGGAGGGACCCAGGAAGGACATGGCGTTGGAGCTGGACCCAGGAAGAACATGGCGTCGGAGCTGTAACTATATTGGGTTACAAGGATGTCTGGGATCAGACTGGGCAGAGCATTTGTCCCCAATCCGTCGGTTACCGGAGGGAGGTCCCTCCGCGACTCCCCGGACCTCCAGGACCCAGGCATCGGAACCCACACCCTCCTGGAGCGGACCCTTCCCAGCCCCAGTCCAGGACCCCGAGTCCCGCCCCTTCTTCCCCTTTGCGACCTAAGCAGACAGGACCTGCTGTCTACATCTCTTAGGCCTCGTCCCCTGCCATCTCCATTCCCTGATTAAAGGTTCTTGATCCCGGAACCAAATCTAATTTCTGGTCTCGTCTATTGTCCGCGACGATCACCGACCAGGAGAGGCTCCCCAGCCCCAAACAGGCTGCGGCTGAGCGACAGCGGCGGATTTTGGCGCTTTGGCCCAGACTCTCTCGTCGAAGCACCCCGCGACCCCTGCCTGGAGGCTGCGCAGGCAGCTGGGGGTCGGGCTTCGTCTGGGGCCTCGCAGGAGGAGCGGGGTCTGCAGCAGGAGGGGGCCCGCTGGGATTTCTGCCACTGAGGCTGCACTCGCCGCCCTGGGTAAGGCTTCCCCCAGCCCTCCCCTGTGGACCTCGCTGTGGTTCCTTTCCTATTCCCTTTGGGCAGTGTGATATAGGTTTCCATGTGAGGGCCAGTACTCCTTGCCTGTCATCTCACTCTCCAGTTTGCTGCAAAGTGCAAGCGACCCCATACCCGCCTTTGCCCCACCCTTTGCCTCTCCTGGGGACATTCTTCCTGCTCAGTAGTGGGCCTTGTAAGGACCTGCAGGACAGTCTGAGAGGGAGCTACCCCAAAGGCCCAAGGAGTTCCCGGAGACCCTCTGCACTCACTCACCTCCCCACCAAGCGCCCCTGCATTCTTCCTGCACTGCGCTCCAGGTGTTGACAGCTCCTGGGCAGGGTAGCAGGTTCCAGGCAGCCCAGGCTGAGGTCCTCTGCTGGGGATTCACTGTTCCAAGAAGACAGGATTCTGCCTTTATGGGGGAAGGGCTGGATAGGAACCAGGAGACCAGTTATAGGCCTGTTGCTATCAATCCTGGGACCAGTTAATTGATCTGTGTTCAGTACAGGATAGCAAAAATGGACTTGACCTTTTCTCATGTGAATATTTTCAGATACCCTCACTCCCAGCCTTCCTTCCCTGGGCACAGAAGAGACCTGCCTCAGGCGAAGTACCTCCGTGGAATTAAAAAGTCTCTTGGGCTCAGCTCTCCTCAGGGGCCTTCAGAACTCATCAAGGATAAAGCTGCAGACTTCTGGCGGTCACACAGGGACTAAAACCGATAAAATCCACAAGTCAACTGCGACTCAATCTTCCTTCCTCTTGCCGCAGTGTTCCTCACTTAGTCTTGGATGGAAGCTTCGGTCCTCTCCTGGGCCCCAACCTGCGGTCCCCAGGTTCCCCGTTTTTCACGTCTAATCTCAATTGACTCCCTCCTCCACACACCATTTTTGACCACCCAGTCCACAGAACGCCCCGGGCTTCCTAATGGGCCAGGTCCTCCTTAAGAGAGGCAGGGAGGTGGAGAGCGAGCATGGAAGCCGAGCGCCTGCTGGGCAAACCCGAATCTGGGGTCTGACCTCGCCGCCGGCAGCTGGTGAATATGTCGCAGGACCGGTGGTGGCTTGGCAGTCTTCTCCTGTCCTCTGCTCTTGGCCCCAGACCCGCGCTCACAGCCACCTCCTGAAGCCACCAGCTCTGCACCCTCTCGGCCTCGCAGGGGAAGAGGGGACTGGATGGAAGCCGCGGACTCTGGGCGCTGTCAAGGTCACTGTTGTGAAAAGCCGGGAGACCTGATGTGGACACAGGGAGGCCTGGACCGGAGGCGCGGCTGGCCAGAGGCTTCGCGTCTGCCCCTCTTCCTTCAGAGCCTCCTGCTCCCAGGGAAGCTCCGCGCGTGTCCTCAAAGCAGAGAGTGGTTTCCAAACGGACCCCCCAGCATCCGATTGGGCTATCCCGCCCCAGGCTGGAGGGTGGGGGCTCATGGGGTCTCTAGTCACCAAGTGCCCCACCTGAGAGGACCCGGTCTCTCCTCCAGGCTGCGCTGGGTCTCGAGGGAGGCGAGCAGCTCGGCTCTGAGGGGGGCCCCGGCCGGCGCTGCCCAACTCGGACAACCTTCCTGGCCCACCCAGGAGTTGAGTTTCAAGGCTTCCCGGAGAGGCCAGCCCGCATTCGGAGCGGAAGGTTTCTCAGGCCGCGAGCCTCGGAGAGAAGCAGCGCTGGTTCCCTGAGCCCGGGGCCACCGCTGGGCGGGAGCGCGCTTGGATCTTGCAGCAGCTAAAGCCTCGTGGGCTCCTCCTCGACTACAAGCCGCGGAAAACAAGTTGCAGCTCAGCACTATTTAAGTTGAGGTTTTTCTGTTATGCCTGCGGTTTGCTGTTTCAGCGCTTTGCTGTTTCAGCTTAGTGAAAGCTGAATGTACTTAGTACTTCAGCTTAGTTTTTCAGCTTAGTGTACTTAGAGAAGAGGCTTCTTCCTCTTTTGGGGGAATCAGTGGGTAGAGAGGAATTCCGTGGTTAGAGCCTACTTGGTCTTTAAGAGTCGACTATAATTTTGATTTTGATCCTCAACCACATCCGAGATCACAGTTCCCCGGTCAGTCTCAGCTCATCAGCAAAGGGTTTGGCGGCTCTCTCCAGAGGAGACTGAACGAGGTTGTCAAAGCGTCTGGATCAAAAGTGTTCCCCTGTCGGATGGAGCGGTGTCCAGGATGAACCTGAGCATTGTACCAGCATTTGGGGGTGTGGAGTTGGGAGGGAAAGCCAAGGCCCCACAGTGTGAGGAAGGAGACTGGGCAGAGCCCCTCAGTGTTTAGGAATCTCTAAATACTAAATACTACATCTCTAAATACTAAATACTGAGCTGGGATGGAATCTCTGTGCTGGAGGCTAGTGGTGCAAACTGCAGTTTCTCATCTGCAGGCACAGATGACTGACTGCCTTCAGCATGGGCTCATCTGTCCATCTCTCCTCCTGACCCCGGTCTCATTACAGGAGAGGGAACTGGGTGCTAGAGGGTGGGGAATCCAGGACGTCAGCGGTGTCGCACCTGGATAAAGCATTTTGCAAACACAAGTCCCAGGGCTGACTATTGATTTTACCACATGCAGCCTGTTTTTATTTATTAATTTCCTTTCTTTTCCCTTAAATTCCAATGACAAAGTATAACGTAAATCAACGTCCTTAAAATGTATGTAATCCTCTTCATTTAGTAACTATTCTGACCTCAAGTATCCATTCTCTAGTCAAGGATTATACCTGTTTCTCCTAGCCCCCACCAGTGCTGGGTCTGTTGTACCCCTCCCGCAGTATTGCCTCCCCCTAAATAAGCACATTTCCCTATAATTTCTTCCTTTTTCTCTATGCCTTCCCATCATGTTTGCACTTGCTGTGAAGTAAGGAAATGCTCCCCAATTCTGTTATTCCTTCCTACCCTTAGGAGATTTCTCCCTCTGCGCTGAGGATCTCACTGTGCACCTCCAGCCCTGGGTCCTGGTGGGCTCTGGTGGCCACTGGAGTCCTTGGAGCTGCCTCCCTCTGGCTCTGCTGGGTGAGTGCTCTTCTATCCTCTCTTTCTCCACTGATAAAAACAAATCCGAGAACATGTTCAGAATAACACTTCCAGAAAGGATGGTGTTGAGGGGGATCGGGAGTAGGGGAAGGAACTCCACTCCCTTGGATGAATTTGGAGACAGTTTGTTGCATTAATCTCTGGACAGGAAACAAGACAGAGCCTAGAGTAAACCAGGCTGCTCAGGTAAAAGGTCCGAAGGCCTCCTCTTCTCCCTGCCCACATTTCAGTAGACTCAGTGCCAAGGGCTTGTCCTGGGGGCAGGTGGCCTCAGCCACAGTAAGTCCCTGAGATCCTGGACCACTGCGTGGAACCCTGTTCTCTACATGAGGCAGGCTCCAGGTGCTACCTGCTTCCCTTTCATTTCCCCTGTTACAAAACATGGTCTCCCCTCTACTCCCTCTCAATCCTTCCTAGCCACCAGCTTCCTGGCAAACAACCACATAGAAGCCTTTTACTTCATATGTTGTTCTTTATCTTTATGTCTCTTGATAATATACATTTATGCCACTTCAAACATTTCCATTTTAGATATTAAGTATTGACTTTTCAAAATCCCTTCAGTCCATAGTACCTTCCACAGCACACACATTTTCATCCTCCTCATGTAGGCAGGTGGAGATTTTGAGTGCATTGAGAGCCAGAGTTAAAATTACTGACTTACGTGAATGCTACTCAGACCTGAGCCACATGGTAAACTCTCTTAGTTTTTCTTTCCATACATGTTGATGTTTTCAGAGAATTGATAATTGCCCGGCGTTTTCATTTTCTTACTTTCCATGAACCTTAACAAATGAATTCACCAACTGTCCCTTAGTTGAGTAAATGTCTTCTCCATACCTTTAAACTTATGGTGGCTCTTGTCAAGGTCATCTTCTTGGAGATGGCGTCCCCTCTGCTGTGCTGTCCACCCACCCAGGCGACCCTCTTCCTTTCTGGTCCTGTTGCCTTTTCACCTTTTCACCTTTTCATGGGTTGATGCCTGATTCTATACATCCCACGTCTTGGTCTGTTTATTTTTGTTTTGTATTCTTTTCAATATATATTCCTTCCTTCTCTTCTTGGTATGTTCCCTCCTCTCCGAGTACATCCTTCACCTTTGCTATTGGGAGAAAATTTTTCATGCCTTGCAATGTCTGAATTTCTTCTTATTTTACAGGGTTGGATTCAGGAGTTGAGGTCATCCCCAGCAGGAGCAACTAGGGCCACTGGAGGATCCCCAAGGACACAGGTCACCCTTTTCATGCAGGAAGAATCTGAATGGTTCCCACCCAGTTTCCTGGGCAGGCAGGAGAATCCAACACGAGGGGCTGCTGTCTTCTCTGACTCTTAGGGCCCTTGCAAGATCCTGTTCTGGGTGATTTAGCTGAAGGGCAGGGTGATTTGGGCAAGCATCCTCAGGGCTCTGGGCCTCAGTTTCCTTCACTGGGTGATGGGTTGATCAGATAGATGGCCTTCCCCACATAGCTGAAAATCAGATGTGGTGAAAGTGCATTGAGACCGGAAACAATGTTATTGTTCTCAAATACATGCCCAGAGAGCACGAAATAAATTTTTATTCAGCTGGCATTTCTGTTCCTTTCTGAACTATGGGACTGATCAAAAGAGAGAGGTTAGGTGGGGTGAGTGTGGGTCCTGGCCAGGAGAATGGAGGAGGGAGGGAAAAGCTGTGAGAAGAAGTGGAAAGAGAGGTACAAAGAATGCAGGATGGTGTCACTTCAGGGAAGGGCCTGGGATTCCTAGTAAGTATGGAGGAGAGGTGGCACCTGGGATTACCTTTGGAAGCCCACATGTAGCTGATCCCACCGCTTGCTCCTCCTCCTGCCTGGAAGTCTATGCCAACGTGACTAGATGCACAGTAGAATGGAACTGGTGCTTGATTCTCAGACTGGCACCATCATCTACCCTCAAGAGTTTTTTTCATTCCCTTCCTCCCTGTTTCCCCACCCCAACTGCCAAACCCATTGCTCCATTCTTCCCATATAACTCTACCAGGTACCCACCTCTTGGGTTCTAGTCATGTCCGAAGAAGTCTTTTATTAATTTATTTCTTGTAGAGATAGGGTCTTGCATTGTTGTCCAGGCTGGTCTTGAACTCCCGGCCTCACCTCAGCCTACCATAGTGCTAATATTATAGGTGTGAGCCACTGCTCCCAGTCTGTGTCTGACAATGTCTTGAGTGACTAAAAGGCATTTTCTTTCACTTTGTAGTCTTGGGCTTCCTTCAGTCTGCCTCTCTCCTCTTTTCCTGTGACCCCAGGCAGGCTTTGTCATTCCCTTCCTCCTCTGGGGTGCCCTCTGGGCTTCAGAGCAGCCCTGGTGAGAATCTGCAGGGCAACCTGCACACTAGCTGGCTGGGCTTCTGAGCCCCTCCACACTCACTCATATGCCTCTCCCACCTCCCTCCAGTGGTGAGATCGGGAATACAACTCACTGAGTCTCCAAGTCCAATGGATTTTCTATCCCAGGGATGAGCATGTCCTAGTCATCTTCTGTGAAGTAGAGGGAGGCTTCTGTTCCCTTCTGGGCTTCAATTCTGCACTTCCAGAGTTCCCCATTCTTCACGTTTAGTCACTCTACCTCCCTACACATATTTTTGGAATCAACCAACCAGGCTAGATGGACCAGCCAGTCCCCAACGTGAGAGCTGGCAGGGAAGTTCTTAAATAACGGTTTAGTTTTCCTATAGTGTGACAAAACTGGCTCCAAATGCCAAATGAAACCCCTTTAGTGCATGCCCCGTGTGCTCAGAAATTTGCCTTATACTCCTTCACTCACACAGAAAAGCAAAGACAAAAATAAAATAACAAAATTCAATTTCCACAACTAAATTTCCCATGTATTATTTTTCCCAACAGAGTTCATCAACAAGCCTGTGATACCTTAGGATATACTGTGTTCTGTAAATCTAAAACACCACCTTACATTTGTAAGGCTAACATTTACAGAGCACTTGGTATGTCCAAGGCTCTAGTCTAATATCCAAGTGAATATTATCTGATTTGTTCCTTGTGAGGATTAATTTGATTTCTCAACATGACTGGGTCACGAAGGAGCCCAGATATTTGGCCAAACATTATTCTAGGTATTCCCATGAGTGTGTTCGAAAAATGATTTACATTTAAATCAGTGGAATTGACTAATGTACATTGCCCTCCATAATGTGAGTGGGCCTCATCAGATCAACTGGAGATATATGTCGCCTATTCATTCTGCTTCTGTGGAGAGCCCTGATCAATACACTGTTCATAAGACCAGTGTTTTGGGGATTTATTAATTAATGGAGGCACACTGTGGTTACTTGCCTAGTAAGCTAGAAGAACACTAAAGAGGAAGTGTAAGAGCCGAAATTGCTTTTTAGTAGAACTCAGTTTGAAGTTTCCTTGCAGTGGTGAGTGTGGAGATGGGTTCAGCAGGGTGGTCTGCAGTGGGTTTGCCAAGGGTCTCTGGGATTCCACTGGAATTTCTCTCCACTGAAGGGAGAGGCTTAGCAGGTGCCTCCAGTGCTCTCCAGAGCAAATTGGGTCAGCTTCATTAAGAGTTCCTCTCTGAAGAAGGGAACTATGATCCTGACCCTGAAACAGGCCCTGGAGTCTGAGGCATGAGGGAGAAGCCTACATCTTGGAGAGGTGGACGAAGGAGGAGGGGAATCATAAAGATGGGGCTTTGCCTTCAGCCAGAAGCATTCTGCAATCTCAGGGATGAATCCAAAGATGGAAGAGGGGGTTTCTGGGAATAGGAACCTTTGTTCAGTACCTATTTTGGGGGGTGAGGTGGGGTCCCTCATGTTGTATCACAAGAAACAGATTCTATTTTATGACAGTATGATCTACCCATGGTCTTGTTCTTAAACTCTTGCAGATGCTGAGTCTCAATAGAGATGAGGAATCTGAGGGTCACAGAGCTAGTGCTTGGATGGATTTACAAATGTAGGAAGGAGGTTTGACTGATCTTGGTGTGACACCTCCTTCTTTCATTGTTTTTCTGGGAGGAGTCTGATCTCTTTTCTTTTTTTGTGAGATATAAAATATATGCAGAAAAGTTACTTACAAATGTACACAATATTTAACTAGCGACTATGACCACACAAGCACCACCTAGGTCAAGAAGCACAGTTGTCCAGTGTCCCACAAATGCCTTGCTTGCCCCCTCCCATCACACCTCTTCCCTTTCCTAGCTCCATGAGTGACTGCCTTTCTGACCTCTGTGCTAACATTCTTTCCTGGCTATGTGTTTGCAAACACTGTGATTAAAAGATTGCTTCTCAATTTTGGTCTTGTTTTCCTTCTTCAGGTTGTGTCTCCCTTGAGCAGAAACTGTCACTGCCCAAGGTGGGCTGCCGGTCTTGGTGGCTTCTAGTTCTTTTGGGAGTTTCCAGAACTGATTCTGTCTGGCTGTGACAGTGGGTTTTTTTTTTTTTTTTTTTTTTCCTGCTCAGGTCTCTGCTCTGCTACGAACCTTTATATGCTGTATGCTGATTTCGGTGTGAACTTAAGTGTTCATTTCTCTGGGATAAATGCCCTAGAGTGCAATGGCATGTTTAGTTTTTTTTTTTTTTCGCCATACTCTAGTTTCTAGAGTGGCTGTACCATTTTACATTCCCACCAGCAATGAGTGATTCAGCCATTTTCTCCACATCCAGCATGTGGTGTTATTTCTATTTCTTATTTTATTCATTCTGATAGGGGTGTAGTAATATCTCATAATGGTTTTAATTACATTTCCCCAATGATGAATCATATGGACCACATTTTTTTTTTTTCTTTTTTTTTTTGAGATGGAGTCTCGCTCTGTGGCCCCGGCTGGAGTGCAGTGGCGCGATCTCGGCTCACTGCAAGCTCCGCATATGGACCACATTTTTGTGTCCTCACTTCCCATCTACATATCATTTTAAAAGAAATATTTGTCATGTGTTTTGTCCACTTTCCTATTTTATTGATTTTTTTAAACTGTTGAATTTTCAGTGTCTTTATATATTAAAAATGAAGGTTTTTTTTTTTTTTTTTTTTTTTTTTTAGGATACGTGGGAAGGTAGTTTGAAACTTTTGAGGTCACCCAAATCTGCTTTTCTTTCTCTTTTTTGGGAACAGATTCTGGATTCAAGATCCCCTCCAACAGTGAAAGCCATTTTCGTGGGCCCTGGGCCCAGGATACTCCAACCTGGTCGCATACCCCTTGGGATTTCCCAGCAGCGGGCTGCAGAATATAACGTCCAGGAGTGGGGTGTCCTCTCTCTCCGGGCTCTTGGAAGACGCTGCTCCGCCTTTGATCACCTGGATTTTTAACTATTCGAATCTAGCTGAAGATCTGTGTAGCCTGGGCAAGCCTCTGCAGAACCCTGGGCTTCAGTTTCCTTCTCTGGGCACTGGGGTGATCACAGGGTCTCCCTGACCAAACCTACAAATGGAAAGTTCTCCCGGAAAGCTCTTTGTAACCACAGACGGTGATGCAATGTAAACCCTTAGAATGACCTCCTAGGATCTAGCCGTAAACCCTGTTCAAATGCCACACTTCATCCTTAGTTCTGTCCCTTCTGGAATTCTTCAGCGAAAGAAGCCTGAGTAGGGATCAGTGGAGCAGGAGGAGGAAGGGAGGGGCTGGGAAGAAGAGAGCCAGGCGGGGAGCAGAGCGCGGCGGGGGTGGTCCGTGACTCACGCGTGGCAGGGCTCACCATCGCCTCCAGGCTGCGCGCCTGCGGCCGGGTCTCCTCCCAGGTTCCCAGCCTGTTCCTTCACCCCATCTCTCTCTCTCTCTCTCTCCCTCCCTCCCTCCCTCTCTCTCTCTCTCTCTGAAATAATCGTTTCAATAAAATGCAGAAAAAGTATTCGATAAAATCCAGCATCCCTTTATGATTAAAAGCCTCAGCAAAATCAGCATAGAAGGGACATACCTTAAAGTAATAAAAGCCCTTTATGACACACCCACAGCCAACCTTATACTGCACAGAGAAAAGATGAAAGCATTCCCCCTGAGAACTGGAACAAGACGAGGACGCCCACTTTCACCACTTCTTTCAACATAGTACTGGAAGTCCTAGCAAGTGATAATTTCTTAAAGGTTAGATACAACCTGAAACCCTATCATTGACTATTTGTATTCTGTTATGTTAAAATAGATTGGTCTATCTTGCCCATTGAATGGATTTGTACTAATAATGAAAACAAACAAACAAAAACAAACCCTACACTATGTATGCCCAGTAGTTACCATATTTAACAGTGCATATCTAGAGTGCTCATAGTTTTCAATCTCCCCCAAAATATATGGTGGGACTCTCAGATTGAATATATATTAAATTATCTTCATCGAGAAGTCACGGATTTGTCCACATGGGCCTTAGACACGTCCTTAAAACACAGCAAGCCCACGAAAGTCTAATTAATATGTATATGTATAAGTGGAGGGTACAGACATTAACCGAAACATGATTTATCACCTCAACATTTTAAGTGTTCAAAAATGCCCATTGCCAGGGCTAATCATTGTCTATATTGCACTGGAATTCTGTTGTTATTGTTTGCTTTAACCAGGTGAATACAAGGAGAAGATAAGTATCCATTTTTCTCAAGACAAACTATTGGATATGACATATGTCAAGTATCCTGAAGGCTCTGTAGACATATTTTTTAAATTATAAAACAAGAGACTTAAACCTTAGAATTCTTTACCTGCTGCCCCTCCTCCCCTTGTATTCCAACAATTTTGTTTTCTTCACCCTTGGACTCCTCTTTCCTCATTGTCACAACCTAGCTGGAACAATACATGAAGTGTCTACAATTGGGCAGTGAAGAAGGATTCTCTAAGCATGACCTAAAAATAAACACCATAAAGAAGTATGAGGGTAGTTTTAAGTACTTATAAATTAAAAAACTTCTCTTTGGTAACCACAAACATAGATATATACAGACAGTTTCTCATAATCAACCTCAAAGACACATAAAAAATTTATAGACAAAATAATAATGCGTCCGAAGCTTTCTTCCAAAGTCCACTAGGAACATATCCTAGTGGGTGAAGAAGTTGGGTTTATTACTGGTTCCTGAGTGCAAGAATAGGTGCTGTGAGCCATGTGGTGTTTTGGTAAGAGGGTGTTAGAAAGAAATTCTTAAAGGATTTGGGCTTTGGTTGGGTGATCCTGGGGAGGGTGAGGAAGTGGGCTTCACTCTAGATTGGGTACTCGTCAGGAAGCAGGGGCAATTCTGTAATTGAATGTCTCAACAAATCTTAGCTCTAGTGAGGGTGGACTAGAGCAGAATAAAGCTGTAATTGGTAGACAAGCATCAGCCCCTGGTATTAGTGGAGAGAGTGCTTAGACAAAATTATGAAGTGTTCTTGTATTTCCTCACTTTATCATCATCTCAGAGTGAACTTTCTAATGTTGGTGTTTTGTGGTGATTGTGGTCCAATAGGAGAATAACATGGCTTAACAATGAACATTGGGCCAGCTTCATATAACAAGGAGTCCCAGCCATAAGTGTCAGATCAGTTCCTAGATATCAGAGGCTTCTTGTTTTCTTTCTTAAATTCAACATTTAAAAATATCTACGTCCCATTTGGAAAAGGATTAATGAATATTAGAGCATAATTTGGCATAGAAAATGCAAGTGTCAAATATAATAGTAATAAGTAAATGTCAACAAAATTAAAATGTGGATTAGGAAATGGGATGGAAGTTTAATATATCTTAGCTTGGCAAAGATGAAAGTCAAAGATAATAATATTGAGTGGAGAATAGGGGAAATTTACTGTCATAAAAGTTGATGGGATTAAATACTGGCATACAATTTCTAAAGAGTCAGGCATGTTGGCTTAATGCCTGTAATCCCAGCACTTTGGGAAGCTGAGGTGGGCAGATTGCTTGAGTCCAGGAGTTCCAGACCAGCCAGGGCAACATGGCGAAACCCCATCTCTACAAAAAATACAAAAAAAATTAGGCATGGTGGCACCCTCCTGTAGTCCCAGGAGGATCGCCTGAGCCGGGGAGGTCAAGGCTACGGTGAGCTGTGATCACACCACTGCACTCCAGCCTGAGGAACAGAGTGAGACCCCATCTCAAAGAAAAAACACCCCAGTGTCTAAAGAGCATTTTTGGAAAATGTCTCAAGAAGATCATGTTGATGCAAAAAACTTATCTTCTAAAAATGTAGCCTAAGAAGAAAATCACACGTTTTTAAAAATATATAACAAGAATATTCCTTGAATTATCGTTTATAAAACAAAAGAATGAAAACAACCAAAATAGTATAATCAATATGATGTTAGCTATGAATTGTGGACACTTAATATGTCTCAGTCAGTAATAATGTGTATAATACATAGACAATATATAATTTAATCATCAGAGAAAACCCATCAGGAATCTACTATGTGACTCAGAGAGGTTGAGGAGGTGGTGAAGCTGGATTGAAGCCAGGAGATCTTCTCTCAGACACCTAATTGACTCATCTTTTGTTGATGCTCTGCCCATAAGGTAGGTGAGTGTGACTCTGCACCCCATGCAAGTGAACCATTTCAATGTCCGTGAACATTCTATGACAGGCAGCTGCTAGGCTTAGAGCTCGGGAGGACAAAAGGGCATGTGTGACTTCACTGCCCACACCACACTAAAGTCCATCATCCGGTGTATATTTCAAGGTGAATCAAGATATTAGCTAGACATTGAAGATAGAAGAAGAGCTAAAGTAAGATCTTGATGATATGGAGCTTGCACTGTCATGAGAGAGACGGACATTTAGCAAAAATTACCAAGATAAATGTGAAACCACTACATTTATGAATTCTGAGAGAAAATTTCATAATATCGTGAAAGAAGATAACAAGGAGACCCAACAAGTCCCCTGCTACTATTATCAATAATATATAAAGGATGTAAGAAAATAAGTGGCATTTATGAAATAGGAACTCATTTATGTAAAATTATACACAAGAACGAGCTCTGGAAATTAAAAATGTGATTACAGAATCATAGAAATGAACAATTCATTAGATAATTTGGAAGACAAAAGTCATAATAAAATGGAAAAATGTTTGCAAAAAAGAAAGAAAAAGTGTAAGAACATTATACTATCAGGCCAAGTGTGGTGGCTCAAGCCTATAATCCTAGTGCTTTGGAGGCTAAGGAAAGAGAATTGCTTGAGCCCAGGAGTTCAAGACCAGCCAGGGCAACACAAGGAGACCCCGTATCAAAAAAACAAACAAACAAACAAACAACAAAAAATGCAATGTTTCAAAAGACTACATGAAGAATAGACTCAGAGATTGTCCTATGAAGACTGCCATAGTATAGGGCAGTAGTTGCAGGGAGACATGGGATCAGAGATCAAGGGATAAATTTCGATGGGAAGATTTTGTTTTGATTTGTTTAGTCCAGTTTTGTTTGTTTTTTTGGGGGGAGATATTACAGCACGTCTGCCTGTAGAAATGATGGGCCAGTAGAGAGTGGAAATTGATGATATAGGGGAAGGAAGGATTGATCTTATGCTTGAGTGCAGGGGTGGTCTTAGGAGCGGGGATCATCCATCATCACTGGTGGGAAGGCTGAGGATACAAGTGCAGATTTGGGGATAGTAATGGGATGGTGATGCATTTCTCACCTGGGTCCTCCTTTTTTTCCTGCGTGAAAGAGAAATAAATGTATAACCTAAAAATAGGGAGTGTGGAAGGAGTGGAGGGATGTGAGGGCAGAGAACAAAGTGAGAAACAGCCCCCTGAGGAATTGTAAGAGTGAACTGACCTGGGAGATGGCATTTGGAGAGTGCAGGGCTGTGGGCCACTGAGGTCTGTGGTCATAACTTTGGGGGTGGGAGAGAGAGAGAGAGAGAGAGAGAGAGAGATAGAGAGAGAGAGAGAATGGCACACATCCAGTAATGGGGCAGCAGCAGGAAAATATATAACTGACTAGAAGGAAATGAAACCACATATCTCTGCTGTAAGGATCATGGGATAGTTTAAATTTGTAATTGATCATTTGAAATATTTGGTAATTTTTCTGCAGTGAATATATATTACATTATAATGAGAAAAAGTTATATTTACAAATTAAAAAGGGAATGTTGATGGAGAAAGTGTAGATAATTTAGAAATATCAGAGAGGATAGAACATACTGAAGGGAATAAAAATAATTGCCTCTTTCCCCAACCCAACTCGGATCCCCATACCAACTACTCACATGCTCTGTTTTTAGAGGGACTCAAAAGCCTGTTTTATCCCAAATGCTTTTTCATAGGGTGACATGGAACTTTAGGGTAAGACTTGGCCTCTAGAATTCACCATTCCCTAGAGAACATGGTGCCCTACAGAAGAAAATCATCATCACTAACGTTGTCATTAGCACCACAAATTGCAGTACCAGCAATTGTGTCAAATGTGTTACAAGCCCTATTGCTATTTAATTTAATTTTCACACAAAAGAAAGTATTTACAGACAAAGAACTGAGCTCTATGAAGCCTCAAATAGCTTTCTGTATGTCATGCTGATCAGAGCAGTCCCAGGATATCCAGGTCTGTCTGACTCGAAGACCCAGGTCCTTTAAATAAATACATACTATTTTGGCTTTACAAGGAATGGGCAGTGTTTTGCACATGTGCCATATTCCGCTTCCTGTGCTGGTGTTTTGCATTCATTATTTCATATCATCCTTATCTAGCCCACACTATGCTCCACTAGGCTGGATGGACTTACAGCATCAGTGGATTCCCATTTTGGACCATGCAGATGATGTGAATTTCAGCTGCAGATCTTTGTGAAAAGGACCGGTTTTCTTATTCATCCCTACCCAGATAAGCTGTGTGTGTGTTTGTGTGTGTAGCTTAATGTAGATCTCCAATTAAAGGCAGTAGAGAGTGGAATAATCACTGGCTGATCAAGAATATACTCACAGTCCACAGCATGATTTACCTATCTCTGTACTGTTTTGCTCCCACTAACTGTAGCAAGTGCTGGATGCTCCTCACATGGCCAACAAGGTGTTCTTCTTCCCTAAGTCTGCAGCCCTCTTTCCTTGTCTACCCCAACCCCAAAATTCCAACTTTGTTCTGCCACTGCACCAAGTGCTTGCTTAAGGGCAGCAATTACCATTTTCCTAGCTCTTCATATCTTTAGAGTAGGCATCTTAAAGACAAAATATCCTCTCATGAGCAGATGCAAAGTGACACAGCACAGCACAGCACCAATTGATTATTGTGTAGAAACTCTCATCCAGTGAGTGAGAGGAGGGATGAAAAGGGTGAAAAGGGCAACCCCATCCTGCTATGTCCCATTGTTATTAATTGGGGATATTACTCCCAGTTTATATATTAAGAAACCAATGCTCAGTAATGAGGGTAATTTGTCCATAGTAATAAAAAAATGGTAAAGGCCATGTTCAAATTCAGACCAATTTTATTTCAGGGCCCATGTTTCCTTCATACATCATCCCTTGTGGCCAAAGTCATTGGCAGCAGCCATTGAAGAGGCCTCAGGTGTAGGAATGTCCAGGGTTTCCCTTTTTTCTGAGACAGGGTCTTGCTCTGTCGCCCAGTCTGGAGTGCAGTGGTATGAACACAGCTCACCGCTGCTTTGACTTCTTGGGCTCAAGTGGTCCTCCTGCCTCAGCTTCCTGAGCAGCTGGGACCACAGGTATGCACTATCACGTCTTATTAATTTTTCTTTTTTAAGAGACAGCGTCTGCCATATTTCCCAGGCTGGAGTGCAGTGGCATGACTACAACTTACTGCAGTCTCAACCTACAACCTCAGCCTGCCAAGTAGTTGGGACCACAGGCACATGTCACCACACTCAGCTAATTACAATTTTTTTTTTTTTTTGGTAAAGATGCAGTCTCCCTAAGTTGCCTAGGCTGGTCTTAAACTTCCAGGCTCAAGTGATACACCCTCCTCTATCTCCCAAAGTGCTGAGATTATAGGCATGAGACACTGTACCTGGCTACTACTGATTTTTGTATGTTGATTTTGTATTATGCAACTTTACTGAATTTGTTTATCAGTTCTAATAGTTCTTTGGTGGAGTCTTGTAGATTTTTCCAAATATAAGATTATATCATCTGCAAACAAGGATAATTTGACTTCTATTTCTTTCTCTTGTCTGATTGCTCTAGCTAGGGTTTCCAATACTATGGTCAATAACGGTGGTGAAAGCAGGCAACCTTGTTGTGTTACTGATCTTAGAGGAAAGGCCTTCAATTTTTCCCCATTCATTTAGTATGATACTAGCTGTGGGTTTGTTGTACATAATGGCTTATTATGTTAAGGTATGTTCCTTCTATACTCAGTTTTTTGACAGTCTTTATCATGAAGGAATGTTGAATTTTATTGACTGTTTTTACAGCATCAATTGAAATGATTATATGGTTTTTGTCTTTCATTCTGTTGAATATGATGTATCACATTGATTGACTTGCATATTTTGAACCATCCTTGCATCCCTAGGATAAATCCCACTTGGTCATGAGGAATGATCTTTTTAATGTGTTGTCGATTTTTATTTGCTAGTATTTTGTTGAGGATTTTTGCAACAATATTTGTCAGTAATATTGGCCTATAGCTTCCTTTTTTTGATGTGTCTTTGTCCGGTTTTGGTATCAGGGTAATACTGCCCTTGTAGGATGATTTTGGAAGTATTCCTTCCTGAATTTTTTGGAACAGTTTGAACAGGATTGGTATTAGTTTTTCTTTAAATGTTTGGTAGAATTCAGCAGTGAAGCCATCAGGGCTTTTCTTTGCTGGGAGACTTTTTGTTATGACTTTTATCTGATTACTTGCTATTGGTCTGTTCAGGTTTTGGATTTTGTTCACCATTCAATCTTGGTAGGTTATATGTATCTAGGAATCTACCCATTTCTTCTAGGTTTTCCAATTTATTGGCATGTAGTTGCCCATAGTAGCCACTGATGATCCTTTGAATTTCTGCAGTATCAGTTGTAATGTCTCTTTTTTCATGTTTGATTTTATTTATTTGGGTCTTCTGTCTTTTTCTGTTAGTCTGGCTAATGATTTGTCAATTTTGTTTAACTTTTCAAAAAACTTACTTTTTGTTTCATTGATCTTTGGTATTGTTTTCTTCATTTCAAACTCATTTACTTTTGTTCTGATCTTCATATTTCTTTTCTTCTACTAATTTTGGGTTTGGTTTTCCCTTGCTTTTCTAGCTATTTAAGATGCATTGTTGTATTGTTTATTTGAAGTTTTTCTTTTTTTTTTGATGTAGCTACTTATAGCTATAAACTTCCCTCTTAGTATTACTTTCACTGTATCCCTTAGGTTTTGGTATGTTGCATTTCCATTATCATTTATTTTCAGAATTTTTTCAATTTCTCTTTCTATAAATAAATAAATACATATATTATATATATTCTACATATATATTTTTTCCTTTTTAATTTTATTTATTTATTTTTATTATACTTTAAGTTCTAGAGTACAAGTGCACAATGTGCAGGTTTGTTACATAGGTATACATGTTGGTTTGCTGCACCCATTAACTCGTCATTTACATTAGGTATTTCTCCTAATGCTATCCCTCTCCCAGCCCCCTCTCCATGACTGTCCCCGGTGTGTGATGTTCGCCGCCCTGTGTCCAAGTGTTCTCATTGTTCAGTTTCCACCTATGAGTGAGAATATGCAGTGTTTGGTTTTCTGTCCTTGTGATAGTTTCCTCAGAATGATGGTTTCCAACTTCATCCATGTCCCTGCAAAGGACATGAACTCATCCTTTTTTATGGCTGCTTAGTATTCCATGGTGTATATGTGCCACATTTTCTTAATCCAGTCTATCATTGATGGACATTTGGGTTGGTGTCAAGTCTTTGCTATTGTGAATAGTGCCACAATAAACATATGTGTGCATGTGTCTTTATAGTAGCCTGATTTATAATCCTTTGGGTATATACCCAGTAATGGGATCACTGGGTCAAATGGTATTTCTAGTTCTAGATCCTTGAGGAATTGCCACACTGACTTGTACAATGGTTGAACTAGTTTACACTCCCACTGACAGTGTAAAAGTGATCCTATTTCTCCACACCCTCTCCAGTATCTGTTGTTTCCTGACTTTTTAATATCACCATTCTAACTGGCATGAATGCTATCTCATTGTGGTTTTGATTTGCATTTCTCTGATGACCAGTGATGATGAGCATTTTTTCATGTGTCTATTGGCTGCATAAATGTCTTCTTTTGAGAAGTGTCTGTTTATATCCTTGGCCCACTTTTTGATGGGGTTGTTTGTTTCTTTCTTGTAAATTTGTTTAAGTTCTTTGTAGATTCTGGATATTAGCCCTTTGTCAGATGGGTAGATTGCAAAAATTTTCTCCCATTCTATAAGTTGCTTGTTCACTCTGATATTAGTTTCTTTTACTGTGCAGAAGCTCTTTAGTTTAATTAGATCCCATTTGTCTATTTTGGCTTTTGTTGCCGTTGCTTTTGGTGTTTTAGTCATGAAGTTCTTGCCCATGCCTATGTCCTGAATGGTATTGCCTAGGTTTTCTTCTAGGGTTTTTATGGTTTTAGGTCTAACATTTAATTCTTTAATCCATCTTGAATTAATTTTTGTATAAGGTGTAAGGAAGGGATCCTGTTTCAGCTTTCTACATATGGCTAGCCAGTTTTCCCAGCACCATTTATTAAATACGGAATCATTTCCCCATTTCTTGTTTTTGTCAGGTTTGTCAAAGATCAGATGGCTGTAGATGTGGGGTGTCATTTCTGAGGCCTCTGTTCTGTTCCATTGGTCTATATCTCTGTTTTGGTACCAGTACCATGCTGTTGTGGTTACTGTAGCCTTGTAGTATAGTTTGAAGTCAAGTAGCGTGATGCCTCCAGCTTTGTTCTTTTGGCTTAGGATTGTATTGGCAATGCAGGCTTTTTTTTTGGTTCCATATGAACTTTAAAGTAGCTTTTTCCAATTCTGTGAAGAAAGTCATTGGTAGCTTGATGGGGATGGCATTGAAAGTGTAAATTACCTTGGGCAATATGGCCATTTTCACGATATTGATTTTTCCTATCCATGAGCATGGAATATTCTTCCATTTGTTTGTGTCCTCTTTTATTTTGTTGAGCAGTGGTTTGTAGTTCTCCTTGAAGAGGTCCTTCATATCCTTTGTAAGTTGGATTCCTAGGTATTTTATTCTCTTTGCAGCAATCGTGAATGGGAGTTCACTCATGATTTGGCTCTCTGTTTGTCTGTTATTGGTGTACAGAAATGCTTGTGATTCTTGCACATTGATTTTATATCCTGAGACTTTGCTGAAGTTGCTTATCAGCTTAAGGAGATTTTGGGCTGAGATGATGGGGTTTTCTAGATATACAATCATGTCATCTGCAAACAGGGACAATTTGACTTCCTCTTTTCCTAATTGAATACCCTTTATTTCTTTCTCTTGCCTGATTGCCCTGGCCAGAACTTCCAACATTATGTTGAATAGGAGTGGCGAGAGACGGCATCCCTGTCTTGTGCCAGTTTTCAAAGGGAATACTTCCAGTTTTTGCCCATTCAGTATGATATTGACTGTGGGTTTGTCATAAATAGCTCTTATTATTTTGAGATACGTTTCATCAATATCTAGTGTATTGAGAGTTTTTAGCATGAAGGGCTGTTGAATTTTGTCAAAGGCCTTTTCTGCATCTATTGAGATAATCATGTGGTTTTTGTCATTGGTTCAGTTTATGTGATGGATTATGTTTATTGATTTGCATATGTTGAACCAGCCTTGCATCCCAGGGACAAAGCCAACTTGATTGCAATGGATAAACTTTTTGATGTGCTGCTGGATTCAGTTTGCCAGTATTTTATTGAGGATTTTCGCATTGATGTTCATCAGGGATATTGGTCTAAAATTCTTTTTTTTGTTGTTGTGTCTCTGCCAGGCTTTGGTATCAGAATGATGCTGGCCTCATAAAATGAGTTAGGGAGGATTCCCTTTTTTCTATTGATTGGAATAGTTTCAGAAGGAATGGTACCAGCTCCTCCTTGTACCTCTGGTAGAATTTGGCTGTGAATCCATCTGGTCCTGGACTTTTTTTGGTTGGTAAGCTATTAATTATTGACTCAATTTCAGAGCCTGTTATTGGTCTATTCAGAGATTCAACTTCTTCCTGGTTTAGTCTTGGGAGGGTGTATGTGTTGAGGAATTTATCCATTTCTTCTAGATTTTCTAGTTTATTTGCGTAGAGGTGTTTATAGTATTCTCTGATGGTAGTCTGTATATCTGTGGGATCGGTGGTGATATCCCCTTTATCATTTTTTATTGTGTCTATTTGATTCTTCTCTCTTTTCTTCTTTATTAGTCTTGCTAGCGGTCTATCAATTTTGTTGATCTTTTCAAAAAACCACCTCCTGGATTCATTGATTTTTTGAAGGGTTTTTTATGTCTCTATCTCCTTAAGTTCTGCTCTGATCTTACTTATTTCTTGCCTTCTGCTGTCTTTTGAATGTAAAGTTTGCTCTTGCTTCTCTAGTTCTTTTAATCGTGATGTTAGGGTGTCAATTTTAGATCTTTCCTGCTTTCTCTTGTGGGCATTTAGTGCTATAAATTTCCCTCTACACATTGCTTTAAATGTGTCCCAGAGATTCTGGTATGCTGTGTCTTTGTTCTCATTGGTTTCAAAGAACATCTTTATTTGTGCCTTCATTTCATTATGTACCCAGTAGTCATTCAGGAGCAGGTTGTTCAGTTTCCATGTAGTTGAGCGGTTTTGAGTGAGTTTGTTAATCCTGAGTTCTAGTTTGGTTGCACTGTGGTCTGAGCAACAGTTTGTTATAATTTCTGTTCTTTTATATTTGCTGAGGAGTGCTTTACTTCCAACTATGTGGTCAATTTTGGAATAAGTGCGGTGTGGTGCTGAGAAGAATGTACATTCTGTTGATTTGGGGTGGAGAGTTCTGTAGATGTCTATTAGGTCCGCTTGGTGCAGAACTGAGTTCAATTCCTGGATATCCTTGCTAACTTTCTGTCTCGTTGATCTGTCTAATGTTGACAGTGGGGTGTTAAAGTCTCCCATTATTATTGTGTGGGAGTCTAAGTCTCTTTGTAGGTCACTCAGGACTTGCTTTATGGATCTGGGTGCTCCTGTATTGGGTGCATATCTATTTAGGATAGTTAGCTCTTCTTGTTGAATTGATCCCTTTACCATTATGTAATGGCCTTCTTTGTCTCTTTTGATCTTTGTTGGTTTAAAGTCTGTTTTATCAGAGACTGGGATTGCAACCCCTGCCTTTTTTTGTTTTCCATTTGCTTGGTAGATCTTCCTCCATCCCTTTATTTTGAGCCTATGTGTGTCTCTGCACATGAGATGGGTTTCCTGAATACAGCACACTGATGGGTCTTGACTCTTTATCCAATTTGCCAGTCTGTGTCTTTTAATTGGAACATTTAGCCCATTTACATTTAAGGTTAATATTGTTATGTGTGAATTTGATCCTGTCATTATGATGTTAGCTGGTTATTTTGCTTGTTAGTTGATGCAGTTTCTTCCTAGCATCGATGGTCTTTACAATTTGGCATGTTTTTGCAGTGGCTGGTACCAGTTGTTCCTTTCCATGTTTAGTGCTTCCTTCAGGAGCTCTCGTAGGGCAGGCCTGGAGGTGACAAAATTTCTGAGCATTTGCTTGTCTGTAAAGTATTTTATTTCTCCTTCACTTATGAAGCTTAGTTTGGCTGGATATGAAATTCTGGGTTGAAAATTCTTTTCTTTAAGAATGTTGAATATTGGCCCCCAGTCTCTTCTGGCTTGTAGAGTTTCTGCTGAGAGATCCGCTGTTAGTCTGATGGGCTTCCCTTTGTGGGTAACCCAACCTTTCTCTCTGGCTGCCCTTAACATTTTTTCCTTCATTTCAACTTTGGTGAATCTGACAATTAATGTGTCTTGGAGTTGCTCTTCTCACGGAGTATCTTTATGGCATTCTCTGCATTTCCTGAATTTGAATGTTGGTCTGCCTTGCTAGGTTGGGGAAGTTCTCCTGGATAATATCCTGCAGAGTGTTTTCCAACTTGGTTCCATTCTCCCTGTCACTTTCAGGTACACCAAGCCAACGTAGATTTGGTCTTTTCACATAGTCCCATATTTCTTGGAGGCTTTGTTCATTTCTTTTTATTCTTTTTTCTCTAAACTTCTCTTCTTGCTTCATTTCATTCATTTGATCTTCAATCTCTGTTACCCTTTCTTCCAGTTGATTGAATCGGCTACTGAATCTTGTGCACGCATCACGTAGTTCTCCTGCCATGGTTTTCAGCTCCATCAGGTCCTTTAAGGACTTCTCTGCATTGGTTATTCTAGTTAGCCATTCGTCTAATCTTGTTTCAAGGTTTTTAACTTCTTTGCAATGGGTTTGAACTTCCTCCTTTAGCTTGGAGAAGTTTGATCGTCTGAAGCCTTCTTCTCTCAGCTCATCAAAGTCATTCTCCGTCTAGCTTTGTTCCGTTGCTGGTGAGGAGCTGCATTCCTTTGGAGGAGGAGAGGCACTCTGAGTTTTAGAATTTTCAATTTTTCTGCTCTGTTTTTTCCCCATCTTTGTGGTTTTATCTACCTTTGGTCTTTGATGATGGTGACGTACAGATGGGGTTTTGGTGTGGATGTTCTTTCTGTTTGTTAGTTTTCCTTCTAACAGTCAGGACCCTCAGCTGCAGGTCTGTTGGAGTTTGCTGGAGGTCCACTCCAGACCCTGTTTGCCTGGGTATCAGCAGCAGAGGCTGCAGAACAGTGAATATTGCTGAACAGCAAATGTTGCTGCCTGATCGTTCCTGTGGAAGTTTTGTCTCAGAGGGGTACCTGGCCGTGTGAGGTGTCAGTCTGCCCCTACAGGGAGATGCCTCCCAGTTAGGCTTCTCAGGGGTCAGGGACCCACTTGAGGAGGCAGTCTGTTCATTCTCAGATCTCAAACTCCATGCCGGAAGAACCACTACCCTCTTCAAAGCTGTCAGACAGGCACATTTAAGTCTGCAGAGGTTTCTACTGCCTTTTGTTCGGCTATGCCCTGCCTCCAGCGGTGGAGTCTACAGAGGCAGGCAGGCCTCCTTGAGCTGCAGTTGGTTCCACCCAGTTCAAGCTTCCCGGTCGCTTTGTTTACCTACTCAAGCCTCAGCAATGGTGGGCGCCCCTCCCCCAGCCTTGCTGCCACCTTGCAGTTTGATCTCAGACTGCTGTGCTAGCAATGAGGGAGGCTCCATGGGCTTGGGACCCTCCGAGCCAGGTGCAGGATATAATCCCCTGGTGTGCCATTTGCTCAGACCATTGGAGAAGCGCAGTATTAGGGTGGGAGCTACCCGATTTTCCAGGTGCCGTCTGTCACAGCTTTGCTTGGCTAGGAAAAGGAATTTCCTGACCCCTTGTGCTTCTTGGGTGAGGCGATGCCTTGCCCTGCTTCAGCTTATGCTCGGTGCACTGCACCCACTGTTCTGCACCCACTGTCCGACAAGCCCCAGTGAGATGACCCTGGTACCTCAGTTGGATATGCAGAAATCACCCATCTTCTGCATGGCTCACGCTGGGAGCTATAGACTGGAGCTGTTCCTATTTGGCCATCTTGGAACTGCTCCCCAGTGTTGTGTAGGTTTTTGTAAAGAGATTGTTCATTTCCTTGCTTAAATTTATTCCTGTTTTTCTGGGGGGTTTTTGTCGCTATCATAAATGGGACTGCTTTTAAATTTCTTTCTTAGCTACTTCATTACTAATGTGTAGACATTATATTGATTTTTGCATGTTGATTTTGCATCTTGCCACTTTACTGAATTTATTTATTGGATCTAATTGTTTTTTGGTGGCATCTTTAGATTTTTTTAGACATAGGATTATACCATTGGCAGGAAGGCAAGAGAGGCTGAAGGTTAAGCTGATGGCCATGATGTAATGAATCATGCCTAAGAAATATGGCTTCCATCAAAACCCAAAAGGGAAGAGTCAGAGAGCTTCTGTATGGCTGAACACAGGGAGGCTTATAGGAAGGTGAACAATAACTCAGACATGTGCCAGGGAGGGTAGCACTTCCCAAACACATGGGGCAGAAGCTCCTGCACTCAAGACCCTTTCAGACCTCACCCTATGTATCTCTTCATGTGGCTCTTATCTCTTCATGTGGCTCTTTATCCTTTAAAATATCCTTTTAAATAAACTGGTTAATGTATGTAAGTGTTTCCTGGCATGCTATGAGCCATTCTAGCAAATCAATCAAACCTGAGGGTGGGTTTTGGGAACCCTGATTTATAGTCAGTGAGTTAGCAACACAGGCAAAATAATCTGGGGCTTGAGATTGTCATCAGAAGTGAGAGGGTGACAGTCGTGAGGACTGAGCCATCAACTTGCGGGATCTAAAATTATCTCCAGGGAGATAGTGTCAGAATTGAGTTAGAGGATACCCAGCTGGCGTCCATAACAGAACCAATTGTTTGCTTGTTTTTGGGGAGAAATCCCCTACATTTCATCGCAGAAGCCTTCTGTGTTGATAGTTGTTGGGGTGTAAGAACAGTAGAAAAAAGACTTTGAATTTTCCCACAAAATTTTGCCACAAAAATGTGGTTAAAAGATTTTTTAAAAACTGGCACATTTGTCTAGAGCACTTACCATGAATGGAGCTTACAGGACTGGAAATTGCTCTGGGTGTCAGTGAGTGGCGAGTGAATGTGAAGTCTAGGGCATTACTATACACTACTTAGACTTTATAAACACTGTACATTTAGGCTACACTAAATTAATTTTAAAAATCATTTTCTTTCTTTAATAATAAATTAATCTTAGCTTACTGTAACTTTTTAATCTTTTTTTCTCCACCCTTTTTTTAAGTTCAGGGGTACATGTACAGAATGTGCAGGTTTGTTACGTAGGTAAATGTGTGCCATGGTGGTTTGCTGCAGAGATCGTCCCATCACCTAGGTATTAAGGCCAACATCCATTGGCTATTCTTCCTGGTGCTTCCCTCCCCCAGCCCCATGCCCTCTAACAGACCCCAGTGTGTGTTGTTCTCCCCCATGTATCCATGTGTTGTCATCATTCAGCTCCCACTTATAAGTGAGAACACATGGTGTTTTGTTTTCTGTTCCTGGGTCAGTTTGCTGAGGATAATGGCTTCCCACTCCATTCATGTCCCTGCAAAGGACATGGTCTTATTCCTTTATGTGGCTGCATCGCATTCCATGTTGTATATGTACCACATTTTCTTTATCCAGTCTATCATTGATGGGCATTTATGTTGATTCCATGTCTTTGCTATTGTGAATAGTGCTGCAATGAACATATGCGTGTATATATCTTTATAATAGAATGATTTATATTCCTTTGGGTATGTATCCAGTAATGAGATTGCTAGGTCAATTTCTGCCTCTAGGTTTTTGAGGAATCACCACACTGTCTTCCACAATGGTTGAACGAATTTACATTTCCACCAACAGTGTGAAAGCATTGCTTTTTCTCTGTGACTTCACCAGCATCTCTTGTTTTTTGACTTATTAATAGCCACTCTGGTATCTCATTGTGGTTTTTATTTGCATTTCTCTAATTATCAGTGATGTTCAACTTTTCTCATATGTTTGTTGGCTGCATGTATGTCTTTTTTTGAGAGGTGTCTGCTCATGTCCTTTGCCTACTTTTTAATGGGGTTGTTTGTTTTTTTCTTGTAAATTTGCTGAAGCTCCTTGTAAACTCTGGATATTAGACCTTTGTCAGATGTATAGATTGCAAAAATCTTCTCCTATTCTGCAGGTTGTCTATTCACTCTGCTGATAGTTTCCTTTGCTGTGCAGAAGCTCTTTAGTTTAATTAATTCCATTAGTCAATTTTTGCTTTTGTTGCAATTGCTTTTGGAGTCTTCATCATGAAATCTTTGCCCATGCCTATGTTCTGAAGAGTATTGCATAGATTTTCTTCTAGCGTTTTTATAGTTTTGGGTTTTACATTTAAGTCTTTAATCCATCTTGAATTAATTTTTGTATATAGTTTAAGGAACGGGCCTAGTTTCAATTTTCTGCATATGGCAAGCCAGTTCTCCCAGCACCATTTATTAAATAGGGAATTCTTTCCCCATTACTTGTTTTGGTCAGACTTGTCAAAGATCAGATGGTTGTAGGTGTGTGATCTTATTTCACAGTTCTTTATTCTGTTCCATTGGTCTATGTATCTGTTTTTGTATCAGTACCATGCTGTTTTAGTATTGTAACCTTGTAGTATAGTTTGAAGTCAGGTAATGTGATGCCTCCAGTTTTGTTCTTTTTGCTTAGAATTGTCTTGGCTATTCAGGCTCTTTTTTTGGTTCCATATGAATTTAAAAATAGTTTTGTTTTTTTTTTCAGGCTAGGCGCAGTGGCCCACGCCTATAATCCCAGCACTTTGGGAGGCTGAGGTGGACAGATCATGAGGTCAGGAGTTCAAGACTAGCCTGGCCAACATTGTGAAACCCCATCTCTACTAAAAATACAAAAATTAGCTGGGCGTGGTGGTGCGCATTTGCAATCCCAGCTACTTGGGAGGTTGAGGCAGGAGAATCGCTTGAACCTGGGGACGCGGAGGTTGCAGTGAGCCGAGATCACGCCACTGCACTCCAGCCTGGGTGACAGAGCAAGACTCTATCTTAAAAAAAAAAATAGTGTTTTTTTTTCTTCTAATTCTGTGAAGAATGTCTATGATAGTTTAATGGGAATAGCATCACATCTACAAATTACTTTGGGCAGTATGGCCATTTTCATGATATGGATTCTTCCTATCCATGAACATGGAATGTTATCCTATTTGTTTGTATCCTCTCTGATTTTTCTTTGAGCAGTGGTTTGTAGTTCTCCTTGAAGAGGTCCTTCACTTCCCTTGTTAGCTGTATTCCTAGGTATTTCATTCTTTCTGTAGGAATTGTGAATGGGAGTTGATGATTTGGCTCTCTGCTTGCCTGTTGTTGGTATATAGGAATGCTAGCGATTTTTGCACATTCTGTATCCTGAGACGTTGCTGAAGTTCCTTATCAGCTTAAGAAACTGCTGTTCTCATGATGGTGAAACTAATATAAGTGGTGAGAGGCTTGTCTGGTGCCGGTTTTCAAGGGGAATGTTTCCAGCTTTTGCCCATTCAGTATGATATTGGCTGTGGGTTTGTCATATATTGCCCTTATTATTTTGAGATCTCTTCCTTCAACACCTAGTTTATTAAGAGTTTTTAACATGAAAGTATATTGAATTTTATCAAGTGCCTTTTCTGCATCTATTGAGATAATCATGTGGTTTTTTTCTTTAGTTCTGTTTATGTTATGAATCGCATTTATTGATTTGTGTATGTTGAACCAACCTTGCATCCTGGGGATGAAGCCAACTTGATTGTGATGAATAAGCTTTTTGATGTGCTGCTGGATTCGGTTTGCCAGAATTTTATTGAGGATTGTTGCATTGATGTTCATCATGCATGGCCCGAAGTTTTCTTTTTTTGTTATATCTCTGCCAAGTTTTGGTATCAGGATGATGCTGGCCTTTTAAAATGAGTTAGGGAAGAGTCCCCCCTTTTCAATTGTTTGGAATAGTTTTAGTGAAAATGGTACCAGCTCTCCTTTGTACTTTTGATAGAATTCAGCTATCAATCTGTCTGGTCCTCGGCTTTTTTTGGTTGGTAGGCTATTTATTGCCTCAACTTCAGAACTCATTACTGGCCTGCTAAGAGTTTCAATTTCTTCCTGGTTCAGTCTTGGGAGGGTGTATGTGGGCAGGAATTTATCAACTTCTTCTAGATTTTCTAGTTTATTTGCATAGAGGTGTTCGTAGTATTCTCTGATTGTTGTTTGTATTTCTGTGGGGCCAGTGGTAATATCACCCTTGTTATTTCTGATTTGTTTATTTGATTCTTCTCTCTCTTCTTCTCTATTAGTCTAGATAGTGTTCTATTTTATTAATTCTTTCAAAAAAACAGCTCCTAGATTCATTAACGTTTTGAAGGGTTTTGTGTGTCTCTCTCTCCTTCAGTTCAGCTCCGATCTTGGTTATTTCTTGTCTTCTGCTAGCTTTGGGATTTGTTTTTGTTTCTCTAGTTCTTTTAGTTGTGATACTAGATTGTTAACTTGAGATTTTTCTGGTGTTTTGATATAGGCATTTAGTGCTATAAATTTCCCTCTTTACACTGCTGTAGCTGTGTCCCAAAGATTCTGATACATTGTCTCTTCATTCTCATTAGCTTCAAATAACTTATTGATTTCTGCCTTAATTTAATAATTTACCCAACAGTCATTCAGGAGCAGGTTGTTCAATTTCCATGTAGTTGTATGGTTTTGAGCGAATTTCTTACTTTTGGTTTCTAATTTGATTGTGCTGTGGTCTGAGAGACTGTTTATTATGATTTCAGTTCTTTTTGCATTTGCTGAGGAGTGTTTTACTTTTGATTATGTGACCAATTTTAGAGTAGGTGCTGTGTAGCAATGAGAAGAATGTATATTCTGTTGTTTTTGGGTGGAAAGCTCTGTAGGTGTCTATCAGATCCACTTGATCCAAAGCTGAGTTCAAGTCTTGAACTTTTTCATATTTATAAACCTTAATTTTTTAAAAAATTCAACTATTTTGTAATAGCACTTAGCTTAAAACACCAGCACATTATTCAGCTATACAAAAATATTTTTCCTTATATTCTCATTCTAGAAACTATTTCTACTTAATTTTTTAACCTTTTAATCTTTTTTGGTAAAAACAAAGACATACATTAGCCTAGGCTGACACAGGGTCAGGATCAACAATATCACCAACTTCAGCCTTCACATCTTGTCCCACTGTTATTTCACAGGTAATAACAAGCATGGAACTGTCATCTCCTGTGATAACAATGCCTTCTTCTGGAATACCTCCTAAAGGACCTGCCTGACGCTGTTTTAATTTAACTTAAAAAATAATTAGAGCACACTCTAAAATCACCATAAAAAGTATAGTAAATACATAAACCAGTAACATATTTATTATCATCAAGTATTACATGCTGTTTTTAACTGTATGGGGTAGACTTTTATAGGATTGGCAGTGCAGTAGGTTTATTTACATCAGCATCACCACAAGCACATGATTAATGCATTGTGTTATGACATTACAATGGCTACAATGTCACTAGGTGATAGGAATTTTTCAGCTCCGTTTAATAGGATGACAGTCGTATACGTGATCAATCATTGACAGAAACATCATTAAGCAGTGCATGACTGTATAACACAGTGATGTGTGTGTGTGTGTGTGTGTATTTTGTGTGTATAAGGTTGTTAAAGATGAAATTGAGGTTTCAACTGGGCACTAAGATATAACATATTAACTTTGCCTGTGAATTGTCAAATTACCCTATTCAGATTTTCAAATGCAATGACTATTGAAGGATTAGAGGTCTTCTGACTTGAACTGTGATAGACTAGCTCATTTAAAACTCATCCTCCCACTGTAAACAAGTATAAAAGCCAGACAAAACACGATGCAGTTGTGCAGCTGCAAAACAGCAGCCAGAGCAGGACTATCACCCTCCAGGGAATGGAGTCCCTGAAAGAGAGACTCACATCCTCATCAGCTTTCTTTCTAAGAGGATTTTTTTCAAAATTCAATGAAGGGAAATGGAACCCAAGCAGAGAGAATCAATCTCAGTAGCAAAGGAATCAGAGATCAGAGTTCAGGCTTGGCACTTTGACTGGGATTTAAGGGTAGGGTGCTGAAGGAGGGAGCTACAGCGAAGAAACTCCCAAAATCTGCACTCCAAAGCTGCATATGCTCCAGGTGATACTGTAAGAAGCCCACCAGAGAACAGCTGCTTGGGGATTGCATGCTATGTAGAAATGCCAAAGGCTTCATAGTGTGAGGAGATATTGGAATTAATTTAGCCCAGCCAAACCCGGGTTGAGACATGAGGATGGTGAAGCACTATGAGTGAGGGCCGTGGCCTTGGAGTAAGTACCACACTGAAATAGCAAAGTAGCAAAGTCTAAAATCAAGCCTTGGGAAAGGATTCCCTATTTAATAAATGGTGCTGAGAAAACTGGCTAGCCATATGTAGAAAGCTGAAACTGGATCCTTTCCTTACACCTTATACAAAAATCAATTCAAGATGGATTAAAGACTTAAACGTTAGACCTAAAACCATAAAAACCCTAGAAGAAAACCTAGGCATTACATTCAGGACATAGGCATGGGCAAGGACTTCATGTCTAAAACACCAAAAGCAATGGCAACAAAAGCCAAAATTGACAAATGGGATCTAATTAAACTAAAGAGCTTCTGCACAGCAAAAGAAACTACCATCAGAGTGAGCAGGCAACCTACAACATGGGAGAAAATTTTCACAACCTACTCATCTGACAAAGGGCTAATATCCAGAATCTACAAAGAACTTAAACAAATTTACAAGAAAAAAAAAACCACCCCATCAAAAAGTGGGCGAAGGACATGAACAGACATTTCTCAAAAGAAGACATTTATGCAGCCAAAAAACACATGAAAAAATGCTCACCATCACTGGCCATCAGAGAAATGCAAATCAAAACCACTATGAGATATCATCTCACACCAGTTAGAATGGCAATCATTAAAAAGTCAGGAAACAACAGGTGCTGGAGAGGATGTGGAGAAATAGGAACACTTTTATGCTGTTGGTGGGACTGTAAACTAGTTCAACCATTGTGGAAGTCAGTGTAGCAATTCCTCAGGGATCTAGAACTAGAAATACCATTTGACCCAGCCATCCCATTACTGGGTATATACCCAAAGGGCTATAAATCATGCTGCTATATAGACACATGTACACGTATGTTTATTGCAGCACTATTCACAATAGCAAAGTCTTGGAACCAACCCAAATGCCCAACAATGATAGACTGGATTAAGAAAATGTGGCACATATACACCATGGAATACTATGCAGCCATAAAAAGTGATGAGTTCATGTCCTTTGTAGGGACATGGATGAAATTGGAAATCATCATTCTCAGTAAACTAACGCAAGAACAAAAAACCAAACACCGCATATTCTCACTCATAGGTGGGAATTGAACAATGAGAACACATGGACACAGGAAGTGGAACATCACACTCTGGGGATTGTTGTGGGGTGGGGGGAGGGGGGAGGGATAGCATTGGGAGATATACCTAATGCTAGATGACAAGTTAGTGGGTGCAGCACACCAGCATGGCACATGTATACCTATGTAACTAACCTGCACATTGTGCACATGTACCCTAAAACTTAAAGTATAACAAAAAAATAAATAAAATAAAATAAAATAAAATAAAATCAAGCCTAAGCAGAATCAAAGTGGGTCCGATTTTTACCAAAGGTAATTCTTTTATAATTAATGAACTATCAAATTGTTAGCAGTCTGTGGAGGAAGATGGCAAAATCCAGAGCCTCTATAACACATCATCCAGAATATGTGGCATGCCAAGCAGCAGAGAAAATGCAACAAGTAGAGATAAAATCAGACTAAGTATTCCATGGTGTATATGTACCACATTTTCTTAATCCAGTCTATCATACTATGCAGCCATAAAAAATGATGAGTTCATGTCCTTTGTAGGGACATGGATGAAACTGGAAACCATCATTCTCAGCAAACTATCGCAAGGAGAAAAAACCAAACACCTCGTGTTCTCACTCATAGGTGGGAATTGAACAATGAGAACACGTGGACACAGGAAGGGGAACATCACACACCGGGGACTGTTGTGGGGTGGGGGAAGTGGGGAGGGATAGCATTAGGAGATATACCTAATGTTAAATGACGAGTTAATGGGTGCAGCACACCAACATGGCACATGCATACATATGTAACTAACTTGCATGTTGTGCACATGTACGCTAAAACTTAAAGTATAATAAAAAAAATCAGGCTAAGAGTTGATGTGGATATTGAAGCAGGCAAGCAAGAACATTCTCAAAGTATTTATGATTAATATGTTAAGGAAAATAGAGGGAAAGATGGGCAAACTATTTCAAAATCCCCAGAAAGATCAATCATAAAAAGAGAGAAAACAGAAATGAACACTATAAAGAACAACATAAAACCGTATATTTTATTAAAATGAAAATAAGAGAATATTAGACACAACTTCCTGACAATACCTTTTAAAATTTAGGTGCAATGAAATGAGTTCTTGAAAACGACAATTGAACAAGCCAACAGAAAACTGAATAGAAAATATAAGTAGTCCTATATCCATTAAGAAATGGGATTCTAATTAAATTCTTTCCCACCAAAAACACTCTTTGCCCACGTTTTTTCCCCTGTCAATTCTTCCAAAACTTTTTTTAAAAAAGTCAGTCTTATTCAGTCATCTCTTGGTATCCTTTTGGGATGGGATCTAGGGCCCCCTGTGGATACCAAAATCTATGAATGCTCAGGTCCCATGTATAAAATGGTCTAGTATTTGCTTATTACCTATGCACATCCTCCCATATACTTTAAATCACCTATAGATTACTAATACCTAATTCAATGTAAATTATTCGCAAATAGTTGTTATACTATATTGTTTAGGAAATAATGATAAGAAAAAGTCTATATATCTTCAGTACAGATGTAACCGCTGTAGGTAGGCCTAACTACATAGTATACATCAGCAGCAACAACAGTTTCGATCCTCAGGTAGTTAAATTCACAGATGTGAAACACACAGACATGGAGGGCAGACTATCATATATTCTTTTAGATAATAAAAAAAGAGTAAACACCTTCCAACTAATTTTATGAGACAACATAGCCCAGAGAAGAACTTAAACATGACAATGACATTACAAAAAAGATATCCACCATCTGAATGAACTGATGAACACAGCCACCAAAATTCCATCTAAAATATTAGAAAATAGAAGCAAGTAATATATGGAGAGGATAATGTACAATGGGACTGAATGGGATTTATAAGAGAAATGTGACTTTAAAAAATCAGAGTAATTTACCACATGAATAGAAAAAGGTAGAAAAACGTGCAGTTATGTCAACAGATGCATGAGAATCATTTGATAAAATTCAACAACTATTCATTATAAAAACTCAATAAACCAGAAATAAAAGAGAACTTCCTTAAGCTAATAAAGTTATTTATAAAAAAGAAATACCTCTATCTAAAGTCAAAATTAATGAGAAAAATATTGAAAACTACTCCTCTGTGTTGGGGACAAAATAAGGATATCCAATATCATTCCTTTTTTTTTTTTTTTTTTTGAGATGGAGACTTGCTTTGTCACCCAGGCTGGACTGCAGTGGTGCGATCTCGGCTCACTGAAAACTCCGCCTCCCAGGTTCAGGAGAATCGCCTGCCTCAGCCTCCTGAGTAGCTGGGATTACAGACATGTGCCACCATGCCCAGCTAATTTTTGTCGTTTTAGTAGAGATGGGGTTTCACCATGTTGATCAGGCTGGTCTTGAACTCCTGACCTCATGATCTGCCCGCCTTGGCCTCCCGAAGTGCTGGGATTACAGGCGTGAGCCACCGTGCCCGGCCACTTTTTTAAAAAATTATTTTTTATTTCAAGGTTTTTAGGGGTGGGTGGTGTTTGGTTACCTGAATTAATTCTTTAGTGGTGATTTCTGAGATTTTGGTGCACCCAGCAGTCAGGAAGGATTGAGCAACAGGGTGGGGAATATCCATCTCCCCACCTCCCTACCCCGATCAGCCTGAACTGATGGCAGAAACTGACTGCTGATGCTTGCTTTACTCACCCACATTCCCCATTCACTTATTCTTCATCAATTTGGTTCACATGTTCCCAGCAGTCGCTTCACCCCAGAAGCAGTCTGACTCCTATTCTTCAATACCAGGGAAACTCAAAGCCCTCTCTGCCCCCATCTCTGATATTACACTTCAGCTCAACATCATCACATGAAGGATCCAACTCTTCAGGGCAGATGTTCCCCCAGAGTCAGCCCCTGAATTTTGGCCCCAGATGTGCACCCCCACCCCCAACCTTTCCTTTTCTGTTTTGCTGTGAATCTGTCAATCACTGGGAACTGGCAGGGAGAGGTAGGAAGAGGGAGAGATTTCTTCATGCTGTGTCAAGGCATTGAGACAGACCTCTCCTTTTCCCCTGAACCTTGTATTCTACTCTTCCCAGATGCATGAAATAAAGCACAGGCCAGAAATGTCTATTTAAAGAGTAAAAATCCACAGTATAAAATTATGCAGACATAGTAGACATGGGGTAATTTATAACAGTGTGCGAAGGGTGAGGGGACCTCAAGGTGCCAAAAAGGCTGGTCCCAGGCTTGCCAGGAGGAACCGTCAACAGGACACACACTCATAAAGCTTTTATGCACATACAATGTGTTTAAAGGCACATATGTGCTTTTGTGCATGTAATTACTGCACATACAATACATTAAAAGATAATAAAAGTTAATAAGATAATAACAAAACAACAAAAATAATAATACCGAATATTATGGCACAGCTGCAAACACCTCATAGCAACTAACAGTTGTCAATCCCTGACCACAAGAAATAAGTGCTGTTAGTTTCCCATTTAATATATGAGGAAACTGAGGCATCAAGAGGGAAAGTGCTGGTGAGACCTGGGTAGGGAGTTGAATCCAGTGGAGCCAGCAGACCCAGGAGCTGGCACCAGAGACTGAAATTCCAGCTGTATGGTGCCCTGGTGGTCTCCTGTCCCAACCAGGTGTTGATCTGGGCTTCGTAGGCTCATGTGCTCTGGAGAAAAGAGAGAAACAGTAAATGCTCCACTGGGTGCAGAGTGCTGCTTTTCATTCCCTGAGGATTTCTCCCTCCTCAGAAACTCCGAAATCAGATTCACCCTTTCTCTGAGGGAAGAACTGACGCCCCCACTTTTTCCTCCCTCCCATCCTAGTTTCTCCAGCCTCCACCAGTCTCCTCCTGTGATTCCCTCAACAATGATACCTGCCCTGTGCCCACCATCCACCATGTGGGGAATGAAAGGGCCTCATGACTAAAGGACAAGAATCAGATCCAGGAGGGAACCCGGGGCCCTCCCCTCCTCCCAAGCCCCACCAGCCTAGACACAGTGGGAAACCTCCCCAAAGAGAGGATGGTCCTAGCTCCGTGTCCTACCAGGCCTGGGCTGGGTCACGCACGCGGTCCTTCTCCCTCTCAGTCCCCAGGCCCTCCTCACCTACAGAGGCACTTGCACAACAGGGCAGACCCTGCACACTGGGCTCCCCGCTCCACCTGCAGCTCAGCGTTCCACCCTCCGAGCCCTGAGCAGCCAGCCCCTAACTGCAGAGCCCATCAAGAAGCCTGGGGGCTCGGCACAAAAACACGTGGCTGCCACCGGGTCTGCACCTGACTGGATCCTGGGACCCTCCACGCTTGAGGACACCCAACCTTTCCAGACCCTCAGCACCCACCCGGGTCCGTGACCTGCACTTGGGCCATCCTTGCTCCTGCCTGGTCCACTCACCCCTGGAAATGCACCTCCACCCCAGGGCTGCTGCTTGCTGAGGCTGCAAGACCTTCCTGCCCTGTTCCTAGCAGGGCTTCCACCCAGGCCACTGCCCTCACAGCCCACAGGGAATCTTCTTCTTCTCCCTGTGGAGCAGGGGGTTTCTGGAGACCCCTCAGCCTGAGGCTGCCTCCACCCACCCTCTGCACTCCAGGATTGCCACTGCCACAACCACCATCTCCAACATGGACCCTCCTGGAGAGGAAGCTCCAAGCTTGACTTCTCATTTGATTGTACATGCTTTACAACATCAATATTAGAGGAAATCCTATTAAGATTATCCAGCGGAAATTGTGAACATCTTTATTGGACATCAATATTTAAAGGAGAATTTTTGAGAAATTAGCACATGACTTTCACACCCTTTCCCTGGCCAATGCCCCGTGACCTACAAGGCAAACTTTCCTGCCCACGGGGACCCAGAAGTGACAACCCCTCTATAGGAGACAGTGCAGGTGAAAGCAGGAGCGACCACAAACCTGCACTGCCCCTGCTGTGGGTGCCTCCTGGACGGGGCCCTCTTGCTGCAGGGCAGGGGATGAACCTTCCCATCTGCCCAGGACTGAGGGGCCAACAGACAGTGCAATTAGGTTCAAGGATGAAAAACCCCCACCCCCACCACCAGGTGCAAAAAAGTGGGGAAATGGCAGAAAGACTCCAGTTTCCTGGACACCCAGCCTCTCACTGTCCCCTGCACTGCCTCTGTCTTTGCAGAAACACAAAACTTCCTGTTTTCTCTTTTACTTTCCCCTCAAACAACTGACTGTGGGGGAAATCATCCTGACCATCCTTTACTCCAAATTTACAGGAAAGTGACCACCTTGAGAAAGGCTCAGGGAGGGCAAGGTGAGGCCACAGAGCACAGAACAAAGCCCAAAAAACATGGTCCCTGAGCACTGTGTCCCTGAGGGACTGTGTCCTTCAGGGCCTGGACAAGGAAACACCTAGAAGTAGGATGAAAACAGGGATGACAGCTGCCCTGACAAGGGGCTGGTCACCACTCCCCAAATGGCTCAGAGACATCTGCGTATCTTCTCATCCATATTATCTGCAAGGGAACTCAGGGTGCAGGGCCATGTGGTGGGAACCTGGAAAGAGCATGGCCTCGAGTGATCCAGGAGACACGACACCCCCGAGACAGCTCCTGGAGGAGGCGCGTGGGGAGCTACAAAGTGGACAAAGATGGCTGTGTGCACTCAGAACCCTCCCTGTTACAAGGGGGTCTCCAAGGGGCTGCACAGGCAGGCCCCCCAGTCTGGGCCTCATAGGTCTTTTTCTTGGTGTCCTCCTGATGGCTGGAGAAACAGGGGAGGGGGATGCAGAGAGGAAGGGACTAGAGGCACCACCTCTCCTCATATTCCTCTCCAGTTTCTAGCCCTCCCCAGATCACAGCCGTCTTTACTATTTGCCCCCTCTGAAGCCATCATCATCCAGGCCCTCAGCAATCAGCACATGATTCCCAGCTCACCCCACGCTGATGCACGCTGGTGAGCCTGAGAGACAGAGGGATGGGGATGAGGACAGAGCAGGTGCCACGGCCCTCCTTGCTGCCCACTCCTCACCTGCAGCAAGAGGAGGCCACAGATGGACATTCGAGGGCTTTGGCCCGGCCCTGGCTTGGGCAGGACTTAGGGGTCTAGATGAAATTGTAGCTCCTATTCCCCTCCCAAATACCCCAACTTCCAAACCCTGTTCCAAAGCCCTGTCACCTACATGCCTGTCTGTGCAGGAGCTATGAGGGGACCCTACTGCCCAGACAGGGTCCCTCCCATCTCCAGCCACTGCCCCCTTTTTTCACCTGGGTCCTCTGCAGCTGATATTTTCTTCTTGCACCAAAGGACACAGAGAATAATAATAATGATAACAAAAACAGCAGCAGCCGCAACATACGGAACGGTTGCCATAGACTCTGAAGCATCAGGGCTTTCCCTGAAAAAAAGGGCCTTGTTGCACACTGGGCACTCAGAGTTCCAGTTATCTCTGCTGTGCCCACCTTGGCCTGACCCTTTCTAGGTCAGAACACTTGAGGGTCGCCCCAGGCTCACCAGAGGACACCAGGGTAAGTGCTGTGATTCCTGCTGTGTCCCACATAGCAGGTAGCCCTCTGCTCCTCTTCTTGGGGAATCTTAGTGGCCACCCAGGTCTGGTAGGTCCCATTCCCATTGGGCAGGACACCCACAGACCGATGGGCATCCTGGCTCAGAAAATGCCCCAACCTGACACCAGGCCAGAGAGATATTCTGGGGATAGAAGCCGGAAGCCCAGCATGTGGGGGTGACTTTGTTCTCTGAGGCCTGGCATTCACCATGGTAGGCACTGGATAGGAAAGGGCAGAGCCAGTGAGGCACATGGCCAAGCCCCGCTCCCTCTAAGGGAGACTCAGGGAACAGGGCTGCTCCTCTCCAGTGTTCTCACTCTGGCTGAAGCCCTCATGGACCCCGGATCTTTTGCAAGTCTGTCCTTACCCTGGGGCCCAATTCCTTTGGGCTGGCAGGAGGATGGGCCTCAGACTATGGCCTCAGGCTCTGAGATCCCCACATTGATGCTGAAGGGGAGGGATGTCAGGATTGGACTCCTGGGTCATGAGGCCAGGAGGGAACTCTCTGGGATGGGCAGGCTGGGAGGCAGAGGGGGCAGCCCTAGCCCTGAGGGCTTCCTCTCCTGCCTAACACCCACCCCAGGGTGAGGATTCTGTTGGGAGTGGGCCATTGCTTTCCCAGATTACAACACTGGATGGTTCAGTCCCCAACCCACTGTCTTTATCCAGTGGCTCTAACAAGAGAGGAAAGTCAGGACACAATACGCCAACAGGAAACGCCTGCATCCATAGCACAGAGAGGGTTTCCCAGGACAGAGCTGGCAGGGGAGTGACTCTAGTGAAATGGGGGAGAGGAAAGCCCCTGCCCAGGGTCGGTACCTGTTCTCCTGATGCCCTCCTAGGATTCGAGATGTTACTGTAGTTTCTGCAGACGGTCTGCCATCACAGGGTGAAAGTGTCTTGGCCTGTGTGGCATCTTCATCCCAGAAATTTCTGATATTCATAGCTAAGGTCTGAGCTCTGGAGGACTGGGGCACTGTCCATTCCTGAGTCTCCAGGTTTTGGGAGAGGAAGAGCTCCCCATCATAGTAGAAATGCCGGGAGCCTCTGGTGCTGCTGTCTTCATGGATCTCACAGACCCTAATCTCCTGGAGGGAATGCAAGCCTGCCCCCACCCAGCAGTTCATTCCTGAACCCCTCATCTTCCCACCCAAGTGAGGAACTCAGCCCAGCTGGGACCCCTCCCTGGCCCTCCTCCATGTCTCCCTGTGTGGGCTGAGTGCCGGCTCACCTCCCTGCTGAGCCCCACTGACCCCTATTTCTCAGCCCACCCTCAGCCAGATCCAGTGGGAAGAGACAGGTCCCTGCTCTCTGCCTCCAACTCTCCTGGAGAAGGCCTCTGCCATTACTCTTGCCCCTGCCGACTCTCACCTCCTTTCTGGCCCTTGATATGAGTCAGGGTCCTCCTGAGGTCCTGCCCATTCTCTGTCAAGTCCTCGGTCTCTGTGTCCCAGGTCTCAGCTCCCAGGACTGCTTCTGCCAACTGTCCACAGGGCCCCTGCCCTGCCTTTCTGTCTGTCATAGAGCAGGAACGGCTGACCATCCAGATGTCCCTCAGCGAGAAACCCTGACTATACAAATCCATCCTGGGACAGCACCGTGAGGTTGTAATGAAGACTGTGGGACCTGGGGAAGAAGAAACCACAGATGAAACTTCTTCCTGGAAATAACTTCACATAGATATTTAACACACAGATCTGCTGCCCCGACCTTCCTGAGGAAGCAGAAGTGGCTAAGTGTTGACAGTTTTGTAGTAATTTACAAGTTGATATGGTTTGGCTGTGTTCCCACCCAAATCACATCTTCAGTTGTAACTCCCACAATTCCCACCTGTCATGGGAGGAACCTAGTGGGAGGTGATTGAATTTTTGGATGGGTCTTTCCTGCACTGTTCTTGTGATAGCGAATGAGTCTCATGAGATCTAATGGTTTTAAAAAAATGGGAGTTTTCCTGCACGAGCTCTCTCTTCTTGCCTGCTGCCATCCACACAAGATGTGACTTGCTCCTCCTTGCCTTCCACCGTGATTGTGAGGCCTCCCCAGCCATGTGGAACCATTAAGTCCGTTAAACCTCTTTCTTTTGTAAATTGCCCAGTCTCAGGTATGTCTTTACCAGCAGTGTGAAAACATACTAATACACAAGTGAAACACATTATACATTTTAATCCATTAAAGACTAGTTAGCAGCACTCACCACAAGCTGATATAAGAGCCTGTGAGCCTTAAGGGAACATTCACTGGTAATGGTCTGCAAACAGGGGTAGTCTGACTTCCCCTATGCCCTTATTTCTTTCTCTTGCCTTATTGCTGTGGCCAGGACTTCCAATACTCTGTTGAATAGGAGTGGTGAGAGAAGGCATCTTTGTCTTGTGCTGGGTTTCAAGGGGAATGCTTCCCCCATTTGGTATGATGTTGGCTGTTTGTTTGTCATAGATGGCTCTTATTATTTTGAGGTATGTTCCTGCAATACCTAGTTTATTGAGCGTTTTTAACATAAAGGAATGTTGAATTTTATCAAAAGGTTTTTCTGGATCTATTAAGATAATCATGTGGTTTCTGTCTTTAGTTCTATGTATGTGATGAATCACATTTATTGATTTGCACGTGTTGAACCAATCTTGCATCCTGGATATGAAGCCTACTTGATCATTGAGATTAGCTTTTTGATGGACTGCTGGATTTGGTTTGCAAGTACCTTGTTGAGGATTATTACATCAATGTTCATCAAACATATTGACCTGAAGTTTTCTTTTTTTGTTTTGTCTCTGCCAGGTTTTGGTATCAGGATGATGCTGGCCTCATAGAATGAGTTGGGGAGGAGTTCCTCCTTTACAATTTTTTGGAATAGTTTCAGTAGGAATGGTACCAGCTCTTCTTCGTCCATCTGGTAGAATTCAGCTGTGAATCCATCAGGTTCAGGGCTTTTTTTGGTTAGTAGGCTATTTATTACAGATTTAATTTTGGAGCTCATTATTGGTCCTTTCAAGGAATCAATTTCTTCCTGGGAGGGTGTATGTTTCCAAGAATTTATCGATCTCTTGTAGGTTTTCTAGTTTGTGTGCATACAGGTGTTCATAGTAGCTTTTGATGGTTATTTTTACTTCTGCAGAGTCAGTGGTAACATCTGTTTTGTCATTTCTAATTATGCTTATTGGGATCGCCTCTCTTTTCTTCCTTATTAGTCTAGCTATCAGCCTATCTATCCTATTAACTTTTTCAAAAATCATCTCCTGAATTTGTTGATCTATTGAATTTTTTTGTGTCTTGATTTCCTTCAGAACTTAACTCATTCTTAACATTTCACAGCCCACTTTCAGTTAATAATGTACTAGTTCACATAAATATAGAAATCTTGCAACCATTTATCCTCTATAAAACGTCCATCTTTTATGCCATAGATATTATATGTAATATATTTACATAGGTTATAAGCCCCATCAGAAAGCTATCTTATTTTACCTTTAAACAGTTCTATGTATATGAAGTAAGATTAAATGGGGGTGGGGGAGCAAGATAGCCTTTCGCACTTAATATTTACCACTTCTCACATTCTTCATCTTTTCTGATAATCTCATTTTCCACCTGGTATCATTTGCTTTTAGCCTGAGACACTTTCTTTACCAATTTTTATCGTACAGATCTGCTGGTGACAAATTCTCTTAATTATCTTTTACCTGAAATATCTCCTTATTTTGCATTTATCTTGAAGGACATCTGTACTGGATATAGAATTCTTAGTTGACCTTTTATTTCTTCCAGAACTTTAAAGATGTTATTCTAGTTTATTTTGTTTCTCTGGTTTCTGATGAGAAATCATTGGTCAGGAAAAGAGAAACAGAGAAAGAAAAACTGAGCAAATAACATGACAAACCTAAAACCTATCATATCAATAATGACAAAAACCTACATAAATCAGCACTCCAATTAAGGGCAGAGATTCTGTGACTGGATTAAAAAAAATAACCCAACCATATGCTCTTTTCAAGACATGAACTTTATTTTTTTTAATTTAACTTTTATTTTTAGTTCAGGGTACATGTGCAGGTTTTTGTATAGGTAAATTTGTATCATGAGAGTTTGTCATATGTAGGCTCCAGCCCTACAGGACCTGTGGGTTTTTCTCTTTGTGTGTGGAGATGAGAGAGTGTAGAAATAAAGACACAAGACAAAGAGAAGAAAAGAGAGTTGGGCCCAGGGGACCACTACCACCAAGGCACGGAGACTGATAGTGGCCTCGAATGCCAGGCTGCGCTGTTATTTATTGGATACAAGACAAGGGGGCAGGGTAAGGAGTGTGAGCCATCTCCAATGATAGGTAAGGTCACGTGAGTCACGTGTCCACCAGACAGGGGGCCCTTCCCTGTTCGGTAGCCGAGGCGGAGAGAGAGAGGGGACAGTTTATGTCATTATTTCTTCTATGTATTTCAAAGACTTTAGTACTTTCACTAATTTTTGCTACTGCTATTTAGAAGGCTGAGCCAGGTGTAGAGGGTGGAACATGAGAGTCAAACAGGAGCGTGACCACTGAAGCACAGCATCACAGGGAGACGTTTAGTCCTCCAGATGGCTGTGGGCGGGCTTGACTGATGTCGGGCCTTCCACAAGAGGTGGTGGAGCAGAGGCTTCTCTAACTCCCCCGGGCAAAGGGAGACTCCCTTTCCCGATCTGCTGAGTGATGGGTGCCTTCTCAGGCACTGGCGTTACCGCCAGACCAAGGAGCCCTCTAGTGGCCCTGTCCAGGCATGACAGAGGGCTCACACTCTTGTCTTCTGTTCACTTCTCACCGTGTCCCTTCAGCTCCTATCTCTGTATGGCCTGGTTTTTTCTAGGTTATAATTGTAGAACAAAGATTATTATAATATTGGAATAAAGAGTAATGTCATAAACTAATGATTAGTAATATTTATACATAACCATATCTATATTTTATGTCTAATACAACTATTTTTATTTTAAGTATTTTCTTTATTATACTGGAAGAGCTTGTGCCTTCAGTCTCTTGCCTCGGCACCTGGGTGGCTTGCTGCCCACAGTCATATAGTTTCTGTACCTATTAGTACCCACCCAGGTATTAAGCCTAGCACCCATTCATTATTTTTCTTGATCCTCTCCCTCCTTCCACCCGTTGCCTTCAAGTAGGCCCCGGTGTGTGTTGTTCCCTTCTATATGTCCATATGTTCTCATCATTTAGCTCCCACTCATAAGTGAGAACATGTGGCAATTGGTTTTCTTTTTCTGCATTAGTTAGCAAAGGATAATGGCCTCTAGCTCCATCCATGTTCCTGCAAAGTACATGATCTCGTTCTTTTTTATGGCTGCATAATGTTCCATGGTGCATATGTGCCACATTTTCTTTATCCAGTTCACCATTGATGGGCATTTAGGTTGATTCCATGTCTTTTCTATTGTGACAAGTGCTGCAATGAACATACATCTGCATGCAAAACATGCAATTTCAATATGAAGGCACAGATAAATAAAAATTGATGAAAAAAGCAATGCCATACAAACATTAAGCACAGAGGATTGAAATGGTTATTTTACTACCAGTAAAAGATTTTCAAATAATATGTATTACCAGAGAGAAAAAGAGGCGCTTCATAATAACAAAAGGGTAAAATCAACAGAAAGACATGCAACCAGAAATGGATCCAATAGCAAATCTTTAGAGTTCATGAAGAAAAATTGACAAAATTACAGAGAGAAGTAGAGAATTCTACAAACATGGTTAGACATTTTAAAGCTTTCTTTCAGCTATAAATACAAAAACTAAGAAAAATTTAGCAAAGACATAGAAAATTGAAAAGCATTATCAAGCACCCAGACTTAATTTATTTATATGCATATGCACATCAATGAAAAACACAAATTATCTGAAGTATGAATGATACATTTACCAGGAGAAACCATATTTCAGGCCATAAAACAATAAATTTGAAAACATTGAAATCATACAGAATATATTTTCTGGCCATAATGGAAATACATTAGAAATCTGTAACAATAAGATGATCTTGTGGGACTGAATGCTTTTGTCATCCTTAAACTCATAATTGAAACCTAATCTCTAATGTGATGGTGTTTGGAGGTTGTGCCATTAGAAAGTGATCATGCAGTGAAGGCAAAACCCTCATTAATAAAATGAATGCCCTTATAAAAGGGACCCCAGATTGCTTGCTCCTTCCACCACGTGGGGACACCAAGAAAAGGCAACATCCATGAATCAGGAAGCAGCCCTCACCATACACTGACTCTTCCCAGGCCTTGATCTTTGACTTCCCAGCCTCCGGAACTGTGAGAAATAGATTTCTGTTGTATGCAAGCCACATAGACTATGGAATTCTTTTATAACTGCCCAGATTGACTAAGACGGACGATCATGAAAATACCAAGGATTGGAAATTAAACATCAAAATTCTGAATAACAACTTATTCAAAGAGGAAATCACAGGAGAAATTAGAAAGTCTTCTGTTTTCTGAAGAATACTGAAGCACAACATATCAAATGTATGGGATGCAGTTGAAGTAGTGTTAGATATAAAAAGAGTTCCTCTTTAAGGGTTAACTTGCTCAGCATCCTGGCTCTTTGTTCCCTGCTTTCAAGGCCAGACTTCCTTACGCTCTGTATCCCCTGCCCTGGTAAACAAATTTCCCGCCAGTCCTTATCTATGGAGACCACATCCCACATCTGCTACCCACTCTATAGATTAACCCTCCTGTTGCAACAGCTCCTCCCGCCAAGACTGCACTCTCTGTTGGTATAACCACATTCCTGCACTTTTCAAGTTAGCCAGCCAGGTTCAGCTTAGATTGTGCAGTCCAGCTCCAGCCAATGGAGACAAGACACAGTTACAGGGACAAGCTGCATTAAGAGATTATAAAAAACCCCTGCTCTCCTTTGTTCAGGTGTGCACTCGCCATCGTTCCATCATAAGTAGCATCCTTTCTGCAGAAGTCAATTGCCTTGCTGAGAGATCCTTTGTCTCAGTGCTGATCTTTCTTTACAACACTGAGCATTTGTTCCCAACAAGCAGTACTGAAGAAAAAACTGATATCCTTAAATGCCTATATTAAGAAAGAAGGTAGGTCTCAAATTAGTAAATTAGTTTCTCCTGTAAGAAGCAAAGAAGAACAAATTAAACCAATGCATGCAGAAGGAAGGAAATAATAATAAAATAAAAAACTGAAGCAGAAAGAGAAAATTAATGAATCCAAATATTGGTTCTATAGGGAAAAATCGTACACCTTATAAATTTCTAGCCAGACTGATCAAGACAAAAACATACACATTAACAAGGTCAGCAATAAAAGAGAGAACATCAGTACACACTCTAGATCTCAAAAAGAAATATTGATAATCTCATGTCAATAAGTTTGACAAGCAAATGAAATGAACAATTTCCTTGAGAGGGAAAACTTATGAAAACTGACCTGAGAAGAGATAGAAAATGTGGTCAGCCATATATTGATTGTAGAAATTGAATTTGTAATCAAAATCCTTCTAATATAGGAAAGTCTAGGTCCAGAAGGCTTCACTGATGAATTGTATCAAACATATAATTTAGAAATTACATCAATTTTACACATACCTTTTAGAAATTAAAGTAGGCAGTTTTTTTCAATTCAGTCTACGAAGCCAGCTATATTAGTCCGTTTTCACACTGCTGATAAACACATACTCAAGACTGGGAAGAAAAAGAAGTTTAATTGGACTTACAATTCCACATGGCTCGATGGTCTCAGAATCATGGCAGGAGGTGAATTTTTTTTTTACGTAGCAGTGGCAAGAGAAAATGAGTAAGATACAAAAGCGGAAACCCCTGATAAAATCGTCAGGTCTTGTGAGCCTTATTCAATACCACAAGAACAGTATGGGGGAAACTGCCTCCATGATTCATATTATCTCCCACTGGGTCCCTCCTACAACATGTAAGAATTATGGGAGTATAATTCAAGATGAGATTTGGGTGGGGACACAGAGCCAAACCATATCATTCCACCCCTGGCCCCTCCAAATCTCATGTCCTCACATTTCAAAACCAATCATGCCTTCCCAACAATCCCCCAAAGTCTTTCCTCATTTCAGCATTAACCCAGAAATCCACAGTCCAAAGTCTCATCTGAGACAAGGCAAGTCCCTCCCACCTATTAACCTGTAAAATCAAAACCAAGCTAGTTACTTACGAGATACAATGGGGGTACAGGTATTGGGTAAATACAGCCATTCCAAATGGGAGAAATTGGCCAAAACAAAGGAGTTACAGGGCCCATGCAAGTCCTAAATCCAGTGGGGCAGTCAAATTCTAAAGCCCCAAGATGATCTCCTTTGACTCCATGTCTCACATCCAGGTCATGCTGATGCAAGAGGTAGGTCCCCATATCTTGGGCAGCTCTGCCCCTGTGGCTTTGCAGGGTATATGTTCCCTCCTGGCTGCTTTCACAGTCTGGCGCTGAGTGTCTGTGACTTTTCCAGATGCACAGTGCAAACTGTTGGTGGATCTACCATTTTGGGGTCTGGAACACGGTGGCCCTCTTCTTACAGCTCCACTAGGCAGTGCCCCAGTAGGGACTCTGTGTGGGGGCTCCAGCCCCACGTTTCCCTTCCACATTGCCCTAGCAGAGGTTCTCCATGAGGGCCCTGCCCCTGCAGCAAACTTTTGCCTGGGCATCCTAGCATTTCCATACATCTTCTGAAATCTAGGTGGAGGTTCCCAAACCTCCATTCTTGACTTCTGTGCACCTGCAGGCTCAAAACCACATGGAAGCTGTCAAGGCTTAAAGCTTGCACCCTCTGGAGCCATAGACCAAGCTGTACCTTGGCCCCTTTTAGCAACAGTGGGAGCATCTGGGATGCAGGGCACCAAGTCCCTAGGCTGTACATAGCATGGGGACCCTGGGCCCTGCCCATGAAACCATTTTTTCCTCCTATGCTTCTGGGTCTGTGATGAGAGGGGCTGCCATGAAGACCTATGGCATGCCCTGGAGACATTTTCCCCCTTGTCTTGGGGATCAACACTTGGCTTGTTGTTACTTATGCAAATTTCTGCAGCCAGCTTGAGTTTCTCCTCAAAAAATGGGTTTTTCTTTTCTACTGCATTGTCAGGCTGTAAATTTTCTGAACTTTTATGCTCTGTTTCCCTTTGAAAATGGAATGCTTTTAGGAGCACCCAAGTCACTCTTTGAATGCTTTGCTGCTTAGAAATTTTATCTGCCAGATACCCTACATCATTTTAAGGAAAGGCTAGCATGGGGAAGAAGAAGAGAGACGAGAAGAAAAGAGCTCCCTGCTTCTAGTGAGCAAAGGCCGCCGCCCGAGCTTCTTAGCCCTTCATATTTACTGGGTAATAAGGGCAAGGAGGAGGAGGTAATGATTGGTCAGCTGCTTAATTGATCACAGGTTCATATTGTTACTGGCAGGCTTCAATTGTGGCAAATCATAAGAAACATTCGTGCGGCCTCCAACATCTACTCCTTTTTGTTTTAAAATTAATTGAGCAAGGTAATTGCAGGCTGTGCAGCTCTTAATTGCCGGTTGGTGATCCAGCTTCATTTTTCTTAGCCCTTATTCAAAATAGAGTTGCTGTGGTTTGAATGCTTCTTACATATCTCCCCCTTCCCTTTTTACAAGAGGACGCTTAATCCTAAGGGTTGCAGAAGGATGAAGGTCTGTCTTCTGCAACTTCTTCATGCAGAATAAGGGCGATGATATTCCTGCCTAACTATTAGGGTCTCTTGTATTCAGGGTAGAGAGGAGCTGAGTCAGAAAGCACTGGTCCGTTAAACATCGATTGTACTTCTGAGTTCCAGCAAAAGGTGACACCCTGGCACTCCAGCAGTTTCTCAGCTTCCTGTGTGGTTTTCTTGATCAGTCCCCATGTTATGGGGGTTGATGTCAGCATGACTCTGGTCAGTCGTCGTTCCATCTTCGCATTCAGATTCAACTGGCTCATGGATTGTACTGGGGGAACCAGGTCCAGGGTTGGGATCCATGGGTCCCTCCAGTCTCCCATTCCAAGATGCACCTTGGAAAAAGAGACAAAAATCACTAGCATCTGTGGCCCACGCTTTTTCCTAAAAGGGTTTTGAGGACTTCAGTACTTACAGGGGAAAGAGCAGGCAGAAGGGGAAAAACAGTCAACTATGCATTCATCTTGTGCTCAGTAAATCTGAATTTTACATAAGCTAAAGTAAACATAGAGTAGTAAAATATGTGTTTGTCTCCGGGTGGGTGAAGGGATGATTTCTAGTCTTGTCTTTGTCCTGTACCTGTGAAGATAAGCTGTTACTTTACATTGTCAGGGGAAAAGTCAACAAAACTCTGTTTTAGGGTAAAGATGTTGGGGCCCACAAGGAATTACATTGTGAGCAGATTGTGAGGGAGGCCACTTGGGGAGATATGTGGTCCTCTATCTTTGCAGGTATTTGTTTAGGAACAAAAGAAAGGCAGTTTTTCCATGACTCAGTTCCCAAACTTAACTTTTCCCTTTGGCACTGTGAGTTTGGGGTCCCAAGATTTTATCTTTCTTTCACACTCAGTATTGCAGTTTATTATTGTCATAGCTTAAATCAGCGGTAATCATAGCTTACCTCAACATATTTGGCACCAAGTACTGGTTTCATGGAATAAAACTTTTCCACTGACCAGGGCAGGCGGCACAGGTAGGCGGGGATGGGTTTCGGGATGAAACTGTTCCACCTCAGATGATCAGGCACTGGAGTCTTATAAAGGAGCGTGCAGCCTAAATCCCTCGCATGCACAGTTTACAATAGGGTTCGTGCTCCCATGAGAATCTAATGCCACCACTGATCTGACCAGAGGCGGAGCTCAGGCGGTCATGCTCATGCTTTCTCGCCCACCCTTCACCTCCTGCTGTGCGGTCTGGTTCCCAACAGGCCACAAACCTGTACCGGTCCACTGCAGGGGAGTTAGGGACCCCTGGTTTAAATTATGCCACTATAACAGAACACCTGAGACTGGATAACTTACAATGAACACAAATTTAATTGGCTCATGGTTGTCGAGGATGGGAATTCCAAAATCAAGGGAATGTATCTGGCAGAAGGGAGAAGCGCAAGAGAGGGTGAGAGCTAGAGGGAGTAAGAGGTCGAACTCACAGGCTCAGGTCCTTTATGATCAGCATTAATGAGGGCAGCCTTGATCAGTTCATTAATGAAGGCAGAGCTCTGATGGTCCAATCACCTCTCAAAGGTCCCATCTCTTAACATTGTTGCACTGGGGATTAAGTTTCCAACAGACGCTTTTCTGGGGAAACATTCAAACAATAGCAGTTGTAAAGGATACAAATGAGCAGGCAGATGAAGTGCAGGAGGCGACATCTGGAAGCACTCTGAGCACACGACCCTCTGTCCCCATGGAGACGGGGTGCACCATCATTGTCAAGAGACAATATCATCTCTTGCTTATACCTCTTTTTTTTGGGAGTTCATGTAACATTGGATTTTCCTCATTACACAACCCATTTATTCATTCATTTACCCTCAGCTACTATTCCTCCTTCTACTTCATTTATACCAAACATTAACAGTTTTGGAAGAAACATTAAGTTCTGCTACTGTGCTGGCCTAGACTGAAGGGAGCAATACTGTTCTAGCAAGTGTCTCTCGTTGGTCCATTCCAGTTCATAGAGGGTAGGGTTATGCAGGTAGAGAACTAGTTGGCTATCTGACCCCAGGCAATATAGCTGCATTCAGTGTTAGCCCCAACTTTGCCAGATGCAGTGAAGGCACAACCTACTCCTCCAGGCCCTGAGGAATTCTTGCATAATGGTTTTAAAATATATTTACACTTTCTTGCTTAGGAATAATTCCTGTTTTGGCACTTTTATATGCATCCCTTGTCCTAAGACCACTGAATCAGGTATGAGAAAGGCGAGTTGAGGTGAAGTCTAGTCATCATTCCAGTGTCCTCTTGTCATGGGAAAAATCGTATGTCAGGTCATACTAGCACCTTTCCCTGATCCAGCAGGAAAAAAGAGGATACTCTCTAGTGGGGACACTCCTTTTTCCACACTCATGTCTGGTGTGAGCCCACTCATGAACGTGTGTAAGCCCGCCCTTCATGCTTATGTCTCCCCACTCCTGCTTTATACAAGTAATGTGTCATTTGACTATTTTTATTCTCTATGAAACTATTCCTCTGAGCAAAATATTTTTCTGAACATTGTTGGACATTTTGGGCAAATGTGTTTCCTGGTGTGAAGAAATGTGACTCAGTGATGCAAATGGTTGCAATATCTCCCGTCCAGGTTCTATTATAGTGCTCTAAGCATTTGCATCTGAGATGAAGTACGGATTTATCTTAGAAGCCTGCTAGACCTCCCTAACATGGAAATAAAGGAAAATGTTGAGTTCCTTCAAGAGAAATTCCAGGCACCTAGCCAGCCCTGAAAAGCAAGTGAGTGACCTTATAAGCAAGCAGGTAAAAATAGCTTAAACAATAGCCAAGGAAGTTAGAGTCCCAAGATGTTTGATTCTCTATAGAAACTAAAGAGAACATCTTAACATATGTCCTTGAGTAGTTTTTCAGGAACCCAGACTCTCACCAAACAGAGCCACTGATAGGGAGACCTCAGATAAGGGGAAAATGAGGACTCAATGCTGACTGTGACTCTTTGTTCTAAATTTTTTCCTGAGGGGCCTGGAAAGAGTCAGGTCCACAGAGCAGACCTGAACATTCCTCCCTACTGCCCCTAAGTGTGTAGACAAAGCTTTGGCTCCTTATCCAATCACAAATCAGAGAATCTTTCAATCCACCTATGACCTGTACGATCCCTCATCAGGATATCCCACCTTTTTAGGCCAAACCAGTGTGTAATTTCTATGCATTGATTTTTGATGTTGCCTGCAACTCGGCTTTGCTGAAATTTACTCCTGCCTTAAAAACTCTTGCTTGTAAGCCATTGGGGAGGTTAGGTCTTAAGTGTGAGCTGCCCGATTCTCCTTGCTTGGTGCCTTGCAAATAAACGCCTTCCTTTCTCCCACTACAAAATCTCAGTGTGGATGTTTGCCTTTATTGCACCAGGTGAGTGGGCCCCAGTTCAGTTTGATAACACATCTACCACCAGCTAAGCAATGCTTACTCCAGGGTCAGTATCTATTCCTGCCAAGACCCATTTGCTGCCTCCTAGGGGTACTGGTATCAGTCTAATTTGCCAGCTATCTATTTTCAAGACCTTCCCATGAGAGAATTTGCTACATAGCCATATGCTGTCTCTGTCTCTTCTTAAACAGAACAGTCCTTATGGGTATTTCGTGCCTGTGAGTTGGAGGATGTAAAAGGAATATATCTTGATTCAGCCTATCTCTGCATTGCTGCAGCCCTCAGTGTCTACTTATTTCACGGACCCAGGTGATCACCACAAGCAAACGTGGATTTTTTTGAGATGTGGTATTGATATTTTTCCCTGGACTCAAAAGTTGCTCAGGCAAAACTAAGACTCCTGGGCTCAAGAGATCCTTCTGCCTCAGTTCTTCTTGTAGCTGGAAATACAGGTACACCTGGAAATCACTTAGAAATAAATGCTTGTTGATTTCAATCACCTTCCAAACCTGGAGGAGGGTTATTCTGAGGGGCATTGAACTAATTGAACTATTCTGAGGGAATGGTACTAAACGATTCATGAGAAGCCACCCCCATGATGCAATCACCTCCCTTGAGGCCTCACCTCCAACACTGGGGATTATATCTCAACATGAGATTTGGGTGGGGACAACACCCAATTTATATCAGACATCAACACGCCTTACATTAATGCACCCCTCAAATTACCATAGTGATTTCCACAGGACTGTGTCCTATACGGGTATTCTTTTCATAGGCCAGTTTTCCATTGCTCTCTTAATTATATGGCCAGGCCATCAGTCAATGCCCATAAGTCAGTAAAAACTAAGACATAGGGACTTTTGTCATTGTTCAATTCTTTCATCACTTCTCAGAAAACATCATGCAATTCAACCAAAAAAAAAAAAAAAAACTGTCCTGTTTTTAACTTCTTTGATCAAAGGGGTAGACTTCCAAACAGGATGTTGTCCACTCATCTTGCAAATGCTGTACACAAACCAACCAGCTCTTTGTGGGTCAGTTGACTGATATTGCAGTTCAAATCCCAGGATGTCTGCTGCAGAGTTCCATCTTGTTTAGGGAGGGTCACATTATAAAGGTCAAACTACTTTACTCAAAGCCTAGCAATTATCAGGTTCAAGCGATTCTCCTGCCTTAGTCTCTTGAGTAGCTGGGATTACAGGCACCTGTCATCACGCCCAGCTAATTTTTTTGTATTTTTAGTAGAGATGAGGTTTCACCATGTTGGCCAGGCTGGTCTTGAACTCCTGACCTCAGGTGATCTGCCCATCTCGGCCTCCCAAAGTGCTGGGATTACAGGCATGAGCCACCGCGCCTGGCCACTCTTCATTATATAAAATATAAGACAGTCTGTCCTCCATGTCTGTGTGTTCCACATCTGTGAATTCAACTACCTGAGGATTGGAAATGTTATGTTGCTGCTGTTGTGTACTCTGTAGTTAGGCCTACTGACAGTGGTTACATCTGTACTGAAGATGTACAGACATTTTCTTGTCGTTATTTCCTAAACAATATAGTATAACTACTGTTTACAATCATGTACATTGCACTAGGTATTGTAAGTAATCTAGAGATGATTTAAAGTATATGGGATGATATGCATAGGTAGTAGGCATATAGTAGGCCATTTTATACATGGGACCAGAGAATCCACAGATTTTGGTATCCACAGGGGTCCTAGAACCCAGCCCAAAAGGATACCAAGGGATGACTATATAGGACTGACATTCCTTTTTTAAGTTTTTGAAAGAATTGATGGGAGGAAATGTGGTAAGAAGTTTTTCTGGTGGGAAGGAATTTAATTAAAATTCAATTTCTTAATGGATAGAGGACTATTTATATTTTCTACTTAGTTTTCTGTTGGCTTTGTTCAACTGTGTTTTTCAAGAACTCATTTCATTGCACCTAAATTTTAAAAGGTATTGTCATGAAGTTGTGTCTAATATTCTCTTATTTTCATTTTAATAAAATCTGTGGTTTTATAAGTTGTCCCTTCTCACAGTGTTCATTCGTGTTTTCTCTCTTTGTATGATTGATCTTTCTGGGGATTATGAAATAGTTTGCCCATGATTTCCTCTATTATCCTTAACATATTAATCATAAATATATTGAAGAATGTCCTTGCTCGCTGGCTTCAGTATCCAGATCATCTGAGTCGGCTTCTGTTGATTATTTTATCTCCACTTGTTGCATTTTTTCTGCTGCTTGGCATGCCACATATTCTGGGTGATGTGTTACAGAGGTTCTGGATTTTGCTATCTTCCTGCTAAGACTGCTAACTGCTTGACGGTTCATTAATTATCATAAAAATCAGACCCACTTTGATTCTGCTTAGGCTTGATTTTAGCCTTTGTTAACATGAGTCTAGTTCAGTGCGGTCCTTACTCCAAGGCAAGGGTCCTCACTCATAGTGCTTCACCACCCTGTTGGCTCAACCCAGGTTTGGCTGGGCTAAAATTCCAACATCTCCTCATACTCTGAAGCCTTTGGCATTTCTACTTAGCATGCAATCTCCAAGCAACTGTTCTCTGGTGGGCTTCTTAGAGTATCACCTAAAGCATATGCAGCTTAGGAGTGCAGATTTTGGGGGTTTCTTCTCTGTAGTGACATTGTAGGTGACACTGTACATCATAGTACAATGCATTAATGATATGTTTGTGGTGATGCTGGTGTAAACAAACCTACTGCACTGTCAATCCTATAAAAGTCTAGCACATACAGTTATGTACAATACATAATCCTTGATAATGATAATAAATGACTATGTTACTGGTTTACATATTTACTATACTTTTTATTGTTATTTTAGAGTGTGCTCCTTCTAATTATTAAAAAAACTTGAAACAGCCTCGGCCAGGTCCTTTAGGAGGTATTCCAGAAGAAGGCATTGTTATCATAGGAGATGGCAGCTCCATGCATGTTATTACACCTGAAAATCTTCCAGTGGGACAAGATGTAAAGGCTAAAGATAGTGATATTGTTGATCCTAACCCTGTGTCAGCCTAGGCTAATTTATGTCTTTTTTTTTTAACAGAAAAGATTTAAAAGTAAAAAAAAAATTAAATAGAAATAAGTTTCTAGAATGAAAATATAAGGAACAATATTTTTGTACAGCTTTGTAACATGTTGGTCTTTTAAGCTAAGTGCTATTACAAAAGCTGAAAAGTTTTAAAAATTAAAGTTTATAAAGTTAAAAAAGTTACATTAAGCTAAGGTTAATTTATTATTAAAGAAAGAAAATTATTTTTAAAATCAATTTAGTGTAACCTAAGTGTACAGCATTTATAAAATCTACAGTAGTGCACAGTAATGGCCTAGGCCTTCAGTTCACTCACCACTCACTTGCTGACTCACCCAGAGCAACTTCCAGTCCTGTAAGCTCCATTCATGATGAGTAACCTATATAGGTGTGCCATTGTAAAAATCTTTTTACCATATTTTTACTGTACTTTTTCTGTTTACATATGTTTAGATCCACAAATACCTACCATTGTGTTACAATTGCCTACAGTACTCAGTATAGTAATGTGCTATCCAAGTTTGTAGCCTAGGAGCAATAGGCTTTATGATATAGCGTAGGTGTGCAGTAGGCTATATCATCTAGCTTTGTGTATGGACACTTTATGATGTTCACGTAAGACCAAATCACCTAAGGACACATTTCTCAGAACCTATCTTATCATTAAGAAAGAATGACTATATATGTAATGTAAGTCCTTTGAAGTTTAAGCATTTTCACTTTCATATATTTGTCTCATTTAAGAAATATTTTCCATTCCAGCAGGTACAGCTAAAAAAAAAGAAAAAAGAAAAAAAGAAAAATTTTCTTGCTCAAATGTTTTAAGGTTATCCTCCTAATAACATTGGTAGTAGTTTTATTTTTTCATATTTGTCTTTACCGCTTATATAATTTTTTGTTTATCTCAAGGTGTAGAGATATAATTTAATCATAGGGTGTTTAGTAAAATATCAATGCTGGGAAAGGGCTTAGGAGATAACGATGAATCAAAACACAGCACAAAGGCCAGGTACTGTGGCTCACTCCTGTAATCCCAGCACTTTGGGAGGCCAAGGAGGGTGAACCACTTGAGCCCAGAGGTTCTAGACCAGCCTGGGAAACATACTGAGACCTCGTCTCTACAAACACATGTCAATCAATGCAGCATAATAGAGAATCTGGAAATAAATCCATATATTTACAGCCAACTGATTCTTGACAAAGGTGCCAAGAACATACATTTGGGGAAAGGACACCCTCTTCAATAAATGGTGCTGGGGAAATTGGATATCCACATGCAGAAGAATGGAATTAGATCCCTATATCTCACCCTATATAAATATCAACTCAAGATGGATTAAATACTTAGACGTAAGACCCAAAACTATAAAACAACTGGAAGCAAACATATGAGAAACATTCTAGGACATTGGTCTGGGTAACGATTTTATGGCTAAGACTTCAGAAGCACAGACAACCCAAACAAAATAGACAAATGGGACTATAATAAACTAAAACGCTTCTGCGCAGCAAAGAAAACCATCAAAAGAGTAGACAGACAACCTGTTGAATGGGAGAAAATATTTTCAAACAATTTATCTGACAAGGGACTAATATCCAGAATATGTAAGGAACTCAAGAGCTAAAAAAACCAAAAAATTCTATTAAAAAGTGGACAAACGACATGAATAGACATTTCTCAAAAGAAGACATACAAATGGCCAGCAGGTACATGAAAAATGCTCAACATCACTTATCATCAGGGAAATGCAAATCAAAACCACAATGAGATATCATCTTACCCCCAGATAGAATGGGTACAACTAAAAAGACAAAAAAAAACAAACAAACAAATAGATGTTTGTGAGGATGTGGAGAAAAGGGCACTCTTACACACAGTGTGTAAAACTAGTACAGCAACTGTAAAAAACAGTATACAGAGTTTTCAAAACACTGAAAATAGAATCACTGTATTATCAAGCAATTTTGGGGTGGGGCTGCAGGGTCCTGGAGTTCAGGTTGGCAGAGAGCAGGGCCTGGAGGTGCTTGGGAGGCCGGAGGAGAAGGAAAGAGGCAGATGCCTGGGTCCCAGGGTATCGAAGTGGGGAGGGTCTGGGGCAAGAGGTAAATGGGCGAATTCTTGAGATCCATTGAGAATCCATGGTCAGCCCTTGAGATCCAAAGAAAGGGGTCAGAAGCTTGGGCCAGGCTCACCGCTGAGCTCTTTGTAACCCCTTTGTAACCCATGACCACCTTCAGACTCCCAGCTAAGTGAGTCTTTGACCCTCCAAGAACAACATCTCCTTGGCTGCCAGCAGAGGGACCTGCTCTCTGCCCATGACCCCAGGGCCCCTGGGCCTGGCATGGCAGCTCCTGCTGTCAAAGGCAAAGAAGAGGCAGCCGTCCAGCTAGCCCAGTGCTATGACTGCAGGCTTCCTGGGGGTGGACTCTGATAGGGCCTTAAGATCCTAGCTCAGAAAGCGGGACCCTGAAATTCCCAGGGCTGGGCCCCTTAGCACCTGTATAGCAGCTCTCTTCTCCTCAGAACCCTAGAAACTCTCTCCCACTCTACACACACCTGCACGCACACACATCAACACAAACACACACATTCCTAACAGGATGTTTTCCATTTTTCTCTCCTCCCTGGCTCCTTTCACTCTCTTTCTCCCCCCTTGCCCCCTTCTCTTATGGTCCATTTCTTCTCTCTTCTGCTCTCTGGAGGTTCCCTTCTTCCTGGACCGAGGCACTAGGAGCTGCTGTCCCTGGACCCCAGGGTTGGAGGCTAACAGGCTGATTCCTGGGATGAGCAGCCTCTAGCAGCAGGAACAAAGGAGGGGACGGGAGGCCAAGGCCCCATCTGGAGGCTGAGGGACTGGGTCCTGTGGCAGCAAGGATTTGGGGGTGTGTCATCCCCACATCTGATCCCACTGTTTTGCCCTGGAGGCCTCTCTCTGCTCTGAGGCAAAAGTCCAGTCACTCAGTGGTGAGAGGAAATGTCATTGTCAACATGGATTTTGGGAAGCTGAATGGACTCAGAGCCTGACTTGAGACCCGGAGGCTCCTTGAGTGCAGAGCCCTGTCCAGGTGCTGGGAGCAGAGGGAGAGCCTCGGAGGTCCTGGTTGGTGAGAAAGGGGAGCGGGGTCCGGTCCTCTGTCCTCGTCCCTGTGGCCACACGGGGGCGCCGCCGCGCTGCTCTCGCATTCTGATTGAGCGCTCTCAGGCACTGGGTGAGGGCTGAGTGGGGCAGAAGGGGCGGAGCCTGAGGTCATCCACGCGGGAATGCAGGTTCCTCCTAAGCAGCCCTGGAATCCACAGACTCAGGCTAGATTTGCTTGTCTTGCAACGTGAGGCAATTGTGGAGCAGCAAGATCTGGCTCTAGAATTCTCACCGCGAATGCGGTTCTTATAGAATCCAACCTGAATGAGAGGCCAGGGCCTGAGCTGACTGCCCTGGGCACACCTGGCTTTGATGGGGTTGCCAAAATATAACTGGCACTTACAGAAATTTCAATGATTGTCGAAAAGTCCATATAATTATATACAATTTCATTTCTGATGTCTCTGGCTGTGCCTTTGAAAGGGCATAAAGAGCCATGGAAAGAGGCTGAAAGGCTCCTCTGGGAATTTTCAAATCCCTTTTCATAGCAGCAACTTGGTCTAGCCCAGTGCTATGACTGCAGGCTTCCTGGGGCTGGACTCTGATAGGGTCTTAAGGTCCTAACTAAGAAAATGGGACCCTGGAACTCTCAGGGCTGGGCCCTGAAGAAACACAGGGAGAAGGATCTGGAGGCGCAACCCTCCCTTCTGATCAGCACGGGCAGGGCTGTCTGAGCGCGTTTCCCCTCTGTGTTCAGCAGGATCGACTTTGCAGTGAGGCGCAGCCCCTGTCTCCCTGGGGGCCTCAGGTCCACACATCCTTCCACTGCCGCATGTCAGAAGCATCTGTTTCCTTTATTTTGTTTTCCACAGACTTCTTTCTTTTTTCTGTCCTTGACCACTAATACAACACAGGCAAGATCCTATAAGACCAGGTAAAAGATGTTACTGATAATAGTGAAGGCATGGTTGTGAAGGGACAATGGCAGATACAGACAGAGCCAGAGACAAAACAGAAAGGCAGAACAGAGATAGAAACACACACAGAAAATGAACATCCATCCGTCCATCCAACCATCCATCCATCCATGCATTCATCCATGCATGCATCTGTCTGCTCTCTACCTTTCTATCTCCTTACAAGGGAGGTACATCAACACTTTTACATTCATTTCCCAACAAAAATCACAAGATTTTCCTTGTCGGCTCACACCTGCCCTCCTTCATCCAGCCAACTGATGTGTTTGCTGAGGTCTTGCCACATGCCACACTGGGTGCTGAGCTTTGGGGTCTGAACAGTAACAGACCTCTGTGATGCACTCACACGGGGCCCTTTACTGTCCTGTCCTTGGCTATGAGACATCCTCATGTCCCTGAAGCTCTTCTTTCTGCTTCTTGGATAAAGTCCCTGACCACCTCCCTACTGGCACCCAGGAGACTCTGACATCCTGGAACACCAGTATCTTTCATCAAACACTGACTTACAGCATTTATCCTGTGTCTGTCACTCACTACATACCCTTTTGATGATTTTCTCATTTAGAGATTGTTAAAAAAGGATGTGATTGTAACCTCAGACAAGTGTAATAGAATAGTAAAATAAGGAACTCTGTGAAAAGGGCTTTTTCTGCTTTCTCCCAGAACATCTCATTTGCATCTGTGTTTGGCTGGATGAAAAGTGGCTTCCATATCCCCTGACATAATGCAACAAGCAGAAACACTTGCTCAGTAAACAAGTACTTCGGAAAATGCAGGGTCTTGAACACTGCCCTCAGGGCTCCACACATCAGAAGGACATATATATCTTTCCTTCAACCCCAGAGATGCCCAGGGGCTGCATGTTGGCTCCTCACTGGTCTTACTCATGTCCTACTGGAAGAGGACGGTGCTTCTCTGGAAATGTCAGAGTGGTGTGGGACAGCCAGTTCCTCTGTGTGCCCTGCAGGAAAACAGACAATTCAGCTTTTCAATCCCACTCAGTATCTGAAAATAAACTGGGTTTTCAATGTATTCCCCTCCAGAGAGTAAATTGCGGAGGAAACATGTTCAAACGCACACTTAATTATTTTCCGAGTCAAGAATGTAAGTATGAGGCCCTTTAAGACGAGTTAAGAGAAGTTCCTGACCTCAAATTTCATGTGGAAGTTATAAGATGGAGCTGGAAGCATCTGTCCTTACCTCTGGGTATAAAGTTGGGACCCCGCGGGAGGCAGTCAGCCACAGTTAGGGCACCAAGCAAACCCTCAGGAAGGACTCGGTCCACGCAGGAGCCTCCCTAAGCAGCTTCTCCCTGAAGAAAACCTGAAGTCTTAGAAATCCAAGAAGAACAAAGATATTCATGTCTCTGATAAGGAAAATGAAATGCCAGCAATCCAGCACTGAGAAGGGAAGCTACGAGACCACATTTTCTGCACGTGGAGAAGACATGTTTAATGGAGAGGTGGGAACTTGTCTCAAAAGTGTTGCGCTGCCGTGAGAACGTGTGGTCATCACTGCCACCACCCGCTGCTCGCTCAGTGGCCTCTGCCCATTGTAACTAATGGGCCAATGAATAGAAACACTTTTCACCTTCCTCTCCTGCAATAAGGCTATTAAAATAAATCATCTCCTCTGGTTGATTTTTCACTTAGGGAAAAAATAACTGGGGTAATGCATGCCCGTAGACCAGGTTTTAAAGAAGTTCTCAGAAAACCCTGAGACAGTCTCCAGAAGGCTCATCCAGCAGAAACGAGGCCTTGCACTTCTGCCATCCCGTGTGTCACCATGATGGAGTTTGCCCAGCTAGGGATGGCAAGAGGCCAAGTCATCACAGGTGATCTGCAGGCCTGGTGAGGAAGGACAATGACAGACGGGAAGGAGGAAATGCACACACACGACCAGACCTCCTGCCATTCCTTTGTCCATTGGTCTTGCTCTGTCTTTCACTCTCTGAAATTTTGTTGTCATGAGTCTTGGTGTGGGTCTGTTTCCATCTCCTGTATTGAGAACTTTGTTGCAGCCATTCACACTATACATTTTTGTCAGTAGCCTTCAAAACATTTTCTTGAATTACTTTTAATTACTTTCTATGGTTATTGGAACTTATATTATGAGACTGCTGGAATTCCTTAATTGATAGTATAATATTCTTAAAGTTCTATCATGCTTGGCATCACGTTTTTATTTTGTACTACCTTGCAGCACACAACTTTCATTTCAGTTCATTTTTTAAACTCTTTATTTCAATGATCATATTTTAAAATTCCAGAGCTCTTTCTAGTTCTCTGCATGAAATTGTTTATAAATTTGTTCAAATCTCATAACTGCTGTTTTCTTACATCTTTCACACATAATTGGTAATAGTGGTAGGGACCCATTAGGTCTCCTTGTAACCTGCTTTCATGATATCACAAACTTTTCCCTTACGCTCATTAGCAATTTCACAATCTTGGGGCAATTTTTGCTAAATATTTATCTTCCTTACAATATTGAAAACTCCCCATCTCCAAGATTTTACTCTTGCTCTTCATTATATCCTCAAGTGCTTAGCAGATCTCCTGATCACTGGAAATACACCCTGGATGAACGGACTTCTGCGTGAATTTGGCAGTTAAGTCATTGCCCTTCTTGTCTTCCTGAGCTCTGAGCCAGTGGCCTCCTGTCCATAGAACATTCTGGGACATCAAAACAGTTCACTTGTGTAAGGTGCAGATGAAGAGAGAATCAATGGAAGACAAGTCAACAAGGCCTCTGAGAGAAAATCTCCAGGGTTCAACCCTAGCCCCACCACCTTCTTTACCTCTCTCCTTCCCTGTCTGTACAAAGGATCACATATTGAGTTCCCCATGGGTTTGCATTGAGGATTAAATCTGACTCTCTATGTAAAGCCATGGCATTATTTTCTGAGTCATACTAAATGCTCCATTATTGATAACTATCATCACTATATTCATTACAATCTTTGGGTTATTTCCATTATTTTGCTTTTATAAACCACAATTCAAGGAACATTCTTATATATGTGGTTTTTTTGTTTTTGTTTTGGGACAGAGTCTCGACCTGTCACCCAGGCTGAAGTGCAGTGACATGATCGCAGCTCACTGCAACCTCCACCTCCCGGGTTCAAGCAATTCTTCTGCCTCAGCCTCCCGAGTAGCCGGAACCACAGGTGTCTGCCACCACGCTCGGCTAATTTTTGTAGTTTTTAGTAGAGACGGGGTTTCACCATGTTGGCCAGGCTGATCTTGAACTCCTGACCTCGTAATCCACCTGCCTCGGCCTCCCAAAGTGCTGGGATTACAGGCATGAGCCACCGCGCCCGGCCTATATATGCGTTTTTAGAAAGATATGTAATTATTTCCTTGGGATAAATTCCTAAAAGAGAAATTTTCATGTCAAAATGTCAGAACACTTAGGCCCGGCGCAGTCCCTCACCCCTGTAATCCCAGCACTTTGGGAGACCAAGGCGGGTGGATCACTTGAGGTCAAGGATTTGAGATGAGCCTGGCCATCATGGTGAAACCCCATTTCTACTAAAATTACAAAAATTAGCTGGGCGTGGTGGCACGCACCTGTAGTCCCAGCTACGCGGGAGGCTGAGGCAGGAGAATCGCTTGAACCCAGGAGGTGGAGGCTTCAATAAGTCAAGATTGTGCCACTGCACTCCAGCCTGGGCGACAGAGCAAGACTCTGTCTCAAAAACGTCAGAACATTTAAATTATTGAGACATTTTGCAAAAGTGCCCTTTAGAAGTTTTGTACCACTTTTCAATGCCATCAGTCTTCGTAACAGTACATTTTCCCTGTACTCTGATCAATACTACCATCATTTACTTCTGTCTTTGCCAAGCTGATGGATTTTAATTCTGGTTCCCATTTTGTAGTCTACATTCTTATTTTTTGCACATATTTATTACTAATATAACTATATGACATTTCTTAATCATTTCTCAAACGTAATGCTGATATTTTTAAATATTGAATTTAATCAAGAAAAAGCAGCCCCTAATATCTGGGAACTTGTCTGGCACAGCTGGGCATCAGTGTTGCCAGGAGCTGGTCTGGTCTTCACTACTGGGCCATATTAGTCCCTCTGGGACATAAATTATATCACAAAATACCAACACCACACTGGATCACTCTCAGCCCATGAGAAAGTGAGGCGAAACAAAAGTACTTCATAATTTTGTCTAAACCCTCTCCCGGCTAGTATGAGTGGCTGATGCTTCTCTACGGATTAAGCTTTATCTGCACTCTAGTCCACCCTCCCTAAAGGTAAGATTTATTGAAATACCGAATTGTAGAATTGCCTCTGCTTACTGACAGTACTAAATCTAGAGCAATAAAATAAAATAGAATTTCTCAACTGTGTTATCTGTATTTTCTTTTTTTCCTTATTCTCATGCTCTGGCATCTGAGTCCTCACTGATTGTGAGGACTCCCCTCCCAAGACTAGTCTATTCCTACAGATACTAAAGGGATTGACCGCAAATGCGCCTTTCTTATGCAAACTAACCAAACCAGAGCCCAAACTCAGAATGAGTTCTTTTTTTCTGGCTGTCACATGGCCCCGATACTCCCAGTCAATATTCTCCTGTCTTAATAATCTGAGAGACAGGTATCAGACAACTAGAGACAATCCCTATGCCTCAGAGTCACCAAGATTATTCAGACTCATCAATACTGAACATGTCTACACTGCTTACCCTGCCTTGCTCATTCATTCCCCTAAAAACCACATTAGAGGCTCTCGCCCATGCTTTCCCCTCCCGTTGCCACTTGACCAGCCTTGGTGCTGCCTGTTGTGCTGTGCTTCCTATGTCAGTGGGTAATAAACTCTTTTTTCAGTGGCATAGACCTCTCTGTGTCATCATTCAGTCATAACTACTAATTAATTAAATCCCAGGGAAACTTGAAATACCAGCTGAAGCCCAAATATTATAATAGGCTCTATCTAAAAGGCACTTACCAAGATACTCGGTAGTTATCCAAGGTGTGCATTCTCCCTCCCACTGCAGTGAGTAATAAACCCAACTTCTTCACCCACAGATGTGCTCCAGGTGGCCTTGGGCTGAAGGGTATTAACACATTGTTACTATTTTGTCCATCAACTGTTTACATGTCTTTGAGGTTGATTATGGGAAAGTGTTTGTACATTTCTGTGTTTGTGGATGCCAAAGAGATTTTTTTTAATTTGTAAGTAGTCAAAATGATTATCATCATTCTTCATCACTTTTCACATTTTGGTCATGCTTAGAACATCTGCACTCCAGAGTTGTGAAAACTTCATACATATTTGACCTAGGAAGAGACGATGAGGAAAGGGGTCCGAGAGTTGAAGGACATAGAATTGTTTCAAGTTGTGGAAAAGTAAAGATTACTAATGCGATGGGATTGTAAGGTTTAATTATTTTATAATTTTTGAAATGTGTCTACTGGGTCTGTAGGGTACTTAATATATGTGGTATCCAATAAATACAACTTAGGATGAGTACTCAAGACTTATTTGCCTTCTTACATTCACCAAAGTAAAGAAAATATTATGCCAGATTTCCAGTGAAATATAGACATGGATTGGCAACAGTGATGTGCATTTATGAAGACTTGATACTATGAACTGATAATTCATATTTTGGTTGATGTCTATACACTGTAGTTGTTCAAATACACATTAATTAAACTTTCTTGGGCATGCTATATTTCAATGATATGTCTGAGACCCATATAGACAAATTCATGGCTTCCATATGAAGACAACTTTGATATATTCAATCTATGAGTGACATGGTATACTTTTAGGGAGATTAAAAACTAAGATACTCTGGTATGCACTATCAAATTTCATTGGAGATGTGGTTACTTGAGCTGTGGTGGCTACACTTGCGATGAAGCGGAAGAAGAGCTCTGGTATGTAAGGACTGGGATCTGCATTGTCATGTTCCATTCTGCATTGATAATAAAATGTACCCCACATACCCCGCCCCCCACCACACACACAGACACACACACACAAAACACAAACACTCATGCTTACCCAGTCATAGTCCCTGCTTGCTGAAATTTCTGTAACGTAAAGCACTTGTGAAAATAAAGGACCAGTCATCACCTTGATGATTCTAGAGATGGGGACCCGATTCCCAGAAGTCATAGGTCAGAAGGGAAAGACTGCTGAGGACAGACCTCCAGTCACCCAAGAGGGAAGGTGGTCCAGCCCCTGCACGTCTCCTGTCCTTGTTTTCCTGATCCTGCCCTGGGTATGGTTATAGAGTCGAATAGATAAATTGAACTTCATCAAACCAAAACTTTTATGCATCAGAGAACACTATCAATACAGTGAAAAGGCAATCCATACAATGGCAGAAAATATTTGCCTATTACATATCTCATATGGGTCAAGTGTTTGGATACACAAAGAACCCTTTAAACATCAATAACAAAATGACAAATAATCCCATTACAAAATGGGCAAAGAAATTGAAAAGTCATTTCTTCAAAGAAGATACATAAACCGCCAATATACACAGGAAAAGATACTCAACATCATTAGCCATTAAAGAAATGCAAATTAAACCACAATAATATGGCTATAATAATAATTTTTTTAAAATGAAAATAAATGTTAGGAAAGATAAGCAGAAATTAGAACCCTCATACCACTATATTTTATGGAAATATAAAATGGCCAGCTGAGGTTCTTATTTGGTGGAAGCATTTCTTTCCTGGGAAATCCACTAAGCCCAAGGTTGCAGAGATGTGAAGCAGAAATTTTAAAAGTAATTAATAGGTGTAATTGTACAAGAATATTTATTAACATAATAAATTATCTCAGCTTTTTTAGTCAAAATAACTCCTATAACTTTGTTCATCTTTTTAGAAATTACTTAAATTGTACTGACTATGATAACATGCCTGTAGTCTCAGCTACTCAAGAGACTGAGATGGGAGGACACCTTGAGCCCAGGAGTTCAAGACTAACCCGGACAACATAGCAAAACTTGTCCTGAAAAAAAATGAAAAATTAGCTGCACATGGTAGTGCATGACTGTAGTCTCAGCTACCTGGGGGCTGAGGTGGATGGATCCCTTGAGCCCAGAAGTTAGAAGCCAACATGGGGTAATATAGAAAGACTCTTTCTCTAAAATTTTTAAAAAATAAATTGCATGAGTTATTCTAGACCTTTTATGTTTTCATATAAATTTGTAAATCAGCTCATAAATTTCTATCAAAAAGCCTCCTAGAATTTTGTTAGTTTTTTTTTAAATCTCTGGGTTAATTTGGGGAGTGTTGCATTTTAACAATGTTAAATCTTGCTCCCCATGAACAGGGGATCTATTTATTTAGGTCTTCTATGTACTCTTTCCACAGTGTCTCTTGATTTCTAGTGTCTTGGATTTCAGAGATCTTAAATATTTTTTGTATGATTTATTTATTTTCTTTGTTGTTGTTGTTTTTGTTGTTGTTTGCCCTATGAAGTTTTATTTTATTTCAATAGTTTTTTGGGGTACAGGTGGGTTTTGGTTTAATGGATGAGTTCTTTAGTGGTGAATTCTGAGACTTTAGTGCACCTGTCACCCAAGCAATATACACTGTACCCAATATGTAGTCTTTTATCTCACTCCCCTCTCAGCCTGTCCCTTGAGTCCCCAAAGTCCATTATATCGCTCTATATGTCTTTGCATCCTCCTAGCTTAGCTCCCACTTATAAGTGAGAACATACAGTATTTGGTTTTCCATTCCTGAGTTACCTCACTTAGAATAATGGCCTCCATCTCCATCTAGGTTGTTGCAAAACACATTATTTTGTTCCTTGTTATGGCTAAGTAATACTCCATGGTGTACATATACCACATTTTCTTTGTCCACTTGTTGGTCGATGGACACTTACTTTGTTTTCATGTCATTGCAATCGTGAAGTGTGCTGCTGTAAACATGCACGTGCATGTGTCGTTTTCATATAATGACTTCCTTTGGGTAGATATCCAGCAGTGGGATTGCTGGATTGAATGGTAGATCTACTTGCAGTTCTTTAAATAATGTCCATACTGCTTTCCAAAGTGGTTTTACTAATCTACATTCCCACCAGCAGTGCAAAAGTGTTCCCTTTTCACCACATCCACACAAACATCTACTGTGGTTTTTAAAAATTTTTTAATTATGGCAATTTTTGCAGGAGTAAGGTGGTATCTTGTACTTATAATTTGCATTTCCCTGATGATTAGTTATCTTGAGCAATTTTTCATGATTGTTGGCTATTTGTATATCTTCTTTTGAGAACTGTCAATTCATGTCCTTTGCCCAGTTTTTGATGGGATTATTTGTTTTTTTCTTGCTGATTTCTTTGCGTTCCTTGTAGATTCTGGATATTAGTCCTTTGTTGGATGTATAGTCTGTGAATATTTTCCCCTACTGTGTGGGTTGTCTGTTTACTCTGCTGATTATTTCTTTTGCTGTGTAGAAGCTTTATCATTCAACCAGGTCTCATTTATTTATTTTTATTTTTGTTGTGTTTGTTTTCGGGGTCTTAGTCATGAATTTTTTGCCTAAGCCAATGTCCAGAAGAGTTTTTTAATGTTATCATGTTATCTTCTAAGATTTTTATGGTTTTAGGTTTTAGGTTTTAGGTTTAAGTCTTTGATCCATTTTGAGTTGACATTTATATAAAGTGAGAGATGGAGATACAGTTTCATTCTATATGTGGCTTGCCAGTTTTCCCAGCACTCTCTATTGAATAGGATGTGCTTTTCCCAATTTATGTTTTTGTATGCTTTGTCAAAGATCAGTTAGCTGTTGGCATCTGGCTTTATTTCTGGATTGTCTATTCCATTCCATTGGTCTAAGCGCCTATTTTTTATTTTATCTTATTTTGAGATGGAGTTTCACTCTTGTTGCCCAGACTGGAGTGCAATGGCACGATCTCAGCTCATTGCAACCTCTGCCTCCCAGGTTCAAGTGATTCTCCTGCCTCAGCCTCCTAAATAGCTGGGATTACAGGTGCCCACCACCACGCCCAGATAATTTTTTTTGTATTTTTAGTAGAGATGGTGTTTTATCATGTTGGCTAGGCTAGTCTCGAACTCTTGACCTCAGGTGATTTGTCTGCCTCTACCTCCCGAAGTGCTGGGATTACAGGCGTGAGCCACCGTGCCCAGCTGAAGTGCCTATTTTATACCAGTATGATGCTGTTTTGGTAACGATAGCCTCGTAGTGTAACTTGAAGTCTGTTAATGGGTCGCTTCCAGATTTGTTATTTTTGCTTAGTATTGCTTTGGATACGTGGGCTCTTTTTTGGTTCCACATGAATTTTGGGGTTGTTTGCTCCAGTTCTGTGAAGAATGATGATGGTATTTTGATGAAAATTGCACTGAATCTATAGATTGCTTTGGGCAGTATGGTCATTTTCACAATATTGATTCTATTCATCTATGAGCATGGGATGTGTTTCCATGTGTTTGTGTCATCTATGATTTCTTTCAGCAGTGTTTTTTAGTTTTCCTTGCAGAGATCTTTCACCTCCTTGGTTAAGTATATTCCTAGGTTTTGGGGGGTGTTGTTTTTTTGGAGGTTTTTGTTGTTGTTGTTGTTGTTTGTTTTTGCAGCTGTTGTAAAAGGGATTGAGTTCTTGATTTGATTCTCTCTTGGTCGTTGTTGGTGTATAGCAATGCTCCTGATTTGTGTACATTGATTTTGTGACCTGAGACTTTACTAAATTTGTTTATCAGATCTATGGGTCTTTTGGATGAGTCTTAGTATTTTCTAGGTATACGATCATATCATCAGTGAACAGGGACAGTTTGACTTCCTCTTTTCTAATTTGGATGCCCATTATTTCTTTCTCTTGCTTGATTGCTCTGGCTAGAACTTGCAATACTGTGTTGAATAGAAGTGGTGCACGTGGGCATCCTTGCCTTGTTTCAGTCCTTGGAGGAATGCTTTCAACTTTTCCCCATTCACTATGATGTTGGCTGTGAGTTTGTCATATATGACTTTCATGACTTTGAGGTAAGTCCCTTCTATGCCTATTTTGTTGAAGGTTTTTATCATAAAGCAATGCTAGATTTTATCAAATGCTTTTTCTGCATCTATTGAGATAATCATATGATTGTTGTTTTTAATTCTGTTTATGTGGTGTATCACATTTATTGACTTGCATATGTTAAACCATCTCTGCATCCCTGGGATGAAACCCACTTCAACATGGTGTATTATTTTTTTGATAGGCTACTGGATTTGGTTAGCTAGTATTGTGTTGAACATTTTTGCATGTATGTTCATTGGGGATATTTGTCTGTATTTTTCTTTTTTGTTATGTCCTTTCCTACTTTTGGCATTAGGGTGATACTGTCTTCATAGAATGATTTAGGGAGGATTCCCTTTTTCTCTATCTTTTGGAATAGTTTCAGTAGGATTGGTACCAATTTTTTGAATGTCTAATGGAATTTGTCTGGGAACCCATCTGGTCCTAGGCTTTTTTTTGTTGACAGTTTTTTTTATTACTGTTTCAGTCTCACTGCTTGTTATTGGTCTGCTCATGATTTCTATTTCTTCCTGATTTAGTCTAGGAGGGTTGTATGTTTCCAGGAATTTATCAGTTTTTAGATTTTCTAGCTGGTGTGTGTAAAGGTGTTCATAGTAGCCTTGAATTAACTTTTGTGTTTCTGTGGTATTAGTTGTAATATCTCCAGTTTGTTTTCTAATTGAGCTTATTTGGATCTTCTCTCCTTTTCTTGGTTAACCTCACCAATGGTCTATTGATTTTGTTTACCTTTTCAAAGACCCAACTTTTTTTTCATTTATCTCTTGTATTATTTTTGTTTCAGTTTCATTTATTTCTGCTCTGATCTTTATTATTTCTTTTTTATGCTGGCTTTGGGTTTCATTTGTTTTTATCTCTCCAGTTCCTTGAGGTGTGACATTAGGTTTTCAATTTGTGCTTATTCAGATTTTTTTTTTCCTTCCCAGATGAAGTCTCACTCTGTTGCCCAGGCTGGAGTGCAGTGGCGCAATCTCAGCTCACTGCAACCTCGACCTCCTGGATTCAAGTGATTCTCCTTCCTCAGCCTCCTGAGTAGCTGGGATTAAAGGCGCGTGCCACCACGCCTAGCTAATTTTTGTATTTTTAGTAGAGACAAGGTTTCACCATGTTGGTCAGGCTGGTCTCAAACCCCTGACCTTAACTGATCCACCTGCCTCAGCCTCTCAAAGTGCTGGGATTACAGGCATAAGCCACTGTGCCCGGGCTCTTTCAGGCTTTTTTAAGTCAGCACTTATTGCTATGAACTTTCTTATTTTCACTGCTTTGGCTATATCCCAGAGATTTTGATTACTTGTGACACTATTATCATTCATTTCAGAGAATTTTTAAATTTCCATCTTGATTTCATTGTTAACTGAAAAATCATCCAAGAATAGGTTATTTAATTTCCATGTACTCATACAGTTTTTAAGTTTCATTTTGGAGTTGATTTCCAGTTTTATTCCACTCTGGTCTGTGAAGATACTTTATAGGATTTCAGTTTTCTTAAATTTGTTTAGACTTGTGTTGAGGTCTATCATATGGTCTATCTTGGAGAATGTTCCATGTGCTGATGAGAAGAATGTATATTCTACAGTTACTGGGAAGAAATGTTCTGTAAATATCTGTTAAGTCCATTTGTTGTAGGATATGGTTTAAGATCATTGTTTCTTTGTTGACTTTGTGTCTTGATGATCTGTCTAGAGCTATCAGTGGAGTATTGATGTCCCCTGCTATTATTGTCTTGCTGTCTATCTCATTTCTTAAGTCTAGTAGTAACTGTTTTATAAAGCTGGGAGCTCCACTGTTAGGTGCATATAAATTTAGGACTGTGATATCTTCTTGTTGGAATTATCATTCTATCATTATATAATGTCCTTCTTTGTCTTTTTTTTTTTTTTTACTGTTGTTGCTTTAAAGTCTGTTTTTGTTTTGTATAAGAATAGCCACTCCTGCTCTCTTTTAAGAAAATGTAGTGCATATACATCATGGAATACTATGTGGCCATAAAAAAGAATGAGTTCTTGTCCTTTGCGGAACATGGATGGAGCTGGAGGCCATTATCCTTAGCAAATTAATGCGGGAAAAGAAAACCGAATACCACATGTTCTCACTTATAAGTGGGAGCTAAATGATGAGAACACATGGACATATAGAAGGGAACTGCACACACTGGGGCCTACCAGAGAGTGGAGGCTGGGAGGAGGGAGAGGATCAGGAAAAGTAACTAATAGGTACTAGGCTTAATGCCTAGGTAACAAAATAATCTGTACAGCAAACCCCATGATACAAGTTTACCTATATAATAAACCTGCACATGTATGCCTGAACTCAAAATATAAGTTAAATCAATAAAAAATTATTTTAAAATGATCGGCGGTCCCACCTGCCCAAAGGCTGTGCTGGGAGCTCTCTGGTCCCACCAGGCACTGGCACCCTGCACCACACCACATGCAGCAGGGCTAGCGACACACCCTCAGGCCAGCCAAGGCCATGGCCACTCTACCTATGATTTTCTATGTGGGTATTCAGCTTTGATGAGTGTCTTACATCTATAAGCTAAAATTCTTCATCAAATTTGGGAATCTTTCAGCCATAGATTTTTTTGAATTTTTTTTCTGATCCTGTGTCTATCTTCTTTTGGGACTCCAATTGGTCACCTGTTTACCTGCTTTATATTTTCTGAGGGTTTGTGAAGTTTTCTTCACTTTTCTTTAATCTTATTTCACTCTTTTTTATTTTTAGATTAGACAATTTCTGTTGATTTATATTCAAGGACACTGACTGATTCTTTATTCTGCCATCTCAAAACTTCTGTTGACCTCATCCAGAGCACTGTCATTATTTTTCTATCCAGTTTGAGAATTTCCACTTAGTACCATCTATAGTTTTCATTTCTCTGCTGCAATTACTTCTATTCACTCTTTAGAAATGATATTTCCTTCATTTCTTTCCACATATTTTTCAAAACTGTCTTAAAGAGTTTGCTGATAATTTCAATATCTGGACCCATTGAAACCCATTTATTTTTAATTTCCTCCTTATTATAGTCACACATTTCTTTCTTTTCTTTCTATGTCTGATCCTATTTGATAAAGTGGACATTATATGTTTTGTTTTAGAGAGTCTGGAATCTACAACAATCTCTCTAAAGATGGCAATTCTCCCACCACCACCACCCCTGCCCCTCAGTGAACGTGGTTAACTTTCCCTGCACTGGTAACTGTGAAATCTGTTACCCCTGCAGTTGGCTACAGCTGATGTCTCTGCTCTGTTTACCGATATCCAGTTGCTGCATTTTCAGCAGGGGGCTCTGGGTGTCTACTCTGCATCTTTGTAATATTTGTCCCTGCCAAACCTCATGTTGAAATGTAATCCCCAATGCTGCAGGTGGGGCCTAGTGGAAGCTGTTTGGGTCATGGGGGTAGATCCCTCATGAATGGCTTGGTGCCCTCCCCACAGTCATAAGTAAGTTCTCTTCGCTTTATTATTATTATTATTATTATTATTATTTTGAGACAGAGTCTCGCTCTGTTGCCCAGCCTGGAGAGCAGTGGTGCGATCTTGGCTCACTGCAACCTCCACCTCCTGGGTTCAAGTGATTCTTCTGCCTCAGCCTCCTGAGTAGCTGGGACTACAGGCACATGCCACCATGCCAAGCTAATTTTTGTATTTTTAGTAAGGATGGGGTTTCACCATATTGGCCAGGCTGGTCTCGAACTCCTGACCTCGTGATCCACCCGCCTCGGCCTCCCAAAGTGCTGGGATTACAGGCATGAGCCACCACATCCGGCCCCTGCTCTATTATTTTGAAAGAGAGTTGGTTGTTTAGAAGAATCTGGCTCCTCCCACCCTGTTCCTCTTTTGCCATGTGACATGCCTGGTCCCCCTTCCCCTTCCACCAGGAGTAAAAGGCTCCTGAGGTCTCACCAGAAGCTGAAGAGATGCTGGTGCCATGTTTGTACAACCTATATAGCCATGAGCCAAATAAACCTCTTTTCTTTATAAATTACCCACTCTCAGGTATTTATAGCAACACAACATGGACTAACAAGTACTGGGGCTATTTCTGCTAAGATTTTGCAATTCAGCTTCTCTGTGTTTGTTTTGCTTCTGGAATCCCCTCTAAATTGTCCTGCATCCTGCCTTTTCACCCCTCAGTCCAGTAAGATTTTTGCTTTCTTCTGCCTGTGTTGTATGCAGGTTGACAAATGCAAGCAGTCTATGTTACTGCAGACTTTCAGATATTGCCAGGATTATTTCACTCTTTCAAGGGTAGACCTCACTCTAGGTTCTTTCTGATTTTTCCCCAGGTTCCCCTGAGTGTCCCACACCCATGGGGAGTTTAGTGTTCAACCAGGGATGTGAGCATAGTTTGTATTCAGATTTTGAATCTGAATTCTTCAGCAGATCTCTTTCAAAATTGCCTGACTGATGTAAACATGTAAAAATGTAAACATTTTTAGCTTATTTGGGCTTTTAACTCTATAAACTGCCCTATTGATCCATTAGGGCTGCAGTTACCTGCTGGGAGTTTGGAGCAAACTCATAGGTAAGGAGGAAAGGCCACCAACTTGCAGCTTTTACCCAATAGATAGTCTCAAGATCAAAGCACTATTACATTTCTGCTCGCCTTTGTTTGTTTTCCAGTGACTTCAAATATTTATTTTTATGATTTTGTCCAGTTCTCATATTGCTATTTAGAGGAAGACTTGCTGATCTACCTGTTCATGTTGCCATTACCAGAAGTTCTGTCCTAAAAGAGACTTTTGGGAGAAAATGTCACAGCTCACAATTCAATTTTGTGAGACAAATAAGGATCCAGACACCAGAGATTCCTTGTTCAGGTTTTTCAAATTGAAGTAAGTTGAGGCCTTCTGTTTGTAACCCCAAATTTCTAAAAGAATCGCTGACTTCATATGACCCCCAATGATAAAGAAGGACACTCTACATAGATTGGACTCATTACTATTTAAGACAGCACATTCCATACCTAGGAAATTTCTGACTCTGTAAATCAAGTCACCAATGCTGCAGTTAAATTTGAGTGGAGGCCAAGGAAGTAGTTCAGTTAAGTGTGAAACAAGCACTGCCCCTCTCCCCTACCCTCTCTTAAAATCATGCAATCACATGTGTCTTCATTCAATCCTACAGCTGATTGGAAGCTGTTGGAAATGAGACTCCCTCATTATTCAGGCCCTGGGCTTTTCAACTCAAGGAATTCCTCCAAGATTGGAGTACAAGCTCTTTGAAAAATAACTGCACCGGTGTTATTAAACGTTAATGAAGATAAATAATTTCAACAAAGAAAAAATGTGATTTCTTATCTTGTGAGGGGATTTCTCTGCACCAAAATCCGGTAAGTTAGTACAAGTTCAAAACATTCCATAAGAAATGGAAATGTCATTCTGATCCAGGCAGGCATCAAACATATCTGCCATTTGGCCTAAATGCTTCCTTGGATATGTGTGTGTGTGTGTGTGTGTGTGTGTGTGCGCGTGTGTGTGTGTGTGTGCGTGTGTGTGTGTGTGTGTGTGTGTGTGTGAAACAGGCATAGGAGCTCACTGCTCAAGTTCCAGGGCTTCGAAGAAAAGCTTTATTCTTTATTCTTCTACTAAATAACAGTTCCTGGCTTGCTACTGAGCCCTGGTAGATTCTGAATGCCATGATCATGATACAGCAAATGACCAAGTGACTTGAGATGTCCACCATGACCTGGATTTTATTTATTCACTTATGGTCACCAGCACTCAGTGAGCATTCAGGAGGAAGTGGATATATATACTGTATATACATACAGTATCAGACCTGAGCTGGTCCTTAGCAAGGCCAGCTAAGTTGCCTCATAATATGTACTATATTCCTAGTATTCTTATTACCACCGGTAAATCCACTCTCCCTTGTCTCATCCTTGGGGTCTTGAGGAGTTCCCTAAGGACTGTTGACTATAGAAGAAGAAATTTGAATATGCTTTGAATACCCAAAAGTGTACTTTGCAGCATTACAGCCCTTTTCAGGAATTGTCATAAAGAAGAGTGGAAAGGAAAGTACCTCCAGCAGGAAGATTTTCAATCAGACCATCTGGAAGTTCATTTTGCCTAAAGAAATATCTTATTGTTAGATCCTCATCAATGCATGGGTAGTGACTAATAGTTTGCTCAGGTATTCAATGACTTCAAAGGAACAAGATGGGAAGGTTTGTGATAAGGAGCTTTAAGGATAAGGTGTGAACCACTAATGTGGCATATTAGGTATCTACGCCTACTCTCATGCTAACAAAAAATGGGTTATCAAAAGATAAAATACATCATAAAAGCACTGAGAGGCTTTCACATCAGTGAAAACTGTCTAATAAATATCAGGAAGCTCTGAATTTACTTTTATCCTGAGCTCATTTGCTCAATGTAGACAAGTTAAGCTTTAGTTTCCATGGCCTCATAAGGAATTTGGAATAGGAGGCAAGTCTCAAGTAGCACTCAAAGTGGGAAATCTCCTAGGATGATCTCCTCCATTTTGCTGGGACCCCTAAGTTCAGTTCCTCGGTGTAAGAGAAATGCCCCATGCTCAAAGGACTGCAGGAACAGCTGCCTTGGTGCTGAGTGGAACTGGGAGTAAACACAATGGCCCCACACATGTATTTGCAGCCCAAGTTCTCACTACCTGGATTGTCTGGCAATCATCAAGTTGTGAATTCAGTTTATAGTGGGCCAGGCTCCAAGGAACCTGTCAAAAAACAAACGCAAATAACACGCAAAACAAACACAAATCCTCTCTGGAGGAAGATGTCATCAACCACACTTAAAATTTCCTAAAATTATTCCATAAGCAAAATGAGCACTTACCAGGAAAACAACAACAAAACTATTTACAAGATACAAGTCACCATGAAAGATCAAGCAGAAACACCATACAGCAGAATAATAAGAATAAGACATAAAATAGCCCTGCTTCCTGTGATTAAAAAACAGGCTTTAAAAGACTTCCAGTTAATCAGAAACTACAAATAATGTTCAGGAAAAATTGAAAAGACAAATATAAAACATTTAGAAATGAAATACATGATAATATAAAAATCAAGTCTCAATGGATTTTTTCCAAGCAAAGACAATTTGACACAAACACGCTTTTACTGAAGGGAGTTCTAAAGAATATGCTTCAGGCAAAAGGCGAAATCCTGGTTGGAAGATACAAGATAAAAGAAAACATAAATACAAAATAAAAATCAAAAATGAAAGTAAATGTGTGGTTAAATTTAAATTAAGGTGAGGTTAAAAAGGACAGCATATGAGTTTTGAGGGAATATATAGTTAGTTAAAATCTATATCCATTCTCTCTTGTCCATACAATAATGCTGGATTTCTTTTCTTTACATTCTGATCTAAAATTTCAAGATAAACTTCTAAATCATAGTGTTGTCTAATTTGATTTTGCTTTGTACATTTTAGTATAGGGCATATAAAGGGAATATTCTGTGGGTCTTTCTATGTCATCTTTCCAAGGATTGCTGAATCCTTGTAAGTGATGCATGTACAAAGTCATATGTAGAGTTTTCACTAGTGCAGTTTTCCACAGTAAGATTGCCATTTGTAAAGGTGGTGGGACCTGCTAGTTTGTCTTTCAGAACCATGGACAGTTCTACACGTCCTGGGATGTAGGGAGCCAGATCCTCTTTCACCTGGATACCATGATACATCAGGGAGAAAAGTTTAAAAAGAACCTTAATAGTCATGAAACTGTGATTTTAAATATAGTCAGTAACCATAGTCTCAAATACTGCATTCTTCTTCCCCCTCTTCCTGCCCCTAATACTTTATTAGCCATGTATTTCATGGTCATTGCCATAGAAGGACCTGTTTGAGCAGAAGACACGACTTTAGGCCAGTCTTGGCATGACACTATAGTGGCTGAAGAGCAATAGATCTAGAACAAAACTGCCTGGAACTGAATTCTGGCCTCAAATCTTCATAATTGTGTTACCCTGGGCAAGTTACTTAAACTTTCTGAACCTAATTTTCTTGAGCAAGTTACCTATACTTTGTAGACTTCTTGACTTACTTCCTTCCTTCCTTCCTTCCTTCCTTCCTTCCTTCCTTCCTTCCTTCCCTCCCTCCCTCCTTCCTTCTTTCTTTCTTTTGAGACAGAGTTTTGCTCTCTTTGCCCAGACTGGAGTGCAATGGTGCAATCTTAGCTCACCACAACCTCTGCCTCCCGGGTTCAAGTGTTTCTCCCGCCTCAGCCTCCCAAGTAGCTGGAATTACAGGCACCCGCCACCAAGCCCAGCTAATTTTGTATTTTTAGTAGAGACAGGATTTCACCATGTTAGCCAGGCTTGTCTCGAACTCTTGACCTCAGGTGATCCGCCCTCCTCGGCCTCCCAAAGTGCTGGGATTACAGGTGTGAGCCACAACACCCAGCCTAAACTTCATTTCTTTATTGTGGATAAGAACATTTTTTTCATATGGTTGTGATAAATACTGAACAAAATAACTTATGTAGGTACTTAAGCCAATGCCTGGAATACAGCAAGTGCCCTTTAAATGCAGCCACTATTATTATTATAGTTGTTGCTATCGTTATTTTCCATGTAATACATTGAGGACTTTCTTTTTCATAGGTTCCCATGAAGGCTCTCTAAGGACTTGCTGAATGAGCAAGATTTGTTAAGATCATGAAAATTCTCTAGGCATAGCCCTACTAAAATTTTTCAGAAGTTCCCAATATCTTATCCACAGATTTCCTTTGATGTCAGAATATTAGTCTTGGTTAGGGGCATCTTCTGGAGTTTGAGTGTAGTCTGGTGTTTTGGGAAAAGAATTATTTCAATAATAGTAAGGCTCAATAATGTTAAAACTGAGAGTTTCAAAATGTTTAATCTGAAGCAAGGGTAGAGCAGATACTTCCTCAATGGGAAGAGGAGAATGTACCAATTGCAAGACAGCTAAAGAAATATGTGTTTGCTTATTGTCAGTGTTAATAACAGTGTTTTTATTAGTCAAATGCCTCATGTGGTACATTCTTCTGAATAAATATCTTTAAAGGCCTCCGCAAAAAAGGACCTCTGGCCAACACCATCCTCCAAGTCAAATGGGAAGAATCAATTAAGCAGAGGATGCACCAATCAGTTCATGAAAAGTTCAAGCCTCATGTTTTACAGAATTAAGTCCAATAATGAGAAGAAATCGGACATAGAATTCAACATATATCTTGAACATAGAAGGTGACATTTTAGCTCTACAGGTCCCTGAGAACGTTTTACACTTTGCTTTGATGAGATGTGGTGAGCACACATTTGATGTATTAGGTATTTTTGCAAAAGTATTTTATAGATGTCTTTTCATAGGTACTCTGAGATTACCTTCAAGAAAGATAAGTTATAAACTCATTTCTAGAAGGCTAAGTTCAAAATTTAGTGGCATAAGCAAGCAAACATTTCAAAGAAATACTGGCTATACTTTGCCATCCTGTGGAAAGACTGGACAACTGCAATGGGGTAGCCTCAATTTTTGCCCTGAAAGGAATCCTTAGAACTCATCATACTCAGATATGCTTATTTTAAAATGAAATGAAAAACAAGTAACTCAAACTTTGTGACATCCTCCACTAATATTTTTCAATATATATTTCTGCCACTTGTTATTTCAAAGTATGATTTCTACTTCTATATATATTCTATTGCAATTACATTATATATAATATTCATGGTGCTTCATACACATAAACACACTTGATCCTTACAATCCTGTACAGTTGTCAGAGAAGAACTCATTATTCTGTTTTTTTTTTTACTAATAAATAAATAAGGCCTAAAAATATTCCATAAAACCCCAAAGGTGAGAGTTGTGAGCTCCTGGGCATACCAACTTCTTGACCTTCCAAATTGTTCTCTCTCCTCTCCTTTAAAAATATGGGGGAAAAATCAGATTGATGGTATCTTCTTATCCTAATAATTAACTGACTGAACAGAAAGATAGACTGAGACAATGTAGTGGACAGTCTAATATTAGAATTTTAAAACCTTATTCTGTCACCCCGATGCAGTGGTTTTTTAAATACATATAAGAATATGAAAAACATGTTTGGGGAAATTGAATCATAGCACCTAATGCAATTCCTCCAATTAGTAAGCTGTCAATACTTGTTAAATAAATGCATATACGAAGGTTAAAATTTGGAAGGGATGGAAGGAAGCATAAGCAAGAACATAAACACAAACCTTTATCCGTTAGATAAAATGATAAAAGGTCCATAAGTGAGGGGAGACCAGTGGGGCTAAGAATGTAGAGGAATGTTTGGGAAAACTGCCAGAACATGGTGCCTGACCTCTCACAGAAGAGAGGATGAGAAGCAAGGTAGCTCGCAGATTAACTGACTGAGGAAAGCAGAAACTAGGAGGACTTGGAGTGTGGTATGGTGGACACCAACCCCAGATCCATTGACTAGCTGCTCACAATCCCCCAAGAATTTTTAAGAGTGAAGTGTTCTGCTTCCGGAGATTGATTCTGTAGGCCTAGGAGAGGGCCAGAAATAGTTACTTATAAAAGGTTCTCCGTGGGATTTGGCATGACTGCATTCTAGACTTTAGAGTGTAATATCCAGGCCAACTTAGGGACCACAAAAAGGAGGATTCTACCTATAGAATGCCCTAGAGAGGTTGAGAGGGCAATAAGATTAAGCAAAGTCCACTCTGTTGCAACTAGAGGTGGCTGCTGACACTTGAGAATTGACAAGAAGTTCAGAATGAGCAAAGGCGCAGAAACGGACAGAGTGATGGATAATCAGGGGGCAATGAGGAGACTGGCCTGGCAAGAGCATGTTCTCAAAATGGGAGGGGCTTTGGAGCTGTAGGGTCAGAGGTGGCCAAATGAGAGGCTTGGCATTTATAAGTGAGCTTGATAAATTAAATATTTGAATAAGACTGAGGTATGAAAAGAGCTATGATGTGCTCAGTGGCTAAATGACTAAAGTCAAGATGTTTTCAACTCAACCTGACTGAGCTAGATGGAAGATTTGGTAATTAGATATGAAGGGAATGGAGATAAGTCTCTTACTTACCTTCTCCAGATGATACCTTCTACCTGTTTGCAAGCGCTCTTGGGCTGGAGTACAAGGGTGGTTTCAGGGACAGAGAAATTTAGAGGCAGAGAGGGAACCTCTAAGACTAGGAAAGTAAGCGTGGCTGGGCCTAGAGAAGCTGAGTTCCAAATGTAGTTACTGACTTTATATACAGAAGCAATGGGATTGTCAGTCAGTCAGTCTGCCTAGCTAGTCAGTTAGATCATCAGATTAACCACTATCATGTAGTGCTGTGGGAAATCAGAAAACTCTGGGATGGCTGTAAGGATATGTGTGTAAAGATGTCTGTGCAGTGGACATTCAGTGTAGTGACAACTAAAGGAAACCATCTGAATATTTACACTAGAGAAGCAGTTGCATGCAAAATACTATGGAATTAGGGTTTAAAATGATGAGCTCAAGCTTTCTCTATGAAATTGGTGAGATGTTCACAATATAAATAAAAAACATCAAGTAACAGGGCATTATAAATAGAATAGTTGAATTTTTTGCTACAATGAACAAGAAAATAAAATAAAGCTCATCTGAATTGAAAAGAAAGAAGTAAAACTACCTTCGTTACAGATGATATGATCTTATACATAGAAATCCAAAAGAATTTACTTTAAAAAAGCATTACAACTAAAGAATTTTATCACATTGGCAGGATACAAAATCAAAATATAAAAATCAATTGTGTTTCTATACAGTATCAATGAATGAAAAATGAAAAATGAAAATCTTGAAACTATATATAAAAAGTAGCTCAAAATGTATCAAAGACCTAAGTGAAAGAGTTAACATTAGAAAACTCTTAGAAGGAAACAGGCCAGGCACGATGGCTCATGTCTGTAATCCCAGCATTTTGGGAGGCCAAAGTGGGCAGATTGCTTGAGCCCAGGAGTTGGTAGACCAAACTGGGCAGCATGGCAAAACCCTGTCTCTACAAAAAATACAAAATTTAGCCGGGTGTGGTGGCATGCACCTGTAGTTTCACCTACTCAGGAGGCTGAGGTGGGAGAATCACTTGAGCCTGAGGAAGTTGAGGCTGCAATGAACCGTGATTGCACCACTGCACTCCAGCCTGGGTGACAGAGTGAGACTGTGTCTCAAGGAAAAAAAAGGAAAGAAAGTAAGGAAGGAAGGAAGGAAAGAAGGAAGGAAGGGAGGGAGGAAGGAAGGGAGGAAGAGAGGAAGAAGAAAAAAGAAAGAAAGAAAGAAAATAAAACATAGGCATAAATCTTCATGGCTTTGGATTAAGTAAAGGCACCTAATCTTAAATGTGACACCAAAAGCATAAGCAAAAAAAGAAGAAAAAGATAAACTGGACGTCATCGCATTTAAAAACTTTTGTATGTTTACAGATGCCATCAAGAAAGTGAAAAAAAAAAACCCCACAGAATGGGAGAAAATTTTTGCAAATCATACATATGGTAAAAGAGAAAATTTTGTCTATAATATATAAAACCGGTTATAACTCAATAGTAAAAAGGCAAATAATCAAATTTAAAAATAAAGGATTTGGATTTACAGTTCTCCAGTGAAAATATACAAAAGGCCAATAAGCACGTGGAAACATGTTCAACATCATTAACCATCAGGAAAATGCAAATCGGCCCTACAATGCGATAGTATTTCACACTGTGAGACAAAGTAGTAAATGTCAGAAGCTGACTTTTACTTGCCAGCATAATTTCACAAAGTCCCTGTGAGAGTTGCACATCCTCCTAGTTCATCGTGAGGATGTGCAACTCTCTGGAAAGATGCTTTGAGGACAAAACAGGATAAAGCACACAGCCCCCAACGTCTCTTGCCTAAGCCACTATATTCCTTAAAAGATGAATGCCCTTGCTTTTCCCTGCACATAAGATAATGTCTGACGGGCATAGTGATCATGCTTCTGTAATCTACACTGGACGTATTCCTGCTTCCAAACTTTGATGTGATTCTGCTTTAATGTAACTTCTTACCAAGTGTGATGTGATGTTGCAATACAGAACACCTATAATATAAGCAGTGGGCTGAAATACTGAGCTGGTACAGTCTGATAGAGCCTCTCTAAAGGGCTGTTCTTGGGTTGTAGGCCTCCGTCTATAGTCCTCAGTAAGATTTCCAAATAAAACTAAGTTAATTCTTTAAAGTTTGATTTTTTCCCTTAGTTGTAACCACCCACTAGAATGGCTACAATAAAAAGATAATAATGAACACCGATGAGGATGCAGAGAAACTGGAAGCTTCATATACTGCTGGTGGGAATATAAAGAGGTGAAGCCCCTTTAGAAAACAGGCCAGCACTTCCTCAAAATGTCAAACACTAAGTTAGCATATGACCCAGCTATCCCCTCCTAGGTATACAGCATACCCAAGAGAAACAAAAACATCTGTCCACACAAACACCTATACGCAAATGCTTACGGCTGCATTATTAATAATAGCACAAAATAGAAAGAACCCAAATGTCCATCAACTAATAAATGAATAGGCAAATTGTGATATATCCATACAATGAAATATTATTCAGTAATAAAAAAGACGTGAAGTACTGCCACATGCTACAACCCAGACGAACCATGAAAATGTTACGGTAAGTGAAAGAAGCCAGACACGAAAGGCCACATATCGTATAATTTCCCTTACGTGAAATTTCCAGAATAGGCAAATCTGTAGATATGGAACACAGGTTAGTGGCTGCCTAGGGCTAGGGGAGTTGAGAGGAAATGAGGAGTGGCTGCCAATGGGTATGGGGTTTTTTGTGGGGTGATGAAAATGTTCTGGAATTGATAATGATAATGTTGGCACAACTATGTGAATATACTAAAAACCACTGACTTGTATATAATGAATGTGTGAATTTTATGATATGTAAATTATATCTCAAGTTGTTGTAAAATGATTAAACTACAAATAAAATTTGAGGACTTTTGCTAAAAAAAAGCTACAAAGTAAAAACACTCAACACTTAATATAGGTGCCTATGTTTGTATGAAAATGGAGAAAGTAGACACATAGAGAGTAGATTGATAACATAAATTACCTTAGTAAAGTGGGCATAGATTTAGAGATAGAAGATATTTTAAAATATATTTATACATATTGTGATGATTTCATTTCCAACTCTGAGCATGTATTATTTGTACACTAAAATTTTAAAAATAGAAAGTTAAGAATCTTGAAAACTCTTCAGCCAAATAAAAAATAGTAACAAACAAACAGCAATAAAGAGCCATCTGGAATTTCTTCTTGGAGAATTGGCTTAAGCATACACAAGGTAAAAAGAGGACAATGGCTGAAGAATCAAGGCAGGACTATAGCAGTAGGTGAGAAGAAAATGTAAGCGCGGAGCTATAAGACAAGGTAGAGAGAAGATGACAGAGCCAAGAAGTGGACATGAATCCTATAAAACACTCTTGGAGACTCAGAAATGACTGGGTTTATGTAGGAGAGAAACTGCAGCCTAGAGTCCAAGACGGCCAGACACCAGGGACAGGGCATGGAATCAGAAGTGCTTTCCAGTCATTTCTTTTTGTCTCCCTCCATCACCCCCGCAAAGTCGTTGCTTAAATTACAGCCATTGCACCTTGAGATGGTGGTACCATTTGGAGACTTTAAGATAATAGAAAGGTAGGCCGGGCGCGGTGGCTCACGCCTGTAATCCCAGCACTTTGGGAAGCCGAGGCAGGCGGTTCACGAGGTCAGGAGATGGAGACCATCCTGGCTAACACGGTGAAACCCCATCTCTACTAAAAATACAAAAAAAAAAAAAAAAAAAAATTAGCCAGGCATGGTGGCGGGCGCCTGTAGTCCCAGCTACTTGGGAGGCTGAGGCAGGAGAATGGAGTGAACCCAGGAGGTGGAGCTTGCAGTGAGCCGAGATCGCGCCGCTGCACTCCAGCCTGGGCAACAGAGCGACACTCCCCTCAAAAAAAAAAAAAAAAAAAAAAGATAATAGAAAGGTAACTTTTGAGCTCTTCTGAGGTAAGGAAGTGTATTAGTGTAGCTTTTTCCAGGAAAACCACCACACTCTAGTATAACATTTTAGGAATAACGTGTTCAATATAGGAATTAGAGCCTATACTAATGTTGGAAAATCTAGGAGAGCAAATATTGGTGAAGTCATGTTGTAGGCAAAATAAAGGTCTCCCAAGATGCCTATGTCCTAACCCCTGGAACTTGTGAAAATGTCACCTAATATGACAAAAGGAAGTTTTCAGATGTGATTAAGTTGAGGCTCATGAGATGGGAAGATTATCCTGTATTATTCAGGCAGGTCCAATACAATCACAATGGTCGTTATAAGTGAAAAAGGTAGCAGCAGAGTGAGAATTGGAGAGGGAGATGTGACAACAGAATCAGAGGTCAAAGTGATGGGACTGCTGACTTTAGAAGATGGAGGAAGGAACCACGAGCCAAAGAATGCAGGCAGCCTTAAGAAGTGGAGAAGGTGAGGAAACAGATTTTCCCTCAGAGCCGCCATAGGAATGCAGCCCTGATGACCCCTTATTTTAGGCCAGAGAGACCCATATCAGACTTCTGACCTCCAGAACTGTAAGATAATAAATTTGCGTTGTTTTAAGCCACTTCATAGCAGTAATTTGTTACAGCAGAAACAGAATACTAATACCAGTCACCATTGTAGCTCTTGGAGGCTGCAGCTGGGAGGTCAGGGAAGCATGTGCTGAAGAACTTAGCCTGAAGCACAGGTGGGAGGTTCCTAGAACCCTGCTGGGAGATTGCTGTCATTCTCCAGAACCTCTGAGAAAGCTCCCACCATTCATCTCGGTCTGCACAGGCAAAGCAGATGGGTCTTTGGCCTAGCACAGAAGCCACTGAGAACCTGACATCTGCCTACTCTTCTGCCTGCAGCCACGACTGATGGGTAGAGGCCTGTCTCTCCATCTCTTCTGGGCACCATATCTCATGCAAGTTTCTCTGATTGGAAAATGTGAATCGGAACTACACAGGGAAGGGGATTCTGGGAGACATACTCCTTGCTTCTCGGCAGAGAAGGTGGCTGCTGATTTGATAAGACACAATCCTGCACATTAGTTAATGATGGCAAGTGTAGATGGGCTTGTTGACCCCTGATTGACAAAGCAAAGATTCCACAGCTGATGTAAACTAGTGATGTGTTTAAGAGACTTGTTTAAACTCAGCAAATATTAAGTGTGATGTGTCATGGATTATGAAAAGAGTAAACTCATGGTTTGTGCTATTTACCTCAGTATTACTGAAGAAGGATCCTAGAAGCCCACTGATCCAGCTAGACCTTTATGTTTTTTTAACTTTTATTTTAAGTTCAGGGGTCCGTGTGCAGGTTTGTTATATAGGTAAACTTGTATCATGGGGATTTATTGTATACATTATTTCATTACTCAAGTATTAAGCCTAGTACCCATTAGTTATTTTTCCTAATCCTTGCCCTCCTCCCAGCCTCCAATAGGCCCCAGTCTCTGTTGTTCCCCTCTTTGTGTCCATGTGTTATAATCTAACTTCCACTTATAAGTGAGAATATGTGGTATTTGGTTTTCCATTCCTGCCTTAGTTTTCTAAGGATAATGACCTCCAGCTCCATTCATGTTCCTGCAAAGGACATGATGTTGTTCTTTTTTATGGCTGCATAATATTCCATGATGTATATGTACCACATTTTCTTTATCTAGTCTACCATTGGTAGGCATTTAGGTTGATTCCACGTCTTTGCTGTTGTGAATAGTGCTGCAATGAACATACACATGTATATGTCTTTATAACAGAATGATTTCTATTCCTTTGGGTATATACCCAGTAATGGGATTGCTGGGCTGAATGGTATTTCTGTTTTTAGGTCTTTGAGGAATTGCCACACTGTATTCCACAATGGTTAAACTAATTTACACTCCCACCAACAGTGTATAAGCGTTCCTTTTTCTCAGCAACCTGGCCAGCACCTGTTATTTTTTGACTTTTTAATAATAACCATTATGACTGGTGTGAGATGGTATTTCATTGTGGTTTTGATTTGCATTTCTAATAATCAATGATGAGCTTTTTTCATATGATTGTTGGTTGTATGTATTTCTTCTTTTGAGAAGTGTCTGTTCATTTCCTTTGCCCACTTGTTAATGGGGTTGTTTCTTGTAAATTTCTTTAAGTTCCTTATAGATGCTGGATATTAGATCTCTGTCAGATGCATAGTTTGCAAAACTTTTCTCCCATTGGGTAGGTTGTCTATTTACTCTGTTGCTAGTTTTCTTTGCTGTGCAGAAGCTCTTTAGATTAACTAGATCCCATTTGTCAATTTTTGCTTTTGTTGTCATTGCTTTTGGTGTCCTCATCATGAAATCTCTTCCCATTCCTATGTCCTGAATGGTATTGCCTATGTTGTCTTCTAGAGTTTTTATAGTTTTGGGTTTTACATTTAAGTCTTTAATCTATCTTGAGTTAATTTTTGTATATGGTGTAAGGAAGGGGGCCCCGTTTCAATCTTTGCATATGACTAGCCAGTTATCCTAGCACCATTTATTGAATAAGGAATTCTTTCCCCATTGCTTGTTTTTGTCAAGTTTGTCAAACATAAAATAGCTGTAGGTGTGCAGCCTCATTTCTGAGTTCTCTTTCTGTTCCATTGGTCTATGTGTCTGTTTATGTACCAATACCATGCTGTTTTGGTTATTGTAGCACTGCAGTATAGTTTGAAGTCAGATAGCATAATGCCTCCAGCTTTGTTCTTTTTGCTTAGGATGGCCTTAGCTATTTTTGGTTCCATATGAATTTTAGAATAGTTTTTTCTTTTTCTTTTTATTTGTTTATTTATTATTATTATTTTAGATGGAGTCTTGCTGTGTCACCAGGCTGGAGTGCAGTGGCATGATCTGGGCTCACTGTAAACTCCACCTCCCAGGTTCAAGCAATTCTTATGCCTCAGCCTCCCAAGTAGCTGAGATTACAGGCATGTGTCACCACACCTGGGTAATTTTATTTTTATTTTTTGTATTTTTAGTAGAGACTGGGTTTCACCATGTTGGCCAGGCTGGTCTCGAACTCCTGACCTCAAGTGATCTGCCCGCCTCGGCCTCCCAAAGTGCTGGGATTACAGACATGAGCCACCAAGCCTGACCTTAAAATAGTTTTTTTCTAGAACTACATATTTAAATTGGAAAAGATGTGTTGTATTCTCTGAATCCTAGTGGCTCACAGGAGCTGTCTAGAATAGCCTGACTATAGCAATTCCTAGTTAAGCCAGAAGTTTGAAATGAGTTCAAAGTGTAGGGATAAAATTCCAGTGAGAGGCAGAAAACTGGAAAGTTAATGCTTTTCCATGTTAATCAATCAAGTCCATCAATTGTTTATATGTGTAGCTTTCTCTCTTAATTTGAATAATTTCTTAGAGATGAGTATCACTGTGAAGTGTGGGGTGGCTATGAAAGTATAAGATTGCTTCTAGCAACTCACACAGTCACTCATGGATGCTCGGCCCAAGACCCTGATAGCCACGGTTCCACTCCAAGGGAAAAGAGGCCATCTGAGGAGCAAATAGAACTCTGTCACAAGATGAGTGCAGGAAACACCCCAAACACAGTCCCTAAGGTCGATGCAGAAACAGCGTAAGAAGAAAGTGTCCAGATATCCAGAATCCTATGAGGTAGGGATTCAGAACTCTCAAAGGCCACCCTCTTACATCTGTCAATAGGTCAAGGTTTCTGTGGATGTGTGTGGCTGTGGCTGACAGGGACCCCAGTGATCCCTATGAGGTTAGACGTAGCTTAAGAGAGAATAAGGGGCACGCACATGCACACACACACACACACACGCACACACACACGCACACACACACAGAGTCAAGGGCAGCCCTTCAAAGCTTCCCATCATCTTCCTCTGTCCATATTTCATTCTCCATCAGCTCACTTTCCATTTTTTCCTTTTTAAGCAATAACAAATTAGTTATATGATGCTGGCTGGTGTGGTGACTTACATTTGTAATCCTAGCATTTTGGAAGGCAGAGGCATGGAAATGGCTTAAGCCCGAGAGTTTGACAGCTGTGTGATTCTAGACAGAGTCCTTCACTTCTCTGTGTCTCCATTTTCTCATCCATTTTATGTGAATCACTATTTCAACAAACAGGGATCAAACGTAGACTGTTTGAGGGAAAAGTAAGTAAGCCAGTGTAGCTGTCTTCATTGATCCTGGTGTCCAGTAGGGGAGATGGACACCTTTTTTAGTGTCATACCTAATGTTACACATTTTAAAAGTAAATTTTTTTTAAATTTGTATGTGTTGTCTCTTGAACTCTCACTATGGAGAGACACTCTCAGTGTGCATTGTTACTGTAAGAATCCCTATTTTTCATCTATCCAACAAATACAGCTTGAAGGCCCAGAATATGCCAGCTTCTGTGCTCCTCCTTGAAAATAGAACAGTGAGGAGCATAAACATAGGCATTTATGTTCTGAAGTTACAGTGTAGTGAGAAAGAAATACATGAGCCAGATGAATAGAAGCTACTACAAAAAGTGCTTTGAGAAGGAAGGAAAGGATCTGTGAGAAAAGAAAGGAGGAAGAGCAAAGCCAGTTTCAGGAAAGCAGGCTAAACTTCCAACAGGAATCCAAGTATAAAAAAAAAAAAAAAAAAAGCAGGAATTAGGCAGACCCAAGCAAAGGGAACACCTAGTCCGACCAAAAAATGAAAGGCTTTGCAGCATGTTTGTGAAACTGTAAGCAGAATCACTGGCTAGTGCAAGAGGAGAGAGAGAGAAAATTGGAAAAGTGTGCAAGGTCCTGTTCACACAGGGTTGGGAAAATTGGTTAAGAATTTGGGTGTTATCCTGAGGTTAATAGTGAGTCATTAAAATATTTTAAGTAAGAAAGAAACAAAAGTGGATTTTTGTTTCAGCAGGATTCCTGCAATTGTAGGGCACTGACCCAAGTCTTGCTTGGGTCAGAGCAAGACTGGAGGCAATAAAATGAGTTGGGAGATTTTGAAGAACTCTGAACAACAGAAAGAGTGACAAGATCTAGGGCTGTGGAGACTACGCTGGGATCCAGGAGGACAGGCACTAGAGATGGTGCAGCTACAAAGGCTCGGGGGCAGGGTCGGGAAAGCCTGAAGCTCCCACTTGTGGAGCAGAGGAGAGGTCTAACACCTGCACACCCCAGTGAAGGGGCAGAATGGGAGTGAACAAGGGAGCCCCTGGGCTGGGATTTTCCATGTTTCTGGCACTAGGACGGGGTGGGCAACACAGTGTGGAGCCCAGAGTAGAGTAGAATTGCAGGTTGTCACTCAACAAGATGTGCAGCAGCTAAAGGTTGTGGGAGTCATGTAGGGGAAGGTAAATCCAAAGTAGCTAGAAGATGCACAAGACAATAACCCCTGGCTCAGAACCTCTGCACACTTGCAGGCATTTGGTCTACTCTGTAATTGATTTGCCACTGGGAACCTGCTAGCTCCCCCACTCCTTTCTCGTGATCCTTTCTATGATCTGGCTCTTTGGTCCTCCTGTTGAACCTCCCTCCCATGCACAGTTGCTGGATGACGTCTCTTGGTGCCTCCATAATTGCTCACTAATGTGTGGTGTCCTTTCATTCCCAGGCTAGAAGGGCCTAAATATGAAAAAAATCCTGAAGAGACCAGGCTCCTTTCCTCCATCCTTTCTCCTTAGGAAAGCAGGAGGAGATGAGACACTTCAAAATCCTGGAGGTACAACCACTGGGACATGTGATGTGATCCCAGAAACTTGAGAGAAAGGAAGGGGTCTCAGGACGGGGTGTGTGTGTGTGTGTGTGTGTGACACTAGAGAGTTTGGGACAGGACTATGTCCTCTGTGCAGAAACAGCTGAAAACCTGGAGTTGAGAATTTCTACTGAAGGTCCCAGAAACACCCTGAGAAGAACAGGAAAATGGGAAGAGACAATCATAGTGACTGGCAAGTGAAGGATAAATAGCCAGGAGACATTTTTTTAGGTTTTCATAATTTACTTTACAAAATCATTGATAATGCATCAATGATAGATCCAAAAATATTTATTTAATCTCCTCTAGAGACAGTGATAGACTGTGACAATATAATGCTCAGAGAGACTTGGATTTAATTATAATCCAATTCTAATTGTGATTGTGACCACAGAGAGCCTGGAAGCAGTCTGTACTGGACCACATATACTGATTTATAATTCAGCTTTATGCTGGTTTCCACAGTTCTCACCACAGCTGCCACTGTGTCCCTCAATACTGAAGGGCATGTCCTGGCCAGGTTTTTCTGGCATTGAACAGGTACTGGCTACTTCTGGGTTCCCCTCACTTGCCTGCCACCTCCTGGTCTCCCTGAGTCACTGACAACTATGACCTGTAGATGCCACTCTGTGGAGCCCAAGATCAAAAGACACTGTGAAGACTACAAAAGGGAAAAGGCCAGCACTTTGGGAGGGTGAGGAGGGTGGATCAGGAGGTCAGGAGATCGAGACCATCCTGGCCAGCATGGTGAAACCCCGTCTCCACTAAAAATACAAAATTAGATGGGCTACTCAGGAGGCTGAGGCAGAAGAATCACTTGAACCTGGGAGGCAGAGGTTGCAGTGAGCCAAGATCATGCCACTGCACTCCAGCCTGGCAACAGAGCAAGACTTTGTATAAAAAAAAAAAAAAAAGAGAGAGAGAGTGAGAGAAAGAAGTTCATGTCGCCTGGACTAGCTCCATCCAGCAGTGCAAGGGAAAGATGCCGTGTTGACCAAATGTGCTGCTGATTTTCTGAATGTTGAGTGAGGATGGATCCACAATGGAGTCACAGTGGATTCTTCCTAACACCCAAACCCACAGAGAAAATGACTTCATAATCAGTGACTTCAGCAAACGCAGACCCTGGGAAGTCATGGTTTCTCATACACCATCATTTCTTTGTAGCAACTTCACATCTGGTTCTATCAAGAGGAATCCTTGTGGGTTAGGTGCCTTTGGAAAGATGTTTGTGTACTTCAGAGGATGGGAAATCTATTTTAAAGTACACTTCAAAGCCCTGACTTTATAAGGTTCTTAAGTATTGCCGGTTCCCAAACATTGCCAGTTGATACATAGAAATCTAGATATTAGATTCAGCTTTATCCTCTGGATATAACATGACAATTGTTAAAACTTTTCTCGCTTCCAACAATGATGCATAAAATGATGACATACCAAAGCAAAGCCTTGAGCAATCTTGAGAGAATCCCAGGGGCATATTTTACTCTGTTGAACATGTAGTCTGACATTGAGGGACCAATGTTGAGTGCCGTTCAAGAAAGTTTGGTGGGGATCCATCCGTTTCCTTAGTGAGCAATGTTTCCTCAGTTGAATGTGATCAGTTTTCCTATGTAGAAACTAGAGAACATTACCTAATCCCTGGTTTCCATAACAACCATTGAGCACCACCAGCACTGGGGGTGACACTGACAGGTCCTCACAGGACAAGTACTGTTGCCCCAAGTAAGGGCCTGCAGTGGAAGGGATGCAGAGCTTTAGCAGCAGGAACCTGAAACCTGAAACCTCACCACCAGGCACAGCATATAATCTGCCACTTCATGAGAAGTTTAACTTAATCATTGATCCACAATTGTGACACACTTTTAACCAAAGCCTAAAGGGAAATGAAGGCCTCATTACAGGTTCAACACAGTTTACAAACATCAGCCACAAAGACCCAGACTTATCTTAGGGATTGCTTTTGGCCTGGCGGGATTGAAGATGGGGATGCATTGGAGCTCTGCAGAGAACAATATGACCCTCTGTCACCCTGAAGGAAACAGAAGTTCCATACCAGGCATCATAGAATCTGATTTTGCCCACACATACTGCAGGCTCCTGAAGGAGAAAGTTCTCACCGGTACAAACCCTAAAAGTTAGTTTTCAGGAACAAATAGCTCTGTTTACTACAGTGAAATTTTTGAATCAAAAAGCAAATTTATAATGTCTAATAACAACATAAGTGGGTAGTAGGATCTTTGGAAGTTTTGGAATACTGTAGCACAGCGATGTTTCTGTTTTTTTAAAACAAAGTTATTTAATTTGTATAATGTTTCACAAATACTTAAAATAATACAAAATTACATTTTGAGCTTTG